>NC_000007.14:67052233-67355263 GCF_000001405.40 Homo sapiens | reverse complement strand
CTGTCATTCATCTTCTGCAGAAGCTGACGATGCATCGTTCTTCTCCTCTTTGAAGGGCCCATCGTGATCCATAATTCCTATTTCTCTTAATATTTTCAAATATCTCTTGGGCAAGCCATCAAGCAATCCGCTTGGCCCATGAGTGATTTTCCAGTCCATTATTTTATTTTATTTTATTTTTGAGACAGAGTGTCACTCTGTTTTCCAGGCTGAAGTGTAGTAGTGTGATCTCAGCTCACTGCAAACTCCACCTCCCAGGTTCAGGCAATTCTCCTGCCTCAGCCTCCTGAGTAGCTGGGATTACAGGTGCCCACCACCACACCTGGCCAATTTTTGTATTTTTAGTAGAGACGACTTTTCACCATGTTGGCCAGGCTAATCTGAAACTCCTGACCTCATGTGATCTGCCTGCCTCGGCCTCCCAAAGTGCTGGCATTACAGGCATGAGCCATCGTGCCCGGCCGATTTTCTAGCAGCATTGTTGTGAGCCCAAGCTGTCCCCCTCCTTGACTGTGTGAAAATGTTTAACTGGGAATTGTCACCTGTAAAAAAAAAAAACAAAAAAAATTCCTCTCGCACAGCAAGGCTTGCCATCAGTTTTCTTTACCTGACCTGGTTATTTATTTTTATTCTGAAATAAAACGTTATAGCTAAGGAATTTGAAGCACACTTCAAGGAACATCACATTACAGGGCGGAAGGAGCAAGCTGCCCAGTGGAAGGGGGCCACCAGCGTCCCCTCAAACCTGGTGGCAGCCGCATGGTTGCTGGGGTTTATGTGCTATAGCCGTGTTCCCCACATTTACTACTCAAAAATGCACCGCTGGCTGAGCGCAGTGGTTCACACCTGTAATCCCAGCACTTTGGAAGGCCGAGGCAGGCTGATCACCTGAGTTCAGGTGTTCAAGACCAGCCCGGTCAACATGGTGAAACCCCATCTCTACTAAAAATACAAAAATTAGCCGGGCGTGGTGGTGGGCACCTGTAGTCCCAGCTATTCTGGAGGCTGAGGTGGCAGAATCGCTTGAACCCGGGAGGGAGAGGCTGTAGTGAGCTGAGATCGTGCCACTGCACTCCAGACTGGGCGACAGAGTGAAACTCTGTCTCAAAAAATAAAAATAAAAATAAACACACAAAATGCACCCCTTTGGCCAGGCACAGTGGCTCACACCTGTAATCCTAGCACTTTGGGAGACCAAAGCAGAAGGATTCCTTGATCCCAGGAATTCAAGATCAGCCTAGGCAACATAGCAAGACCCCACCCCTACAAAAAAATAAAATTAGCCGGACATGGTGGTGCATGCCTGTAGGCTTAGCTACTCGGGTGACTGAGGTGGGAAGATCACTTGAGCCCAGGAGTTGGAGGCCACAGTTAGCTATGATCATGCCACTGCACTCCAGTCTGCATGACAGTGTGAGACCCTGTCTCAAAACAAACAAACAAGAGACCCTGGAGATGGCCTGAACTAATACTTGACCTGATCACGCCATTTCACAAATGCTGGAAGCCGGTTTTTTGCTTTTTTTTTTCTTTTGAGAGAGTCATCATTCTATTACTCAGGCTGCAATGCAGTGGCTCGATCTCAGTTCACTGCAACTTCCGCCTCCCGGGTTCAAGTGATTCTCCTGCCTCAGCCTCCCGAGTAGCTGGGATTATAGGCACGTGCCACCACACCCGGCTAATTTTTGTATTTTTAGTAGAGATGAAGTTTCACCATGTTGGCCAGGCTGGTCTCGAACTCCTGACCTCGTGATCTGCCTGCCTCAGCCTCCCAAAGTGCTGGGATTACAGGCATGAGCCACCGCGCCTGGCCTGGAAGCCAGTATTATTGGAGGAGGTGCAGGATGGAATTTGATTTCCTTTAGGGACCTCAGGCAAGTCACTAGCTCTTCATGGTACTCAGTCTCTCATCCCCTCAAGGGCTGCCCGACAGCCTCTTCCAGCCCTGACATTTGTGATTCCGGTGTCTGTTGTGAGAGTGGGTGCTGGTAACAGCCCTGTGCACTCTTAACTCAGGAAAGATTCCATTTAGATTCCTTGTTGGAAACATGTTGGCTTTCTTGTGGAAGGCGACGATTTATGCTGAAAGTCGCCTCTGCAGTAGGAAGCTAAGATTTCCCTCCCTGCCCCATTTTTTTCCCAACTCCTCAAGACTCATTTGGCCTGAGTGCAACAGAATAAAAGAGGAAAGTTTAGTATCAGCTTCACCGGGTTCATTTTGCAAACCTCACTTAGATTTAGCATTAGGTTTAGGGCTAGAGTAGGGCTTATGGTAGAGTTAGGATTGAAGCTAGGGCTGTTTTTAGGATTAGGATTTGATTTAGGGGTAGGGTTAGGGATAGGACTAGAGTTAAGTTAGGGTTAAGTGATGGCTACGGCTAGGATTCAGGCTAGGTTTAGGGTTATGAGCAGGATTAGTCTTAGGGTTAGGGATAAGGGTAGGGCTAAAACCAGGGCTAGGATTAGAGATATTTGTAGGCTTAATTTTGTGTATATGTATATAGATAGATAGATAGATAGATAGATAGATAGATAGATAGATAGATATACACACACACACATATATATATAATTGTGTGTGTGTGTGTGTGTGTATATATATATATATATATATATATATTTTTTTTTTTTTTTTTTTTTTTTTTTTTTGAGACAGAATCTCGCTCTGTTGCCCAGGCTGGAGTGCAGTGGCTCAATTTCGGCTCACTGCAACCTCCACTTCCCGGGTTTAAACAATTCTTGTGCCTCAACCACCCGAGTAGCTGGGACTACAGGCATACTCCATCATGCCCGGCTATTTTTTGTATTTTTAGTAGAGACGGGGTTTCACCATGTTGGCCAAGCTGGTCTCAAACTCCTGGCCTCAAGTGATCCACCTGCCTTGGTCTCCCAATGTGCTGGGATTGCAGGTGTGAGCCACTGCACCTGGCCAGTAGGCTTAATTTTAGGATTAAAATTGATGGATTTGCTTGGTCAGGGATCCATCATCTCCTTGTGGTGCTTCTTCCTTCTGACTCTTTAGCAGTCTTCTGTACCCTGCAAAGCCACAGGGGCAGAGCTGCCCAAGGCCATGGGAGCCCACCTCTTGCACCAGCATGACCTGGATGTGAGACGTGGAGTCAAAGGAGATCATTTCAGAACTTTAAGATTTGACTGCCAGCCAGGCGTGGTGGCTCACACCTGTAATCCCAGCACTTTGGGAGGCCAAGGTGGGCGGATCATGAGGTCAGGAGATCGAGACCGTCCTGGCCAACATGGTGAAGCCCCATCTCTGCTAAAAATACAAAAAAAAAAAAAATTAACTGGGTGTGGTGGTGTGCACCTGCAGTCCCAGCTACTCAGGAGGCTGAGGCAGGGGAATCGCTTGAACCCAGGAGGTGGAGGTTGCAGTGAGCCAAGATCACGCCACTGCACTCCAGCCTGGTGACAGAGGGAGACTCTGTCTCAAAAAAAGAAAAAAAAAAAAAGATTTGGCTGCCCTGCTGGATTTCAGACTTGCAAGGGATCTGTAGCCCCGTTGTTTTGGCCAATTTTCTCCCATTTGGAATGGGCATATTTACCCAATGCCTGTCCCCTCCTTGTATCTAGGAAGTAACTAACTTGCTTTTGATTTTACAGGCTCATAGGCAGAAGGAACTTGCTTTGTCTCAGATGAGACTTTGGACTTGGACTTTTGGGTTAATGCTGGAATGAATTAAGACTTAGGGGGACTGTTGGGAAGACATGATTGGTTTTGAAAGGAACATGAGATTTGTGAGGGGCCAAGGGTGGAATTATATGATTAGGCTTTGTGTCCCCACCCAAATCTCATCTTGAATTATAATCCCCCAAATCCCCATAATCCCCACGTGTCAAGGGAGAGACCAGGTGGAGGTAAGTGAATCATGGGGGTGGTTTCCCCCATGCTGTTCTCATGATAGTGAGTGAGTTCTCATGAGATCTGATGGCTTTATAAGGGCCTCTTCTCCCTTCGCTCAGCACTTCTCCCTCCTGCCACCTTGTGAAGAAGGTGCCTTGCTTTCCCCTTCATCTTCCACCACGATTGTAAGTTTCCTGAGGCCTCCCCAGCCATGCTGAACTGTGGGTCAATTAAACCTCTTTTCTTTATAAAGAAAAGTAACTCTCATTCAAGTTACTTCATTACCTTTCATCTTCCAGCATATTGTGTTAGTTACTGACTTTTATTTTTCAGAGATAATTTCCTCATAGCCAAATGCACAGATCTTACCTGTGTCATTCAATCAGTTTTGACAAATCAAATTCCCACGTAACCAGCACCTCTGTCAAGACACAGAACATTTTATCACCCCACAATGTTGCCTGTATAGCTTTTCCCTAAAAGCTACCACTGATCTGATTTCTGGGGTTTTTTTTTTGTTTTTTTGTTTTTGAAACGGAGTCTCACTCTGTCACCCAGTCTGGAGTGCAGTGGTGCAATCTCAGCTCATTGCAGCAACCTCCACCTCCCGGGTTCAAGCGATTCTCCCACCTCAGCCTCTCGAGTAGCTGGGACTACACGCACCTGCCACCACGCCCAGCTAATTTTTTGTATTTTTAGTAGAGACAGGGTTTCACCATGTTGGCCCAGATGGTCTCAATCTCCTGACCTCGTGATCTGCCCACCTCAGTCTCCCAAAGTGCTGGGATTACAGGCGTGAGCCACCGTGCCCGGTCCTCTGATCTGATTTTTATGGCTATAGGTTGGTTTTACTAGTTCCAGAACTTAAATGAAATCATACATTATAGACCGTTTGATCTAAGATTTTTTTTCATTGTTTTTATAGAGACAAGGTCTTGCTCTGTCGCCCAGGATGGAGTGCAGTGAAGTGATCATAGCTCACTGCAGCCTCAAATTCCTGGGTTCAAGTGATCCTCCTGCCTCAGCCTCACGAGTAGCTGGGAGCACGCCACTCTATCTGGCTAATTTTTTTTTAATTTTTGTAAAGATGGGGTGTCACTATGTTGCCTAGGCTGATCCGAAACTCCTGGGCTCGAGCAATCTGCCTGCCTTGGCTTCCCAGACTGTTAGGATTACAGGCATGAGCCACCATGCCCAGCCTAATATTTTTTTTAAGCAGCACAATATTTTTCAGGTTTATTTATGTTGTTTGTGTTCTACTGACTTTTTTAGTACAAGACTTATATTCTGATATTTTTAGTACCAAGTACTTTTTCACTATCTGCCCAAAGCCTGTCACAATTAATGTATAAACCTACCGTCTACAGTGTTAGCTGTGACCTCGGTTCTCATACAAAGTGCTCTGCTGAACCATCTGTTTCAGATGATTTCTACACTTAAATTTGCTTTCATTAAATAAAAGAGGGACCCATAATTTATTCCAAGTGAGATGTCATACCTCACATGTCAGCACCTTCTTCATTAACCCATCCAATTTGCACTGAGAAGACTTGGAATAGAACCTGTGTGGCAGGTAATGGAGGTATGGCGGGGGGTGGAGGGTGGAGAAAGCACTTCTCCAATAAGGGTGGGGAGTGATATCTTTCTGGAAGCAGAGAACCTGGTCAGAAGTGGCTTGTCTTAATGAAGAGATGGCCAAATACAGAGCTGGGAGAAGGCTGGGTGTAGCGGCTTATGCTTCTAATCCCAATGTTTTGGGAGGCCAAGACAGGAGGATTGCTTGAGGCCAAGAGTTTGAGACCAGCCTGGGAAACATAGTGAGACCCTATCTCTTAAAAAAAAATTTTTTTTTTTTTTTGAGAGGGAGTCTCATTCTGTCACCCAGGCTGGAGTGCAGTGGTGCAATCTCAGCTCACCGCAACCTCCACCTCCTGGGTTCAAGCGATTCTCCTGCCTCAGCCTCCTGAGTTGCTGGGATTACAGGCACCCACCACCACACCTAGATAATTTTTGTATTTTAGTAGAGTTGGGGTTTCACCATGTTGGCCAGGCTAATCTCAAACTCCTGACCTCAGGTGATCTGCCCGCCTCGGCCTTCCAAAGTGCTGGGATTATAGGCATGAGACACCACACCCGGCCATCTTAAAAAATTTTTTTTTAATTAGCTGAGCATGGTGATACATGCTTGTAGTCCCAGCTACTTGGAAGGCTGAGGCAGTAGGATGACTTGAGCCCACAAGTTCAAGGCAGCAGTGAGCTGTGATCATGCCACTGCACTCCAGCCTAGGCAACAGAGCAAGACCCTGTTTCTAAAAACAAATAAATAAAAAGTTGGATTAAAAATGAGTTTTAGATCCAGCTCGGTCACTTGGCTTCACAACTTTTGGCCAATCACCTAGGGTCGCCTCCTTTATAAAATGGGAATGACATAATTGCCATTGCAATAATAACTAGCATTCGGATATTGCCTTAGACAGCAAATGAGACCCTGAAAAACAGCAGACACCTGCTAAAAGTTAAATGAATGTAATCAAAAGTGCCTTGTGGGCCGGGCGCGGTATCTCACACCTATAACCCCAGTACTTTGGGAGGTTGAGGCAGGCACATCGCTTGAGGTCAGGAGTTCGAGACCAGCCTGGCCAACATGTTGAAACCCCATCTGTATAAAAAAAAAAAAATTTAAATTAGCTGGGTGTTATGGCTGACACCTGTAGTCCCAGCTACTCCAGAGGCTGAGGCAGGATAATTGCTTGAGCCTGGGAAGTGGTGGTTGCAGTGAGCCCAGATTGCGCCACTGCACTCCAGCCTGGGTGACAGAGTGAGTCCCTGAATCGATAAAATTAAAAAATAAAGTTCATTGTAAACTGTAAAATGTGTGTTGAAGCCTCCGCCCATGGGCTGCAGGGACAGGGACAGGTCACACAGTCTGTCCTCAGGAATCTTGCAAAGTTGGCTTCACAGAATGATTCACCCGCGGACCTTCCTTTGACTGCATCACGAGCACAAGAGTTTTTCCAAAACCCAGCCTCACCGCAGAGCCGTCCATTCAGAATCTCTAGGCAGAGCCCCGGAGCTGACTGTTTTTAGCTTTCCTGGGTGATCTGGATGTCCCATCAGGGGACAGCAATGAGAGGGGGCTGCTCCTTTTTGGGGAATGGACCTTATGGAGGCAGTATGAGGAGAGTAACTCCCCAAAGAGAAGACACCCTTGGGTTGGGCCTGCTTTTTTTAATAGAGACAGAGTCTCAATCTGTCTCCCAGGCTGGAGTGCAGTGGTGCGATCATAGCTCACTGCAGCCTCGACCTCCTGACCTCAAGCGATCCTCCCAGCTCAGCCTCCTGAGTAGCTGGGACTACAGGCACATACCACCACACCTGGCTTTTTTTTTTTTTTAAGACATAGGGTCTCACTATGTTGCCCAGGCTGGTCTCAAACTCCTGGCCTCAAGCAATCCTCCCACCTCAGGCTCCCAAAGTGCTAAGATTACAAGCATGAGCCACAGTGCCCAGTCTAAGATTTTTTTTTTTAAGCAGCATAATGTTTTTCAGGTTTACTTATGTTGTTTGTGATCTACTGACGTTTTTAGTATAAGACTTATATTCTGACTTTTTTACTGCCCGGTACTTTTAGACAGGGTCTCACTCTGTCTCCCAGGCTGGAGTGTGCTGGTGCAATCATGGCTAACTGCAGCCGCCAACTCCTGGTCCCAAGCCATGCTCCCGAGTAGCTGGGACTGCAGGTATACACCACTACACCTGGGTAAGTTTTTTATTTTTTTTCTTTTCTTTCTTGCTTTCTTTATTTATTTTTTGAGACAGAGTCTCGCTCTGTCACCCAGGCTGGAGAGCAGTGGCACAATCTCAGCTTACTGCAACCTCCGCCTCCCAGGTTCAGGCAATTCTCCTGCCTCAGCCTCCCAAATAGCTGGGACTATAGGTGTATGCCACCACGCCCGGCTGATTTTTTGTATTGTTAGTAGAGACGGGGTTTCACCGTGTTAGCCAGGATGGTCTTGATACCCTGACCTCATGATCCTCCCGCCTTGGCCTCCCAAAGTGCTGGGATTACAGGTGTGAGCCACCGTGCCCAGCCTTATTTTTTAATTTTTTTAGTATAGGATCTTGCTATGCTGCCCAGGCTGGTCTTGAACTCCTGGCCTCAAGTACTCCTTCTGCCTGAGCCTCCCAGAGTACTGGCATTAGAGGTGTGAGACACCATGCCTGGCTTGCTTTTATATCAATGCATGTCACTGCCTTCCATAGGTGGGCTGACTCCTGGAGGCCAGATGGTGGACACCAGCCCACAGCAACGTGCTAATAAAGAGGGTGTCTGCCGTGGCCACATGCTGCCACCTCCCAAAATGCCAGGGAATCCCAGGGGGAAGCAGCTGTGCAGACAAGTTCATGCTCACCAAGTGTGCCCTCTGTACCCTGATCGTCCCCTGCCTTCCTTACAAACCACTTGAAAATGTGTAACCAGTTTAGACCAATGGACTGTGTGAACTTGTAAAATATATATTTAGTCTTCGTCCCCTTTCCTGGCACACAACTCCCAACAGCCTTAGAATCCTTAAAGTGATCATCTTTTTGTATGTTAATGAGTAGCTTCAGGATAGGGGCTAAGTCACCCAAAGACCAAGGAAGGATTAGAGGGTTGGGACTTTCAGCCCCACCCCTAACCTCCAGGGAGGAGAGATGGGCTCAACGGTGACCTGAATCACCAACAGCCAGTCACTTAATCCATCATGCCCTATGTAATGATTCTATAAAAACCCTAAAGGACTGGGTTCAGGGGGCTTCCAGAAGGCTGAACAAGTGGAGATTCCTAGTGGGGGTGGGGGGGTGTTGCACCCAGGGATGGCATGGAATCTCTCCATCCCTTCCTCCATACCTCACCCTATGCACCTGTGAAAGGAAAATATCTTGAGCTCCTTCAAGCTGGGATCTGCTCAGGGCAAATCTGCCTCCCATTCTATCCAAAGTCATCCCTTAGCTCACTGAGATAGATGCATATCTGACTGCCTTAAAGGCTACTCAGAAGCTCAGAAGAATGCAACCATTCCTCTCTCACCTATGACCGGGAAGCCTCCTCCCTGCTTGCAGTCTTCCAGCCTTTGCTTCAAGTTGTCCTGTCTTTCCAGACCAAACCAATGTACTTCTTACATATATTGATTGATGTCTCACGTCTCCCTGAAATGCATAAAACCAAGCTGTGCCCCGACCTCCTTGGGCACATGACGTCAGCACTTCCTGAGGCTGTGTCATGGGTGTGCATCCTCAACCTTGGTAAAATAAGCTTTCTAAATTTACCGAGACCTGTCTCAAATGCTCGGGGTTCACAGTCCTCTTCCTCTGTAGCCTTTGGAACATCTTTTATAATAAACCAGTAAATGTAAGTGTTTCCCTGAGTTCTGTGAGCCACTCCAGCAAATTAAGCAAACCCAAAGAGGGAGTTGTGGGAACCCTGATTTATAGTCACCAGTCAGAAGCACAGATAAAACAACCTGGGGCTTGTGATTGGCATCAAAGTAGGGAGTAGTCTTGGGGGCTGATTTCTCAACCTATGGGATCAGATGCTGTCTCCAAGGAGAGGATGCCCAGCTAGTATCTGCTGCAGAATGAATTACGTGTTTGCTAGTGGGGAGAAATCCCTAAACATTTGGTCACAGAAGTCTTCCGTGTTGGTTGTTGTGGGGTGAGAGCAGAGAAAAACCAGCTTGTGGCTGAGTGTGGTGGCTCACGCTTGTAATCCCAGCACTTTGGGAGGCCGAATTGGGCAGATCACTTGAGGTCAGGAGTTCGAGACCAGCCTGGCCAACATGGTGAAACCCCTACTAAAAATACAAAAATGAGCTGGGTGTGGTGACACACATTTGTAATCCCAGCTACTTGGGAGGCTGAGGTGAGAGGATTCCTTGAACCTAGGAGGCAGAGGTTGCAGTGAGCCGAGATCGTGCCACTGCACTCCAGTCTGTGCAAGAGAGAGAGCCTCAAAAAAACACTGTTTTTTCCACACAGAGATGTTGCAGTCTCCCCAATGCACCACAATGTAGCAGTCTCTCTTTGTGAGGTGTCAGTCGGAGTTCTTTGTCTCATGACCAAGAGAATTAAGGAGCGTGGACACATAGGGTGAGGTAGGAGTGAAAGTTTAATAAGTGAAAGAAAGCTCTCTGCAGCAGAGAGGGAGCCCAAATGGGTTGCTGTTTTTACAGTTGAATGCAAAGGCTTTTATAAGAAACTGATGAGGGCTGGGTATCTCATTTGCATAAAGGCACAAACTTCTGGTAGCTCCCCACCCCATTCTCCTAATGCACATGCAGCCCCTTAGCTTGAGTTCTCTATATTGCTTTGTTCCCCTTACTGCACATTTGTCAGGAGATGTACTTTTCCATTGTGGGCATGTCTAGGCAAGTCACCTGTGTAGGCTTTTTTATCTGTGGAGCTGTGCGCATGTCTCAGGCAAGCCCCCCTGTGCAAGTTCCCTTATTTGTGCCTGCAGCTTGATTTTTCAGGCTGTTCTTTTGTTTGAAAGAATTCAACTGAGGACCCACTCTAACTGCCTGCCTGTCCGGTTTCTTTCTCCTCTCTCAGAGACTGTGACAAAAATGACATGTGTTACCTCCAGGTCAAGGCAGTTAAGGCCAGCATGCCTCATCCATTCCTCTCTTCCTTCCATAGAGATCTCAAAGACAACATGTCTTCTGTAATGTCTCCTCTAGCCTGGGGCCCTGAGTGACTATATGGAGCAGAGAGACACTCCTGTTGGCTCTCACTGGAGATGCAGCATGAGCAAGGAATAAGCCTGTGTTGTGTAAACCAGTGGTGATTTAAGGCTATTTAGTTGCAGCAACTAGTAACAGTAATCCTGACTAATGCAATTGTATATCCGGTGGTTTCTACTTACTCTCCCAGAAACTAGAATGCTCTGAATGTTAGTAGAAGAAACTAAGGACATTAGCAGATTTAATAACCACCAGCAAGAATTCCCAAATGATGGCCGGGTGTGCTGGTGGCTCACATCTGTAATCCCAGTGCTTTGGGAGGCCGAGATGGAAAGATCACTTGAGCCCAGAAGTTTAAGACCAGGCTGAGCAATATAGTGAAACCCTGTCTCTACAAAAAAAGAAAATTTTTAATCAGCCACACCTGTAGTCCCAGCTAATCTGAAGGCTGAGGTGGGAGGATCATGTCAGCCCAGGAGTTTGAGGCTGCAGTGAGCTATGATTGCACCACTGTGCTCCAATCTGAGTGACAGAGCAAGATTCTGTCTCTAAAAAAACAAAAAACAAAGAAAGACTTCCCAAGTGAATAAGTCTACCTCCTAAACACCTTGGAACAGTTCTAAAAGAAGTCGATCTGAGTGCACAACATCAGAAATTCTTAAGATATCGCCCTGGCTAGGGACACCCCAGGTGTTACCCCTGGCCAAAAGCCAAGCGCTGGCCACCCATTCAGCCCCCTTGGTTATGCCTCATAAACATTTTATGGACCCTGTTCAATTGAACAGCGATTCACACTATTAACTCCCATCACGGTTTTATTGTGGAAAGATGTTGCAAGCTTGGTCCATGCAAGCAGAGCCATGCATCAGTTCAGGAATCACGGCTGCCAAAGCCCAGCTGGAGCAGGTGCAGATGCAGATCGGCAACTCATGGCTAATGGACTGCTCCCAATCTCACCCCAGCCAGCTGGCACTGAGCCCTGAGGCTTCAACCTCCCAGCAAAGGTCCTGGAAATGGCTGGACTGAATTAGTCCCCAATATAACATGGGATGATGTTGCATTCACCCCAGTGGGATGTATGATCATAAAAATCTGTTCTATCAGCCTTCCTGCCTTCATCCTGCACCCAGGACAGACCCATGTCCTATTACTGCCAATGCAATTTCACATCAGACATCTATAGGGTGATATCTATTCAGGAATGACAGAGAGAGTGACAGAAAAGGAAGACTTGGGCCCTTGACATGCTGAGCATGAGGAGTGAGGGGTAAGCAGTCTGGGTGATTCCCCTGCCCAGCCCGAGATACTTGCATAAAGCCGCATTTCCCCCAGCAACAGTCTCTGGTCCCTGTCTGTCCATTAGCTGACTCCAGTCCTGACCAGCCTGTTCTCAGTCCTCCTGCCAGGACACATTCTAAAGACCGTGGGAGACTCAGCTCAGCCTCACTCCTCCCCAGAGCCAGATTACAACCTTTTGAGGCTCTAAGCATTGACTATGGTGATGCCCCCAGTCACTGTCCCAGCCCCTCACTGTTCAATTCACAACAAAACAGTATTTTGCAGAATGACACAAAACTGATATTGATACTGGAATTCAAATAGCCTTATTCTGAATTTTCAGATTGCAAAATCCTGTATAAGTTTGTCAAGAATGAGCGCCTCTCTGTCTCTTCGGGTGTGTGTTCTTGTGTGAGTGTGTGCCTGGATGTGGGTGTGGGTGACTCTGGTGTGAGTCTGGATGCAGGGGTGTGAGTATGTGTGTTTCCTGGCTTTTTATTTTTTGGTGGGCAGAGTCTCGTTCTATCACCCAGGCTGGAGTGTAGTGGCATGATCTCAGCTCACTGCAAATTCCTCCTCCTGGGTTCAAGCGATTCTCGTGCCTCAGCCTCCCGAGTAGCTGGGACTACAGTTGTGCATCACCACGCCTGGCTAATTTTTGTATTTCTAGTAGAGACGGGGTTTCATCATGTTGGCCAGGTTGGTCTTGAACTTCTGACATTAAGCGTTCCACCCACCTCAGCTTCCCAAAGTGCTGAGATTACAGGCGTGAGCCACCACACCCAGCCTTTTTTTTTTTTTTTTTTTTTTTTTTGAGATGGAGTCTCGCTCTGTCACCCAGGCTGGACTGCAGTGAAGCGATCTCGGCTCACTGGGTTCAAGTGATTCTCCTGTCTCAGCCTTCCGAGTAGCTGGGATTACAGGCATGCACCACCATGCTCGGTTAATTTTTGTATTTTTAGTGGAGATGAGGTTTCCCCATGTTGGCCAGGCTGGTCTCGAACTCCTGAACTCAGGTCATCCGCGGCTCAGCCTCCCAAAGTGCTGGGATTACAGGCATGAGCCACCACACCCAGCCTGTTTCCTGACTTTGATTGGCCCCTGAGTCTGTCTCCTCACCCCTTCTTCAGCATTTATCTCCTTCACAGCTTCTCTGTCTATGGAGGGCCCCAGACAGGCTTTGCTTCCCAAAGGAAACCAGGCAAAGTGATTTTGGGATGTGACTGGAAGGCCAGGATCATGCCAGGGAGAGAGGGCAGAGGGGCAGGACGTGGAGGCAGGTGCTGAAAGGATCTGGACACAAGGAGGGAGGGCTTGAGGCCTATCAAGTAGGGGTACTTCCCTGGATACCCACCCATCCAGATCAGAGGGACAGAGGGACAGGCTGAGCCCAAGGCCCTGTGGCCAATGCCACCCCATCACCATAATAAGCTCCTACTATGTGCCTTGTATTAGGTGGTTTGCATACACTGTCCCATTGAATCCTCACAACAATCCCAATGCACCCCTTTTTTTTTTTTTGAGACAGAGTCTCACTCTGTCGCCCAGGCTGGAGTGTCGTGCTGTGATCTCGGCTCACTGCAACTTCTGCCTCCCACATTCAGGCAATTCTCCTGCCTCAGTCCCCCAAGTAGCTGGGATTACAGGCTCCTGCCAACACACCCAGCTAATTATTGTATTTTTACTAAAGAGGGGTTTTGTCATGTTGGCCAGGCTGGTCTCAAACTCCTGACCTCAGGTGATCTGCCCACCTCAGCCTCCCAAAGTGCTACGATTACAGGCATGAGCCACCGCGCCCAGCCCCTATGTACTCTTGTTCCCAATTTTACAAATGAGGACTGGAAGCTCAGAGAGGTTAAGTGACTTTCCCAGGGTCACACAGCTGGTAAATGGGGAGCTAGGTTTCAAACCTAGTGTGCCTCGCTCTAAAGGCTGTGCTCTTTCTGCTAAGTCATGCTACCTCCAGGGAGGAACACATCAGGTATTAGAAGTGGCAGGACTAAGCAGACGCCAGAGCCAAGGAGACTCACGTGGATAGGCAACAAGGATACAAGAAAGTGGGAAAGTCTAGGATAAAGACACCCCAGGCCAGGCACGGTGGCTTATGCCTGTGATTCCAGGATTTTGGGAGGCCAAAGCAGGAGGATCACGTGTGGTCAGGAGTTCAAGACCAGCCTGGCCAACATAGTGAAATACAAAAATTAGCCAGGTGTCGTGGCACACGCCTATAGTCCCAGCTACTCAGGAGGCTGAGGTGGGAGGATCACTTGAACCCAGGAGGCAGAGGTTGCAGTGAGCCAAGATCCCACTCCACTCCATCCTGGGTGACAGAGTGAGACTCCATCTTAAAAAAAAAAAAAAAATACCCCAAAGGCTCTTCTCTTGTCAGACTATGGAGAGAATGTGGGGCCAAGCAAGAAACTCCAGTGATATGAGGTGGGGTGGGCAACTGTACCACCAGATCTTTTTTTTTTTTTTTTTGATATAGTCATTCTCTGTCACCCAGACTGTGGTACAGTGAAGCAATCATAGCTCACTGCATCCTCCAACTCCTGGGGTCAAGCGATCCTCCTGCCTCAGCCTCCCAAAGTGCTGAAATTATAGGCATGCACCACCATGCCTGGCTAATATTTTTATATTTTGTAGAAATGAGGGTCTCACTATGTTACCCAGGCTGGTCTCGAACTCCTGGCATCAAGTGATCCTTCCTACTCAGCCTCCGAAAGCGCTGGGATTACAGGTATGAGCCACTGCGCCCCTGCCTCATGGTCTCTTATGTAATCCCAGCACTTTGGGAGGCCGAGGGGGGCGGATCACGAGGTCAGGAGATCGAGACCATCCTGGCTAACACGATGAAACCCCGTCTCTACTAAAAATACAAAAAAATTAGCCGGGCGTCGTGGCGGGCACCTGTAGTCCCAGCTACTCAGGAGGCTGAGGCAGGAGAAAGGCGTGAACCCGGGAGGCGGAGCTTGAAGTGAGCCGAGATCGAGCCACTGCACACTCCAGCCTGGGCGACAGAGCGAGACTCTGTCTCAAAAAAAAAAAAAAAGAAAGAAAGAAAAACTATAAATTCCAGCAAAACAGAATCCTCCCTCTCACTGCATGTCCAAGGGCAACCAGCTGACACTTCATAATCTTCCAAATTCCCCATCCCATAAAATAGTGGCAATGACCAACCCAGCCCCACGACCAAGGATCTGCTGCAATACAGTGACCTATTTCCTCAAGTCGGCAAAGACCATCGAGCCCCCTATGGAGAGGACAGCCGGACAGCAGGGTGGATGCTCAATGAGCTCTAGGGGACGGGTCCTTCTACAGTTCATCCTAACCGCACCTTGCCTTCTCCTTCATTAGCAGTTTGCAATCATTCTGTTCAATTGCTTGTTGTACTGACGTTTGGCATTGCCTTTATTTACTTTGCAAATGACCCATTCTCAGGCTGAGGCGTTCAGATACTTCACTTCTCTCTCCGAAGAGTAAGCATGACGGCCCAGTGCGGTGGCTCATACCTGTAATAATCCCAGTGCTTTGGGAGGCAGAGGCAGGAGGATTGCTTGAGGTCAGGAATTCAAGACCAGCTTGGACAATAGAACAAGACCCTGTCTCTACAAAAAAAAATTAAAATTAGCCGAATGTAGTGGTTCATGCCTGTAGTCCCAGCCACTCAGGAAGCTGAGGCAGAAGGATTGCTTCAGCCCAGAACTTCAAGGCCACAGTGAGCTATGACAGTGCCACTGCTCTCCAATTTAGGTGACAGAGTGAGACCCCATCTCTTAAAAAAAAAAAAAAAAAGGTTGTTTTTAATTCGCTGGGCATTGTGATGCATACCTGTAGTCCCAGCTACTCAGGAGGCTGAGGCAGGAAGATTGCTTGAGCACAGACGTTCAAGGTTACAGTAAGCTACGATGGCACCATTGCGCTCCAGCCTGAGCAACAGAGCAAGATGTTTTCTCTAAAAATAAAGATAAAAATTAAAATCCAAGTAAAATAAATCTTTAAAAGAAACAAAGTGCTTCTCAAACATTCAAGTACAGGGACCTCGGGTAGACTGAAAAAATGAGCCACTAGTGCCTTCCCTGGAAACAACTCATTAAACAACTTCCACGTGATCATTGTTACTTATAGTTTACTAGTCAACATGCTTAAAGTCTAATTAGAAAAAAAATCCCTGGATATTAAGTTGGGAAACAGACCCAAGTCTGTATCTACATAAAGGTCACCACCTTGGTGACCTTTGGTAAATTTCATTTTTGTTCTTTGATTTCATTTTCTTTGAGAATGAGAAGCTGAAAGCTTTAAAGCTTTCTTCCCATAACTCCGAAATAGTTTATGAGCTCAAAAGAAAATATGACTAAAAGAAATGTGTGGTCATCAATACCTGGCTGCCCAGTATTTTCATGGACACAGACTTGTAACATATTCTGAAAGTTCCTTTAAGGAAAATAACTCTGTAGATATGGACAGCAAGGGAAAAGGGATCAATAAGAAAAAGAAAGGGAAATGAGTTAATGACAAAGGAGGAATGGTAGGTAGTAGAAATGATTCCCCACTTACTTGTTTTTTATCTATAGTCTAGTTATTCCTATTTGAAAACCTACTGGCACCAGGTATTATCAACAGGGATGAGTAATATGTAATTTTTATCTTTACTGGGTTACATTTGGCACATGGACAGTTGACAGCTGTCAGTCAGGTGGCTGGTCAATGAGGAGATACATATAAAGCTGCCAAAATATTTTTGTTGCTTTAAATACTTACAAGTAAACCATTTTAGCTGGAAATTTTGTTGCACTGAAATTAAATAGGCTGATATTTAAAATATAATTAATTGAAGTTAACTACTGGGAGAATCAAGATTTTCCCTATTAATATATAAGGTTAAATAACATGTTTTTCCAAGTGTCTTTCTGAAACAGGAAAACAATTTTTCTCCACTGTAAATAAGCTATCTGTAAGATAGGAAGATAACTTGCAAATAATGTTTAAAATGCATATGTTTTAATGTTAAATATTTAGAGCAGGTGTAAACCAATGCTACTTTAAACTCCAATATTTTATTAAAATAAACCATTCCCATACATTGAGGGAGTTGGCATAGGTTTTTTTGTGACACAATGTTGAAGATTTATTAGAAAGGACAAACATAGCTGCATGGTAGACAAGAATTTACAGCTTCTCATAATGAAAATTTTAAAAAATGGGATTTTAGACTAAGTCTACAACTCAGGCACAGCTAAAATGATAAATTTTAGTTATTTTGAAATATTTGAGCTATATTTAATATTATTTCCAATAGCTTCATTTATACTTAAATAATTGACAGAGTCATAAACAATAGTTTGGCAGAAGCTTTTGGTTTGCTTATACTTAATGACAATGTAATAATTATAGCCAATGGTAATGCATGTGAAAACTTAACAAATACAATTCTGAAGTTGACATAAGAACACATGTTGTTCAGTTTTGCAGTAACTATCATCTTTAAAAGTAAATATTGTGATTGTTTAGGAATATAGTATTTAACAGACTAGAAAAATATAAGTAAAATTTTCAAGTGCATGAAATACATACTAATTCTTTAAGAGACTAATGAAGTTATTCTAAAAATTTAGCGACTATAGTTACTCAGGTGTCTGAATCAATATAATGAAACATAATGAAGCATGACAAAATATATATGAAAGTAGCAGCTTGAAATCGCAATAAATACATATATATTTTTAAATGTTTTAATCATTTGAAATATATATGTAACAATTTATAATAAAAAGTATATTTGGATTTTAATGTTTTAAAATAGGGGTTCATTAAAATGTTTGTGGGTAACGTTATGTTTTTAAAATATTAGCTATTTTGTTTGGGTGGAGTATTTCTGATAATTTTTTAAACCACAAATGTTTCATAATTTTCAACAGTAATTACAACAGTTTAAAAGAGTATGTTAGTTATACATTTGTGGCATATCCATGTCGTCACTGATTTAAAAATCATTTCAGGTACAGTGGTCATTAAAAAAGTCAGACCTTATTTTTTTTCCACTATAAAATCATGTGTTAAGGATGTAGATTTAAAGTTATTTATGGGATCATCAGAATAAAACAACTGCCTCATAGTATTAGTAATTTATATTGGTAGGAGTCTTTTCTTTCTTAAGCACCAATTCTACCCCCCACAGCCCAGAAAATTGATTTTATCCATAATAATTTATAGCATTCTTCATCAATGTATACTGTTGTTTCTTTTAAATTCATTAGCCCATGTTGCTTGTGAATATGGAATTTGGTTATTAAAATGGTTTCATATGTTTACTATGTATAGGCTCTAGCTTTGAGCTGCTTACTTGCTTAAATAAATGTTTTCAATTTACTATAATACAACAATTTGTAGAGAAATGCTGTGAAGCATAGTTAAAAGAATGAATCCCTGAAATAGAATCACTTTTTAAAAATATGCCCTAACATGTGGTCTCATTTTTTCATGTTTTGCATTAATTAAAGTCCTATTCTGAAAAAAATATTTTTGCCTAAACTTTTGAATTAACAAAATAAAAATAAAAAATATACAAATATACGAATTTTGGAAATCAGTGATGTAAAAACATGCTTTAATACCGTCTTGGTTGTTAATTTCAAAGATTTTTCTCAAAAGACACTCTTTGTAAAGTAATGAGAAAATATTGCCACTTTTAATTATTAAATAATATTTACTACAATACAATTTACTTTTAATTATTAAACATGCAATATATTTTAAATTATTTAATTATATATGCAACGTATATTTTAAAAATGTATTAAAATAAAGTTAATTGCATGTTCTCTCTAATCATGTTCTTGTAGCATGCACACATTTTAAAAAACCCAGTACATGTAATTTTTGAAAATAGTATGTACCATTACACCTTTTTATTTGGGAGATTTATTAGAAAATAACTTTTTATTCAGAAAAGATTATGACAGAATTAGATAAAAAGGAGACTAAAATGTGTGTTAAATCATGTAATATTATAAATGTAATTAACTCTTCATCTTCCAAATATTGAAAACAGTAATGAAAGAGACCAATATTTAAAAATAGAATCTTTTTTTAAACCTAAAAAAAAAACTAAAAAATTGTTATATGGTAACAGCTTTACTTTCACATAAGGCAAACCCACTGTTGAGTGAGTTGGCTCTGATTCCAATGGTCTCATCAACTTTGTGAACACAGGTACCTCAGTGGTGCCTCTTTCAAGACAACAAAATTAACTTTTAGAGATTAAAAAATATATTTTGGCAATTGAAACTCACCAGTGCCTTTCTGCTTCTCCAGGAAGTTGTACCCGTCAGCACCTGCTGAGGGCTTTGTTGTCCAAACCCTGACAGGTAAAAAAATTCCTGTAGAATAAAGCCAGACCAGCTGGCTTTGAAGAGAAACCCCCCAGTTTGGGCTGCGTTTGCCTCCTCTCCTTTTCTATGAAGACCGAGGCTTTGCCCCCTTGATCGTCAAGCCGTGAGATGCGTGATCTCTCTGCACAAGTGTCTGGCAGGCCGAGGTGCACCTGTTTCTGTCACTCTGGAGTAAATTTAGCTGTAAAGGTATCACTGACAACCAGACCTTTGTCAGTGCTGGCAAAAGAACACAGAATTGCTTCCCTCCCCTCCCCCCTCCCGACCCCCTATGCTGCTAGTTCCAATGGAAAATATCCAATCGGAAGTCTATCCAAAAATCATTCCTAAAAAATGAAATTGCTTTCATATGGTATAAAAAAGTAAGTTTCCTCATTTCAAGCAGATTTTAAAATTACATTTCCAAGAATAATCTTGGAACAAGACAAGTTTTCGTTCAATTAATTGTGGCTGGAAACTTTTTAATGGAAACATAGCACATACTTACTTCATTTCAGGTTATTAAATTGTGTTAAGCATAAAAGTTATTTGCCATTCTTTGCTGCAGCTCATTTGTTCTTTTCGATTCTAAGAAATATTAGAAGGTTAAATAACTTATCACATAGGAGAGATTATTCATACTACCAAAATTAGAATGTGTGTAGTTCTGAGGGACTGAATGTCAAAATTGTATGCTCATAGCACTAAAACTATTGGGAATCTAGGATGACACTGGAACATGTAAAATGGCAGCTAAGGTCTATGGAAACCCTTCATGTTTAGAAACTGGCTAAAGCTTGAGTTCTCTTATCTTTTGGTTAAGGTAAGGACATTTATCATTTATGTGAATGTTTTAGACTAATTTCTTTATTAGTGGTTTGAGCAATATTCCTTTTGAGGAAAATAGAGAGGCAGGCAATATTCATTAATATGTCTGACATAAATAAAATAGTCAAGATATATAAAGCAGCCCAAGGAGTAACATCCTTAGCCAAAGCATTCTGAGCTTCTGCCTTAATAATTATGATTTCTTAAGTGGAGTTAAAAAGAGTTGTACAGAGTACCTGTTCTACCATATTATTGCTGTTTACAGGAGTTGGGTGTGATGAGAAAAGGAAAGCTGGGTCAAAATAAAAAATGCTTTGTAAAATAAACAAAGTTCCTATTTACTTACTATGTATAAACAGCCACTCACCAAGCCTCGTTTCTCCACAGGGCACCATTTTCAGATAAAAACATAGACCTGAATGGCATCATCCAGTATCCAAGGAAACCATGTAAGTACCTCTCTCACTGTGTACTTCTGTTATTCAGATCTTAAAAGCTAGCTGAGTACTGAATAAGTGAGTGTTTTTATTTAATAATTATAAGGGAAGTACTTTTTAGGAGCCTGCTAAAAAGAAACAGGTTCTTTATTGTTATGTGCGTCATAACAAAACTCTCATGTTTTCATCATATTTCATAAAATTATGTGCTTAGTACCACTCTCTCCATCAATTCTCATTCTTAGGTACAAAATAGTTACTCAAAGTCCTAATGAATTGGAAGTTTCAAACTTTTCCAAGACCCAAACAATGTTTCAGAGTCCTTGTGCCGGGAGTACTTTATTAATTGTAGTTAAACTTGTTAAATTTTAAAAATTAAGAAAAAATTCCTTGGAAAATAATGGTTTATTGGTAAACAAGTATGGCAATTTATTTGGCTGTAGGCTTGCTTGAAGAGTGAGCAGGTGAGCAAAGAGACAAGATTACATGTTTAAACCAAGAAAAGAATCTTGAAAGTAAGTGTAATGACCAAGATGCAAAAATCTGTTTGGGGAAATTGTTGGAAGGTTGGCACATTATTTTCTTTATCCCCTCCCCACAAACTAATGTACATTTCTGCAGCTAATATCAAAGTTTTAATTCATGTTCAGGAGCTATGAAATCTACTGTGGAAATTTAGTTTCTAAACAACATGCTACTCTGGAGAAAGACATTCCTAAAATATTTGAAATTTCTACTATTACCGTACTTCGACTTTTTTTTTTGTTATTTGTACTATCTCCTTTTAAAATTAAATTATTTTCAATGTGAAATGATTATTCATTATTGTTTATATACCTTTTCACGAAAACACTTAACATTTTCTATATACTCATGTAATTATAGACCTCGTTTTTTACCTTCTAAATTCACTATATGATTTACCTACTCTTTAAATACAGACATATTACTTTTCATTGAGGGTGGTTTCAGAGTTTTTCATATATATATTTTTTTGCTTTTGTCACTCGTGTGTATTTCTACTTTTCCTCTGCAGCATGGCTCCTTGCTAAGCATAAATGGTAGAGATTATCTCACAGTTTCTCTGAAGAATTAGAGAGGTCCTTCATGTTCAATAACTAACTGCAGGAGCATTTCACTTTATCACATAATTATGTCAAATTCTATTGTTTATGCATTTGCATATTTCTGCCTTTTAATATATGTTACCAAACACATCTTTCTGAATTGAGAAAAGTTGTCAGACTAAGGAATTCGCTGGAACTTTGGAAGGGCCTCCTCACCCAATAGGAAGACCTGGCTAGGAATTTAATTTTTTTTTTTTTTTTTTTTTTTTTTTTTGAGACGGAGTCTCGCTCTGTCGCCCAGGCCGGACTGCGGACTGCAGTGGCGCAATCTCGGCTCACTGCAAGCTCCGCTTCCCGGGTTCACGCCATTCTCCTGCCTCAGCCTCCCGAGTAGCTGGGACTACAGGCGCCCGCCACCGCGCCCGGCTAATTTTTTGTATTTTTAGTAGAGACGGGGTTTCACCTTGTTAGCCAGGATGGTCTCGATCTCCTGACCTCCTGATCCACCCGCCTCGGCCTCCCAAAGTGCTGGGATTACAGGCGTGAGCCACCGCGCCCGGCCAGGAATTTAATTTTTTATGTAACTCGCAAACTTCACAAGTGTGGAGTCTGAGACCGGAAGTGCTACCAAACTCCACTGAAAGTGAAGTTTGAGGCCAGAAGTGGGATTTCCTTGCTGCATAATAAAAGTGGGCTTTGGCTGAGTAAAATTGGAAGCAGAGAGGGCTTAGAATAGATGTTTATAAAGAAAGAAAATCCTAATTGAAGGGGAAGACCAGGTAATGTTATAATTCACTATTTTGAGAAAATGGAATCTTTTGAATTCATTCTCCTTGTAATACAAGGGAAATGAAAATCTATAGTACAATGCTCATGGCACAATTTTAACTGTTTACATTAAAATATAAATTTTTCCAGAAAAAAAATTTAAATTTGACATATTTAATGAAACCTCCTATAACAAAAGGAAAATTGCTATAGAAATAAATGTATATATATATATATATATATACACACACACACACATTTATGTATATATTTGAGATTTTCCATTCATCAGTAGTAACCTCTCTAATGTAGACCAACCTTGTTTAGTAGAACTTTCTGTGATAATGGACATGTTCCATAGCTGCACCATCCAATATGGTACTCACTAGCCATATGTGGCTATTGAGTACTTGAAACATGGCTAGTGCAACAGAGAAACTTAATTTTGAATTTTATTTACATTTAATTAATTTAAATATAAATAGCCCACATGTAACTAGTGGCTACCATATAAACAACCTAGCTCTGGTCTAGATCACTTAGAAATGTGGGGAGAGTCAAATATGTATAGATTTGATATCACTATCAGTTATTTCTTATCTGTATCAACTACCATTGACCATTACTGAAATCATTAATGCCTGAAGAAGTGTGCTCCAACATTAATTTAGCAGGATTTTGAGAAATACTGTCATGTGATAGGCCAAATTGTAAAGAGTACTATTTTGTTTTCATCAGAAATTAAATACCCTCTTGCGGAGATTTTCTATTTCTTTTGGTATTCTGTCATACAATATAATTTTTTATGTTTACTTTAATATTTGAATTATTACAGTAGAATTTCTTTATGATACTTTCTCAGAGATGAATGCTTTTCATATGGTCGATAGGAAGACATTATAAAATTACTTTATAAGCCTGGGACAGCAACTTTTAAAATGGCCTTTGTAAACAAGACTACATGAAAAAGATAAATACACTAATGAAAATTCTAACTATGGGGACAAATATTTTTAAAAGTTTAGTTATAATTGGCTGGGTGTCGTGGCTCATGACTGTAATCCCAGAACTTTGGGAGGCCAAGGTGAGTGGATCATCTGAGGTCAGGATTCAAGACCAGCCTGACCAACATGGTGAAACCCTGTCTCTACTAAAAATACAAAATTAGCCGGGCGTGGTGGCAGGCGCCTGTAATCCTAGCTACTTGGGAGGCTGAGGCAAGAGAATCACTTGAACCCGGGAGGTGGAGGTTCCAGTGAGCTGAGACCACACCATTGCACTCCAGCCTGGGCAACAAGAGTGAAACTCCATCTCAAAAAATAAATAAATAAATAAATAAATAAAATAAAAATAAAAAAAGGAAAAAGTTTTCTTACAAGTTCTGCAATGCAACTTGGCAATACAACTTGGCAAATAATTCCAAAAATGTAATCGGCCTCAAAAAGTGCTCCCTAGCCTTGTTTCTCCAAAAGCTGATTCTACTTCCAAAGCACACATCAGAGTTTAAATCTCCCATGACCTTTTCAGGCGTTTAGTGGAAATGATCATTAGGATTTGTGATGATACTTTTATAATAATGCTAGACAGTAATATTATAGATAGGATAATTGCGTATAAAATAATATTGAAAATTTTAAATTTGTATAGATTTTAAAAGTTAGTAAATTCATATCTTGAATGCTGATTATTTGTAGGACATTGAACCTAGAGACTCTGGGAAATATTTTTTTAAATGGGAGACATCCGTCCTTTTAGGAACTCCATTTATTGGACCTGGGCATGTTCTTTTGGAAGGATAGGATTCAGATAAGCGAGAGAGAGGAGACTTCCTTTGGCATAACCTTGGACAAGCTACTGAGTGTTCCTTCTGCAGTGAAACAATAGGATTCTGGATAAAACATACTTTCTAATGAATTACTTGACTTCAGGAAACTTTTTTAACAACTCTAAAGATCCTTCTTCCTTGCCTCAGGATGAAAAAATTAAAAAGCATGAGGTGAAACTGCTGTTGAAGAGTAATAAACAAACAGGAAAAGTGGGATGGACAATTAAATTGTATGGGTTGTATTTATTTGCAAAGATACTGTTGGAAGTATAGCAGTCACATGCTCTATTAGACTGCTCCTAAACCGAGCCTTATTTGAAAAAAAAAACAAGGAGAACCAACAACCACATTTGTAGACCCAGTTTTTTGGTGTCCTTTTTTTTTTTCCTTTTGGTATCTTCAGTTAAGTAGCCAACCACTTTCATATTGTCAGATCTGTTTTCAGAAAGAGGGCCTACTTTTGCTCAGAAACCAGTGTTCTGTGTGGAGAAAACATGGGTCTCCATTGAAGGAATCCTACAAATCTCTGATATCTGCATGTTTGAGAAAGTACTTTCATTCAGACACATGGACTGTAACTTCTGAGTCCTTAACCACCACCTCAAATTAGTATTTGTCTACTTTTAAGTGTATTTAACTTTTTGTTATGAAAATTCAGAATATATTAGAAAAGTAGAGGGAAAAGTGTAATGAAATTTTGTATAACCATACCTACCTTCCACAGCTATCATCTCATGGGCCAGGTTGTTTCATAATTGTTGTTTCCACTTTCCACTTCCACCTCAAATTATTTTGAAGCGAATCCCAGACATGACATCATTTTATCTGGTAACATTTCAGTCTGTATCTTTAAAAGATAAGATTTTTTTAACTTAAAAATGAACCACATCTAGAAAATTAACCACACTTAAAAAGTCAACATTTTCTTACTATTCTCAAATATACAAAACCAATATTCAAAATTTTCTGGTTGTCTCCTAAAGTTTTGTATTCTTTACTGTTTGAAGCAGGATACAAATAAGGTCCATACATTGTAATTGGTTAATATGTCTCCTCTTTTAATCTATAGGTTTATGTTTATTTTTCCTTGTTTCTTAAGAAACTGGATTGTTTGTGCTGTAGAGCTTTCCATAGTCTGCATTTGCTGATGCTTTCCTGCAGAGTCATTTAATGAGCTCCTCAGCCCTGTTTCTTACCTGTTAATGGGTAGTGAAGACTCTAGAAACTTGATGAAATTCATTTAGGGGATGGGGGGCAAGACTACTGGCTCTTTCTCTTTTTGTGACGTTAGCAGGTGTTGTTGATCATTGCCTACATCTATTTATTCCTTAGAGCTTGAAAAATGGCAATATAATTGTCATTTCTGGTTTATTTATTGCGTGGAATAGTTCTATAAAGATAAACTAGTTTGTTAGAGTTTCAATTTATATAAGAAAATCAGGATGGATGCTTTATTCTCTCCCTTTATCAGTTCTTAATATAATGTGTGGTTCCTTAACATCCTCTAAAGTTTACCAATGGTTTAAAAAATTTCATTGTGAACATTAATGCGCTTCAAGCTATTGCAGTTATCATACTTATGAATGCCCAGTTTGCCACATCTCTGATTACTCAAAGTTTATCTCAGTTGGTTCCTCTGTGTTTTTGAAAGAACCTCAAGTTTTTGAGAGCTTCCAGGATAATTGGTGTGACAAAATATAACAGGCTCATCTTTAATATTTCCTTTCCAAACCTGGAATCAGGCAATTATCCAAGAAATTTTAGTTCTTTCTTTTTTTTTTTTTGTCTTGGAACTAGTACTTGAAAACCGTAATCTTAAAATTAGTGAGCTCATTGCTACTGACTTTGTCCTTAATCTAGGCCCTTTCAAAGGAAAGAGCTAGAAAAAGTGTGTGTATGTGTGTGTGTGAGAGTGTGCGTGTGTATGTTTAATTTTAAGACTAAATACATCAGGAGCTCACACTAATACTTCCTATTAATATACAACCCAACAGGATTTTAATTTAGTCACATAAATCTTGTATCATATCAATGTCCTTTCTTCCCAGCTGACCATCCTACAATCTTAATTCTTAATGATAGTAGCGTACTTATTTGCTTATGCTACAAATACACTTATAACAGGCTCAGAATAATAATACCAAGACTACTACCATCAGTAGTGATGTACACATCCTGTGTACACCCTGTGTACAGCCCCCTTCTCTTTAAAGATGTATGTATTACTGAGGTTTTAAGTCATGTAAAATTGTTTCTTTTGGTGTGATTATGCCACCAGCTAGATATAGATAGATTCACTTGGCTCTTTTTGCTTTCAATTTTTTGGGATTAAAATGTTAGCTAGGAGAGACCAGAGCAGTGCATAGTCTACCTCATTTCTCACTACTGAGGTTCTACCTAATTGCATATGAATTAAGAGATTTTCCATTGTGACTGGTGAGAAAAGGCCTATTTCCAGCCCTAGGAAGGTGCCAGGTACTGTTCCCCGTATAATTATTTCCGATGCTTCTTTCCTCAGCCTTGGGTAGCTTCCTCATGCACATATCCAGATCTCTGAGACTCTCTGCAGATTTCAAGAGATTGTTGTCTGTGCATCTGCTCTCTCCTGAACTCTGTCCTGTAAGCTCTAGCTACTTTATTATCCCATATCTTTAGCTCTGTTTCCTCAATTCATGGAGTTTGCCTCCCTTGAGTTAGTTGCCCTTCCTGTGCCACTGCTAAGAAACCTTCACGGGCTTAAGCCAGAGCCTTCATAGGATTCACCTCCCTCAGGGATCAACGTCCTTTGTGGTCTGATAGCTCATGTCTTGACAACCATTGTTTCATATATTTTGTCGGGGTTTATTTTTGGTTGTTTCAGGAAGCAGGGCACATCCAGTCCCTTTCAGTCCATCTTGGCTAGAAATGGAAGTCTCCCCAGTTGTTTCTTAAAAAGGTCAGCTATAGCTTATTAATCCAAACAGTTTCTTAATATGAAGCTCAATATTTAAATTAAATTTAAAAATATTCTGATTGATGTGTGTTTGTTCGTGTGTCGGAAATCTTTCTGAAACACTGCTGTAGTCTTAAAGCTACCAGTTCCACTTCAAGACCTCTTCTTGGCCTATTTCCTCCCAACTAGGTTTCCCCCAACAGATGAGTCCTTTTTTATTTTCTGCCACTTAGAGGCAATTTTTGGGTTCACTCATTCATTTCTTTAACAGACATTTTTGATTACCTATTATGTGTCATATGAAGTGTTGAGAATACAATGGTGAATAAAACACCACTCATTCCCTTAAAAATGTTGCAATTTAATTTTCACACAGAAATTTGAACATGAATGTTCACAGCAACTTTATTTGTAATAGCACCAAACTGGAAATGCCCATATGCCCATCAATGGGTGAATGGTTGGACAGACTGTGATATAAGCATGCTATAGACTACAGCAATAAAGACTAACAAACTGTTATTATGGGTAACAACCTGGATGAACCTCAAGGAAATTGTGCTGAGTGAAAAAAAAAAACCTGTCTTAAAAAGATACATTACTGAATGATTTCATTTATACAACCTTCATGAAATAAGATCATTATGGAGAAAGATTAGTGGTAGCCAGGGGTTAGGGAGGGGAAGGGGAGAGGGTGGGGTGTGCATAAAGTGGTAGCACTAGGGAGTCTTATGGTGATGGTACAGTTAAGTGTCTTGATTGTGCTAGTGGTTACTCGAAGCTACACATGTGATACAATGACATAGAGCTATACACACATACAAACAAAAATAACTGTATGTATAGCTGGTGAAATATCTATGGATTCTATGAAAAGCTCCATGGATTGTACTATTGTCAGTTTCCTGGTTTTAATATTGCAGTTTTGCAAGATGTTAACACTGAGAATGAGGACTGGATGAAGGGTGCACATGACCTTCCCGTCCATTTCTTTGCATGTTTTTTGTGAAATTTTAATTACTTTAAAATAAAAAGTTAAAAAATATCTTGCAATTTTGTGGAGGGTACAAAGAACTAAACAGCCAATTATAATAGCCAATTGTATACTACCTTTCACTGAAAATTTTTATTAATTTTTATTTTCTGAAATAATAACTGGTTGTTCACTAAATCCTTTAAAATTTCTTCTAAGAAGACATTCCAGTGTATGTCAGTAGTATAGTTGACAGAGTATTTCTCTCTCATCTTCTGGTAATTTGTGGTGACTGTGTAGTCCTGATTTTTATTATGGCCATGGTCTTTTTTGTATCCTTTCCTATCTCTGTCTCTATAGCGGAGAAAACCATTAGTTATTTCTTGCGCTTATTTCAGCAAAGGGGAAGTAATACATACATATGGGGGAATACCTTATTCCCACTCCCAAGTCATAAGACAATGTCTCTACTACTCTTGTCTCTTAAAGCTTCCCCATCAGGTCATGCTTCTATTTGCAGGACATGTATTAGCAGTAGTGCACTAGCAAAATAGTTGTGTTGATTCTCCTCTACCCCCACCAAAGTAATGTGCCCTCCTTTTATAGCCTCAGTAAAATACCTTAACCATACAAGGCAAACATTTTGTAAGAATGAGCATGTATTACTACAAAGCAACAGGAGGCTCATGTTCTCACAACATGTTCAAATGTAAGCACAAAGACCCACTCCAGATTTAAATATCAATGAGTTTTGGAATACACACAGCTTTGGCTCATTTCTGGCCCTATTCTGCCATCAGCATGTATCAGCCAAAGCTTTACTCTGACCCATTTAGAAATAGCCTTTGTACGTGAAGATGAACGCATAGTTGTAGTGGGTTTTTTACATAGTCACTTATTACTATAGCTTATTTTAATTTAGTGACAGATTGTCATATATTTTGAGTTTTCTCAAGTTATAAAAGTTTTTTTTCTTTCTTGGAACTAAATAGAATATATATTATTTCTGATATGTTGAGGGAAATTTATGTTGGTTTTGTTCATATTACTAGAAAAGTCACTCAATATGAATTTGTGCTCTTGTGACGTTGTGACAACTCAGTTGTCCTAGAATTTTTATTAGGCTGTTTCTAAATTTCACAAATCCATGAATAGGTGAGTTTACAATATATAGACTGGAAGTACTTTATTTTTAAAAATTTTTCCCCCAAAACTCACCCCCTCTTCTCAGTGTCAGGAAAACCTCTTTGGAGTTCTATTGGACTAAGTGTCTGAGTCTGTGCCTATGTGGGTTGCTGGAATATTTATTTACCAGGCAGAAAACATTCTTGAAGTTTTTAATTTGATCTGTCTCCTTGAAATAAATATCATGAAAAGAATATATAGGTACCTTTGGTTTGTGTCCTTTACCTTGAAAAGTATAGCAGCCAATTTGAAATTGCCTAGGTCTACTTTGTGAAATTCACCACTTAGTTCTACCTTTGATCTCATGCTTCTTTTTAAAAAATTGATGAATTCATTGGGTCTTGGGCCTTTTTTTTTTTTTAATTTTGCTTATATAGTCATAATGTACTTTACATTTAACAGGTCATTTATGGTTGATTCAATCCCAAGACTTTTCCTCATTTTTTGTTGTAGTCAATTGTGTACTACTTTTCACTTAAAATGTTTATTGATTTTGATTCTCTGAAATGAAACCCATTTTTGTGCTAAATCTTTTAAAATCATTCTAAGAAAATAGTCAAGTTTATGTATACTTGACTTAGAATATTTCTGATAATTTGTGGTGACTCTGTGGTCCTGATTTTTATATGGCCATGATCTTTCCTGTGTCCTCGTCTTCTCATATCTCTCTCTATAGCTGAAAAAATTACTAGTTATTCCTTGTTGTTAATTCTTTAAAATGCAGTCATAAGGATTCTCAAAGTTACACAACGTTCCACAAATTCTATACTTTTTCTACAACCTTAATTAAGATTGCACCAGTGCTAAAATGGATATACACAACCATACTATTAAAAATATTACAAGCATTTTTGGAGAGGAATAGGAATTAACAGGAAGCAGTACGCTTTCCATAGATTTGGAAAGCCACCGAAGAGGAATTTTTTTTTTTTTTTTTTTTTTGGACAGAGTCTCGCACTGTCGCCCGGGCTGGAGTGCAATGGCGTCATCTTGGCTCACTGCAACCTCCGCCTCCCAGGTTCAAGCAATTCTCCTTGCCTCAGCCTCCCTAGTAGCTGGGATTACAGGCGCCCGCTACCATGCCCAGCTAATTTTGTTTTTGTATTTTTAGTAGAGACGGGGTTTCACTATGTTGGCCAGGCTCAGAAGAAGTATTTATTTTATTTTTATTTTTATTTTTTATTTTTTATTTTTTTTGAGACGGAGTCTCGCTCTGTTGCCCAGGCCGGACTGCGGACTGCAGTGGCGCAATCTCGGCTCACTGCAAGCTCCGCTTCCCGGGTTCACGCCATTCTCCTGCCTCAGCCTCCCGAGTAGCTGGGACTACAGGCGCCCGCCACCGCGCCCGGCTAATTTTTTGTATTTTTAGTAGAGACGGGGTTTCACCTTGTTAGCCAGGATGGTCTCGATCTCCTGACCTCATGATCCACCCGCCTCGGCCTCCCAAAGTGCTGGGATTACAGGCGTGAGCCACCGCGCCCGGCCAAGTATTTCTTTTAAAGTTGCCTAAATATTCTTAAAGCGTTGATTTTGGAACAAGAGTTGCATAGGCACCACTATAATCCCTCCAGTTTATAAAGAGAAGTCATTTGCCACATCTTCCTTCCCTCCTCTGCTTCTGCCTGAACAAAAGTGTGCAGAATCTACTCCCACCTGCAGCAAACCTATCAGTCCCTGGACCAAACTCAACAATAGGAAGCATATTTGGAGCCTTTGACTCTCTTTTCCTCATTGGGTACATATAGTGGCCCTGCTACTACTGCTGGGCTCCCGTATTATTGCTCATTCTGAGCTGGAATCTCTGCAGTTCACTAGATCTGGGAGGCCATGATTCCGAATTATATCCTAGGGGCCAGTGTGGCTCTATAGATATGGAAATTGTCCCCTTCTGTCTACACGGTACTAGGCCTCTGCTAAGTTTCCTTGGATCTTTAGATGCTGTCACTATGCCCTAATTCCACTCTGTGGTGTTTCATGAAATAGAATCAGATCTGATGATGGCCACCATCTGCCTGATTTCTAAGTATTCCTGATAGTCTCTGCTACTTCTGCCTGATATGATACCCTATTACTTACAGCTGCTTGCATGACTTCAGTGCTCTTTCTGCCCTTTGAATATGGTGCCTTTCTGTCTTATGGATCTGTGGTTGTCAGTTGTGAATAGTTTCTGCTGTATATTTGTGATCCCAAATGTGTGTCCTGGCTGGTATTGCTAAACATCCCTTGTGCTTCACACCTGTATCAGAGAGATGGGCCTCAGACATAATGAGTCTTTCCAAGCTCTGAAGGGTGGCATCTCACTGATTGCACCATAGTATGAGTCTCATTCACTCTGTTTCTCCATAGCTCTTCTTGGTTCCAAAACGCTATCTTGGTAACTTATGATAATAAAACCATTAAAATAAGGATTAAAACAAAGGCACGTAATAAAAGGGCGTAGGATAAAACTAAACCAGAAAACCAGGACCTCCCTCAAAGATCCTGCAGTTGAATAACTTGAATTTTAGGCTCACCTTTCTGCCAGTTGGAGAAAAAGAGAGGCATAGAAATGATGCCACCTACTATCAGATCAGAGTAGGGCAGGAGATTCCAGTTCGTCAGGAGAAATGTTTATGTTTTTCCTAGCTATGGGGAAGCATGTGTTGAGTAGCTTATTATTTTTATATCAAATAATCATATTAAAATGCCAGTGCATCCTTCCTTTCTAGCATGATATACTTCAAAAAATTATTCTTCACAATGCCTTTAGACATGCACTAATCCAAGAGAAATATGTGAGCCACATATATGATTTTAAATTTCCTAGTATCCACAGTAAAAAGTAAAAAGATATATGTGAAAATAATTTAATGATATATGCATTCTAGTCAATATACCCCCAAATCTTATTATATCAACAGGTGATCGATATAAAACTATGGACGTATTTTATATTATTTAAAAAATAAATCTTCGGGCTGGGCACGGTGGCTCACACCTGTAATCTTAGCACTTTGGGAGGCCAAGGCGGGAGGATCACGAGGTCAGGAGATCAAGACCATCCTGGCTAACACAGTGAAACCCCGTCTCTACTAAAAATACAAAAAAAAAAAAAAAATTAGCCAGGCGTGGTGGCACGTGCCTGTAGTCCCAGCTAGTCAGGAGGCTGAGGCAGGGGAATCACCTGAACCTGGGAGGCGGAGGTTGCAGTGAGCCGAGATTGTGCTACTGCACTCCAGCCTGGGCAACAGAGCGAGACTCCGTCTCAATAAAAATAAAATAAATCTTTGAAGTGCAGTGTGTATTTTACACCAATGGCACAACTCAGTTTGAGAAAGTTACATTTCAAGTACTCAATAGCCACATGTGGTCAGGGGCTACTGTATTGCAGTGTGGCCTTCCACAATGCGGCAAGTGGTGCAACGGTAGGAGGGCACCTCCTGATTGTTAAAATATTCTTGTGATACTTGCAGTCTTGAGATTCCTCAGCTACAATTACCATCAGGAACCATGAAAGGAAATTTCTTCAGTGTTCTTCATACTGAATGGCCATTAATTCAGAAGTTATAATTTTTTTATGTCACCAAACTAACTTGATGAGATGAACAAACAGATTGCTGTTTTTAAGAAAGTGAGTAACTTACTCTGAAAACCTCTGGACCTTTACTTTCAATGCCTTCATCACTAGTGAATTCACTAATTTATGTAATCAGGGAAATTCTCTTGAACTATTTTTAATGGCACCTACTTCCTTAAGACTTCCATGATTTCACCTGCTTTCTTTCCCGAGGCTTCAAAGGGAATCAGTTTGTAATTTTTCAGTGATATTCATGACTTTGTGCTTGGCATGCAGTTACTTGTTAATTTCTTTTTTAGCTTCTTGTTGAGAACTGAGACTTGTTGGCTGTCCTCCTCCCTTTTAGTGCCTTGCATGGTGTAAAGTGTAGTCAGTAACGTTTGTTGAATGCACATGTATGTACCTTCTCTGATTTAAGGTCTGGAAGGCAGGACATGGTTTTCTTTTTTAATATATCCTTTCATATATTTTTAGCTGCTAGCATAGTTTGGTTTATTCAGTTGGTGCTTAATAAATTCTTGCCAGCTGGACTCATAACTTATAAGTAGCCTCCCAAGTCTTAGTCCGCAACTATGTTCATCAAGTTGTTAAATTACATATTTGAAAAAAAATCACCATTTTCATTTAGAGGAACAAATACAAACAAATATATCTACCAACCTACCTTGATGGTTCTATGAAACCTAACTGACTCTATGAAAAAAACGAAAAAGTTAACTAAGAGTGTACTACTACTTTTAGTTAAATGCCAATGAAGTATAATATATAGTTGTCAGAAGAAAAAACATAAGTATTGTTGTAGTTCATAAACATTATGATAAAATAATTTAGTTCATGATATTTGAATCATTCAATTCTTTCATTCAACAAACTGACCACCTATTATGATTAACACATTGTGTTGGGCACAGGGGATAAAAAAAGATAAGTTTGACCCTCAAGTTGCTCACATTTTAGTTGGAAAGTCAGATCATGCCAAAGAATTCTCTAAAACATTTGTAAGTTTAGAGCAAGCTACTAATGGGAGAAAGGCTCAGTGAAGTCTACTTTTTATTATGTTTTCCTTATATGGTGTCAGCTAATAAGTATTTGGGGAATAAATGTGTAGATAGTGGTCTGTTTAAAAGAAGTTACATTATTTGGCATTTATTACATTTTATTTTTCTTAATTGATTAATTGCAGTTAAATTACCTTAGCATGCAAGAGCAGATTTTACAGATTTTGACGTATGATTAAGCAGCATAAAGCATAACTAATGTGGTTTTAGTGGCATGCTATGTATTAAGGCATGAAATTTAAATACACACTTCATCAAGATTTTTTTGCAGTTACAGTGAATTAGAAAGATTCAGATATTGGAACTCCCTCCAACTCCTGTGTTAGGGAGAGGCAGGAATTTTATAATTGAGATTATTATAGAAGAGTGTCCTGACATAACTGATTGACTTTAGTGATGTGCCTTGAAAGTTCAAATTCAAGGTGTGCACTTATTTCAGTCAGCTTGTCCTGAATGTTTAAATAAGAAATACTCTTTCTGGGTATTCTGAATAACTCGTTGTACATTTATTCCTAATAGTGAGCATTTGGACTAATGATGGATTACTAATGAGCATGTAAACGTACCACCTGATTACATTAATATATGATCTTCCATGACGAGGTCTGAAATGAACATTTCTAATATGTATTTCTTTTCCCCAAATGGCACTGTGGTGTATACTGAGCGGGACTGAGATGAGGGTGTTTTTAAGAGCCACTGATTTAGTCAATTATCAAAAATCACATTATAATAAATGCTGTTCTAAGAATTTTGATAAACCTTTAAATAAATGTTACTTTGGAGAAAAAAAAATCTGCCAAATGCGTTAATGATAAATTGTGAAGTGGTAGTAATTGCAAGTATGGCTTTATAGATAATATAGTTAATTGATACCACCCTCTCAAGCATATACAGCACATCAGCTGCTATGAGCCTACGTGATAGTAATGGTGTCTATGGCATTTATGATGCATTGAGGATGACATGAGTAAAATGAAAACTTAGAGCACTCACCAGGGTCATTCTTTCATGGACATCTGTTGCCCATGGTCAAGTAAATTTTTAATGACACATAGTCACTACACACCTTTCAGCCTTCTGGAGAGGTAAGTGTACATTGATCTGTCCTAATTAGCCTTGCAGAGTACTTCAGACATCCCTGCAGGAACACTATTATTTAATAAAATAGAAGCTGTTTTTTCACAAGCTCAGCACTTGCTCCTTGGATAGCTGTATTGTTTTTTTGCTCTTCTCTCCTTTTAAAACTCATATCGCATGTCTCATGTTCGTCTTTGTCTTTGACAATGTAGTATTAATGCAGCTGCATGAAAAAGTAAGCAAAATTAAGGAATGAGTCTGATTATGAAGGTTCATTGCTATTCTAAGAACCCGTAGAGCACACATCCATTCCTTCCCTAATGACCCCCAAAAAAGGCAGCTTGACCCAGGAAAGTAACCCTTTTAAATTGTGGCATCTGGGCTGGGCGCCATGGCTCACACCTGTAATCCCAGCACTTTGGGAGGCTGAGGCAGGCAGGTCACTTGAGGTCAGGAGTTCAAGACCAAGCTGGCCAACATGAGACTTTGTCTCTTCTAAAAATACAAAAATTAGCCAGGCGCGGTGGCTCATGCCTGTAGTCCCAGCTACTTGGGAGGCTGAGACAGGAGAATCACTTGAACCCAAGAGGCAGAGGTTGCAGTGAGCCGAGATTGTGCCACTGCACTCAAGCCTGCGCTACAGGGTAGGACTCCTTCTTAAAAAAAAAAAAAAAAGGTGGAGTCTGGGCTATAGGGCCCAAGGTTCTGAATTTCTAACAAGCTCCCGATAATGCCCAAGCTCCTGGTCCATGGGCCACACTTTCAGTAGCAGGGTTCCAATAGTATTTCCTGGCCGAAGCCAGTGGCTCATGCCTATAATCCCAGCACTTTCGAAGGCAGCAGGTAGATCACCTGAGGTCAGGAGATTGAGACCAGCCTGGCTAACATGGTGAAACGCCATCTCTACTAAAAATACAAAAATCAGCTGGGCATGGTGGCACACACCTGTAATCCCAGCTACTTGGGAGTCTGAGGCAGGAGAATCGCTTGAACCCGGGAGGGGGAGGTTGCAGTGAGCTGTGATTGCACCACTGCACTTCAGCCTGGGTGACAGAGCAAGACCCTGTCTCAAAAAAATATAAAATACTGGCTGGGTGCAGTGGCTCATGCCTGTAATCCCAGCACTTTGGGAGGCCAAGAGGGTGGATCACCTGAGGTCAGGAGTTCAAGACCAGCCTGGCCAACATGGGGAAACCCTGTCTCTACTAAAAATGCAAAAATTAGCCAGGCATGGTGGCAGGCACCTGTAATCCCAGGTACTCAGGAGGCTGTGGCAGGAGAATCGCTTGAACCCAGAAGGCGGAGGTTGCAGTGAGCTGAGATCACACCACTGTACTCCAGCCTGGGCAACAAAAGGGAAACTCTGTCTCAAAAAAAAAAAAAAAAAAAGATGTCTATTTATTCAAATGAGGAATGCACATATACAAAATTCCAAAGGTACAAAAGAGTAAGCTGTTAGAATTTCATGTTTCTCTCCTGTCTCGCAGCCACGTTGGTTTGTTCTCCTGAGGGAAGAGCTGTTTCCAATTTCTTGTGTGCATTCTCTGAAACGGTTATGCATATACATTCACATCTGGGTGTATACAATTTTTTTTTTTTTTGAGACGGAGTCTCGCTCTGTCACCCAGGCTGGAGTGCAGTGGCATGATCTCGGCTCACTGCAAGCTCCACCTCCCGGGTTCACGCCATTCTCCTGCCTCAGCCTCCTGAGTAGCTGGGACTACAGACACCCACCACCACGCCCGGCTAATTTTTTGTATTTTTAGTAAAGACGGGGTTTCACCGTGTTAGCCAGGATGGTCTCGATCTCCTGACCTCGTGATCCGCCCACCTCGGCCTCCCAGAGTGCTGGGATTACAGGGGTGAGCCACCGTGCCTGGCCATATAATTATTTTTACACAAACTGTATGCCATTTACACTGTTCAGCACCTCACTTTTCTCACTAATGATATATCTTGGAGATTGGCCTCTGTGGGTGCAGGAAGGCTTCCTCACTTTTCATGGCTGCAGAGTCTATGGTACGGAGGTCCACAGTTTTATTTCATTTATTTATTTATTTAATTTTGAGACAGGGTCTCACTCTGTCACCCAGGCTGGAGTGCAGAGGCACCATCTCGGCTCACTGCAACCTCCCAGGTTCAAGCTATCCCCCTGCCTCAGCCTCCCTAGTAGCTGGGATTACAGGTGCCCACCACCAAGCCTGCCTAATTTTTGTATTTTTAGTAGAGACGGGGTTTTACCATGTTGGCCAGGCTGGTCTTGGACTCCTGAGCTCAAGTGATCCGCCCACCTCGGCCTCCCAAAGAGCTGGGATTACAGGCGTGAGCACCATGCCCACCCATGCCTCCTCTTTTTTTAAGAGAGAGAGTCTCACTCTGTCACCCAGGCTGGAGTGCAGTGGTGCAATCATAACTCACTGCATCCTCGAACTCCTGGGCTCAAACAATCCTCCTGCCTCAGCCTCCTGAATAGCTGAAACTACATGTGAATGCCACCACACCCAGCTAATTTTTTGTTTGTAGAGATGTAGAGACAAGGATCTTGCTATGTTGCTCAAGCTGGTCTTGAACACCTGACTTCCAGCCCTCCTCCTGCCTCAGCCTCCCAAACTGCTGGGATTACCAGAGTGAGCCACCTCGCCCAGCCTCCAGACCTTTTTGAATTCCAGAATTGAAAAGCAATTTTAGATCTATAATATGGTTTTTAGAAGATTGCTGAGGGCCTTGATAAGAAACAACAGTGGGGAGAGGAGAGCTTGAACTAACACTTACTGGAAGAAGACAAAGAAATCCTAGGCTGGGCACAGTGGCTCAGGCCTGTAAACCCTGCAGTTTTGGAGGCCGAGGCAGGCAGATCACTTGAAGTCAAGAGTTTGAGACCAGCCTGGCCAACATGGTGAAACTCCATCTCTCCTAAAAATACAAAATTATCCAGGTACAGTGGCACGTGTCTGTAGTCAGGAGGCTGAGGCAGGAGAATTGCTTGAAACGAAGAGGCGGAGGTTGCAGTGAGCCAAGATCATGCCACTGCACTCCAGCCTGGGTGACAGAATGGCATTTTGGTATTTTAGATACCAAAAAAAACCATTAAAAATTAAAAATAAAAACATAAAAATCTGCCCAGAGGCCAGGTGTGGTGGGTACACCGGTAATCCCAGCATTTGGGGAGGCCAAGGCAGGAGAATCACTTGAGCCCAGGAGTTGGAGACCAGTCTAGGCAACATTGCGAAACCTCATCTCTACAAAAAATACAAAAGTTAGCCAGGCATGGTGGCAGGCACCTGTAGTCCCAGTTACTCAGGAGGCTGAAGTGGGAGGGTGCTTTGAGCCCAGGAAGCAGAGGTTGCAGTGAGCCGAGATCTCGCCACTGCACTCCAACCTGGGCAAGAGAGCCAGACTTCATCTCAAAAATAAATGAATACATACTAAAATAAATAAAATGTATTTTTAAAATGCCTAGAACATTCTGTTCTTCTTTTTTTTTTTTTTTTTTGAGACGGAGTCTTGCTCCGTCACCCAGGCTGGAGTGCAGTGGTACAATCTCAGCTCACTGCAACCTCTGCCTCCCAGGTTCAAGCGATACTCCTGCCTCAGCCTCCTGAGTAGCTGGGATTACAGGCGCCTGCCACCATGCCCAGCTGTTTTTTGTATTTTTAGTGGAGCTAGGGTTTCACCATGTTGATCAGGCTGGTCTCAAACTCCTGACCTCGTGATCCACCTGCCTCGGACTTCCAAAGTCCTGGGATTACAGGTGTTGCGCCACCGCACCTGGCCGGGTTTTGTTTTCTCATTTCTGTTGTGTTTGTTTTGTTTTGTTTTTTCGAGATGGAGTCTCACTCTACTGCCCAGGCTGGAGTCAGTGGTTCAATCTCAGCTCACTGCAACCTCCAACTCCCGGGTTCAAGCAATTCTCCTGCCTCAGCCTCCCGAGTAGCTGAGATTACAGTCGCTCACTACCATGCCCTGCTAATTTTTGTATTTTTAGTACAGACAGGGTTTCACGATGTTGACCAGGCTGGTCTCAAATTTCTGACCTCAGACGATCCACCTGCCTCTGCCTCCCTAAGTGCTGTAATTACAGGCATGAGCCACTGTGCCTGGTCTGTTTTTGTTTGTTTGTTTGTCTTTTGAGACAGAGTCTAGTTGCCCAGGCTGGAGTGCAATGGCGTGATCTCGGCTCACTGCAACCTCTGCTTCCCCGGTTCGAGATTCTTCTACCTCAGCCCCCTAAGTAGCTGGGATTATTGGTGCATGCCACAACACCCAGCTAATTTTTTTTTTGTATTTTTAGTAGAGATGGAGTTTTCACCATGTTGGCCAGGCTGGTCTCAAGCTCCTGACCTCAAGTGATCTGCCTGTCTTGGCCTCCCAAAGTCCTTGGATTACAGGCATGAGCCATCATGCCTGGCCAGCAGGCAAGACATAGGGTTTATTAAGGGGACTTACAGGGTAGTCCAGACATGGCAGGTGGAACAGGAGAATCACACCTGCTTACAAAAAGCATGCAGTTGGGCCGGGCGTGGTGGCTCACGCCTGTAATCCCAGCACTTTGGGAGGCCAAGGTGGGCGGATCACAAGGTCAGATTGAGACCATCCTGGCTAACATGGTGAAACCCCGTCATCTCTACTAAAAATACAAAAAATTAGCCAGGCGTGGTGGGAGGTGCCTGTAGTCCCAGCTACTCGGGAGGCTGAGGCAGGAGAATGGTGTGAACCCAGGCGGCAGAGCTTGCAGTGAGCCGAGATTGTGCCACTGCACTCCAGCCTGGGTGACAGAGCAAGACTCTGTCTCAAAAAAAAAAAAAAAAAAAAAGCATGCAGTTTATAGAGCATTTCCACTTAGCACCCTCCCCCTAGCACCCTCCCTCTGGCAAACCTTCACTGAACCCCAAACAAAGGCCACCATCCCCTAGATGGTCCAGGGGTTCAGATGTTCCTCACAGATAAGAAATGAATCTCTGGGTTGGCCACTCCTGGATTCCTTAGCTTAGAATTTTCAACACATACTCTTCTTAAGACCATGGGGTCATTTTCAAGGTATGCTGATGTTACTGTTGTCAGATGTGTTTGCCATGCATCATAGCTAACCACTAGGAAGTTCTATAAGTGAGGCAAGGCCTTAAGAACATACTCTGAGCTAGAAGTGTCAAGTTGGAGGCCCTCGACATTAGAAGCCAGAGACTGGGTACACCCCACATAGTGAGAGAAGGTGAGGGATGTGGGGATGTGTCAGCTATATCCATTGCTACCCAGCAAACCATTCCAAGTCTTAGTGGAGAAAAATAACTTTTTTTTTTTTTTTTTTTTTTTGTCAGAGGCAGGTTCTCATTCTGTCACCCAGGCTGGAGTGCAATGGTGCAAACACGGCTTACTGCAGCCTCAACCTCCTGGGCTCAAGTGATCCCCCCCACCTCAGCCTCCCAAGTAGCTGCAACTACAGGCATGCATCACCATGCCCCAGTAATTTTTGTATTTTTTTGTAGAGAAGGGGTTTTGCCATGTTGCCCAGTCTGGTCTTGAAGTCCTGACCTCAAGGTCTCCACCCGCCTTGGCCTCCCAAAATGCTGGGATTACAGGCATGGGCCATCACACCCAGCCTGATGTTACTACTATAACTGTTTTGGGGTACCACGAACCATGCCCATATAAGATGGCAAACTTAACAAATGTTGTCTGTGTTCTGACTACCCTACCAACAAGCTTCCCTGTCTCTGTCTCTCTCCTCAGGCCTCCCTATTCATTCCTTGAGACATAAAAGTATTGTAATTAGGTCAATTAATAACCCTCTTAAGTATCCAAATGAAAGGAAGAGTCATATGTTTCTCATTTTAAATCAAAAGCTAGAAATGATTAAGCTTAGAGGCCAGGCGTGGTGGCTCATACCTATATTCTCAGCACTTTAGGTGGCCGAGGTGGCAAATCACTTGAGGTCAGTTTGAGACCAGCCTGGCCAACATGGCGAAACCCTGTCTTTACTAAAAACAGAAAATTAGCCGGGCACGGTGGCAGGCACCTATAATCCCAGCTACTCAGGAGGCTGAGGCAGGAGAATCGCTTGAACCTGGGAGGCGGAGGTTGCAGTGAGCCGAGATCACGCCATTGCACTCTAGCCTGGGCAACAAAGCGAGACACTATCTCAAAAAGACAAAAAAAAAAAAAAAAAAAAAGAAATGATTAAGCTTAGTTGAAAGCCAAGACAGGCCAATCAATAGCTAGGCCTCTTGTGCCAAACAGCCAAGTTGTGAATGCAAAAGAAAAATTCTTGAAAGAAATTAAAAACGCTACTCCAGTGAACACACAAAGGGTAAGAAAGTTAAACAGTCTTATTGCTGATATAGAGACAGTTTTAGTAGTCGGAACAGAAGATCAAACCAGCCACAACATTCCCTTCGGCCAAAGCCCAATCCAGATCAACATCCTAGCTGTCTTCCATTCTATGAAGGCTGAGCAAAGTAAGGAAGCCACAGAAGAAAAGTTTGAAGCTAGAAGTTAGTTCATGAGGTTTAAGAAAAGAAGCCCTCTCCATAACATAAAAGTACAAGGTGAAGCAGCAAATACTGATAGAGAAGCAACAAGTTATCAAGAAAATCTAGCTAAGATCATTGATGAAGGTGGCTACACTAAACAATGAATTTTCAGTGTGGACTAAACTGCCTTATATTGGAAAATGCCACCTAGGACTTTCACAGCTATTGAGGAGAAGTCAATGCCTGGCTTCAAAGCGTCAAAGGACAGCCTGACTCCTTGTTAGGGGCTAATGCAGTTGGTGACTTTATGTTGAAGCCAATACTCATTTACCATTTTAAAAATCCTAAGGCTCTTAAGAATTATGCTAAATCTACTCTGCCTATGCTCTATAAATGAAACAACAAAGCTTAATGATATCACATCTGTTCACAGCATGGTTTCCTGAATATTTTAAGCACATGGGTGAGACCTACTGCTCAGAAAACAAGATTCCTTTCAAAATATTACTGCTCAGTGATAAGGCACCTGGTCACCCACGAGCTCTGGTGAGGATGTACAAGGAGATCCATGTTGCTTTTTTCATGCCCACTAACACAACATCCATTTTGCAGCCCATGGAACAAGGAGTAATTTCAACTTTCAAGTCTTATTATTTCAGAAATATATTTCATAAGGCTATAGCTGCCACAGTGATTTCTCTGATGATTTGGGCAAAGTCCATCTAAAACCTCCTGGGGTTAGGCATGGTGGCTCATGCCTACAATCCCAACTTTTTGGGAGGCTGAGGTGGGAGGACTGATTAAGCCCAGGAGTTCAAGACTAGCCTGGGCAGCATAGTGAGACCCTGCCTCTACAGAAACAAAACAAAAACTAGCCAGGTGTGGTATGCAATCTGTAGTCCCAGATACTTGGGAGGATAAGGCAGGAACATCACTCAAGCACAGGAGGTTGAGGCTGCGGTGAGCCATGACTGCACCAGTGCATTCCGGTCTAGGCAAGAGAGCGAGACCCTGTCTTCAAAACAAAATACAAAAACCAGAAAAAGCCAACCCCCCATCTGGGAAGGATTCTTCATTTCATCTCATTTCATTATTTCATTTCATTTCATTTCATTTATTTATTTATTTCATTTCATTTCATTTCATCATTCCATTTCATTTCATTTCTTCCTTTCTTTTCTTTTCTCTTCTCTTCTTTTCTTTTTGAGATGGAGTCTTGCTCTGTAGCGCAGGCTAGAGTGTAGTGGTGTGATCTTGGCTCACTGCAACCTCTGCCTCCTGGGTTCAAGCAATTCTCCTGCTTCAGCCTCCCAAGTAGGTGGGATTACAAACATGCACCACCACACCTGGCTAATTTTTGTATTTTTAGTAGAGATGGGTTTTTGCCATGTTGGTCAGGCTGGTCTCAAACTCCTGACCTCACGTGATCCACCTACCTCAGCCTCCCAAAGTGCTGGGATTACAGGTTTGAGCCACTGTGCCTGGCTGGGATTCACCATTTTAAATGCCATAAAGAACATTTGTGGTTCATGGGAGGAGGTCGAAATATCAACATTAACAAGACTTAAGTTGATTCTAACCCTCACGGATGACTTTGAGAGGTTTAAGACTTCAGTAGAGGAAGTAACTACAGATGCAGTGGAAACAGCAAGAGAACTAGAAGTAGAAACTGAAGATGTGGCTGAATTGCTGCAACTTCATGACCTTGAACAAATAAGGAATTGCTTCTTACGGATGAGCAAGGAAAGTGGTTTCCTCAAATGGAATCTATTCCTGGTGAAGAGGTTGTGAATATTGTTGAAATGACAACAAATGATTCAGACTATGACCTAAACTTAGCTGATAAAGCAGCACCAGGGCTTGAGAGAATTGACTCTTGTTTTGAAAGAATTTCTATTGTGGGTAAAATGTCATCAAACAGCATTTCATGTTACAGAGAAATCTTTTGTAAAAGGAAGAGTCAACAGATGCAGCAAACTTCACTGTTGTCTTACTTTAAGAAATTGCTACAGCCACCCTAACCTTCAGCAACCACTACCCTGATTAGTCAGCAGCCATCAACATGGAAGCAAGACCCTCTACCAACAAAAAGATGTAACTCGCTAAAGGTTCAGATTGCCATTAGCATTTTTTAGCAATAAAATATTTTTAAATTAAGGTACATACATGTTTTTTAGACAATAGTCTTGCACACTTAAGAGACTACAGTGTAAACATTACTTTCATATGCACTGAGAAATAAAAATTTTGATTTTTTGACTGTGTGACTCACTGTACTTCAATATTCACTTTATTGTGGTGATCTGGAACTGAACCTGCAAGATCTTCCAGGTATGATGCCCGTATATGTTTCTAACAATTTGGAAAACAAATTTTTAGTAAGTGCAGTTTGTTTAATAGTAGTGGAACCAGCAAAAATAAGAAGAAAGGAATTAGATCAGTGGTTCTCAACTGAGGCTAATTCTGTTCCCCAGGGGAGATTTAGCAGTGTCTAAAGATTTTTTTGGCTACCTGAACTTGGTGGGGGAGCAGGGTACTACTGGTATCTATCTAGTAGATAAAGGCCAGAGATGCTGCTAAACATCCCACCACGGCAGGACAGCCCCGCAATGTCCGTAGTGCCATTGTTGAAAAATCCTGGATCACATGAACAATAGACACCAAAGAACCAGAATTATAAGGAGAAAGGGAACATTCTTTAAGACAACAGACCCCACCTCTTCAATTATGTAAGAACAACATATCATTTTCGACAAGACATACTTAAGTCTTTACGGCTGAAGTACCTATATGTCCATATTTTACAGTAACATAGCAAAAACAGGTGAAGCAAATATGTGAAATATTTGGGAAAGGGAGACTGAGAAAAGGCTACTGGCTTTAGGAATTAGGAAGTCATTGGTTTGGAAAGAACAGTTTCAAAGAAAAATGGGAAAATAAGCTAGGTAGCAAAAAGGATTCAGTTAGTTGGACATTAAGGAAGTAAGGAAATACTACCCTAAAAGGAAGGATGGAAAAAAAGAGTAATTCACAGAGGAGCAGAGTCAAATAAAGATTCAAGAGCCTATATACATTTATAAGTGGAGAGAAGAAAATAGTGGGGAGGAAGAAATTAAGGATAAAATGGGGGAATTACAATGATAATTGACTAAGCAAGAGCCCAGAGAAGCCAAAAAAAAAAGAAAGAATAAGAAAAATAAAAGAAAGATTCACAGTGTACATAATTTAAAATCCAGGATAGATTAATACACATAAGCTTTTAAGATCAAACTGACAATTAAAAATAACAAAAGAGAATGAGAGAAGTAGAAAGTTTCCTTCTCTAATGATTTAGAATGGAAGAGACCTTTTGTGAGGGCTAGAGAAATAGCCAAATGATATGGTCAGACATGGTGAGTCCTGCCAACCTCATAGGAGGGGTCTCAGACACTAACAGAAAGTAAGGAGAAAAACAGTAGTGTTACTCTTATGACAGACCCAGCTGATTAAAGATTTCATCAGTGTCAAAGATTTTGCTATGGCTTATGCCCTCCAGTGGTCATCTTTAAGTTTAAAAGGAAACAAAACTACTATGTGCCAAGTGAGGCAATTTACTCATCATCTCATTTATTCTTCACAAAAAGGTGAGATTATCCCTTTCTTTAAAGAAAAGAAAACTGAAGAGAGGTTACATAAGGCTATGGAGCTAGTGACTAAATGGAACAGAATTTAAAGCCAGGAGTTCACTGGAAGGCCTGTGCTCTTTCCATTCCTTGAAAATTTGGCCTCCCTTGTCAATGGTTGGCTTTTAGTACTCCTGCGGTCACTTGCACACTGCACACTTGACGAGTAGGTCAAAACTTAATTCCTTGCATGACAGGCAGGTACAGCACTTAAACTCTTCTGACAATAAGTGCTGACAAAGAAAAACTGAGCAAAAGTGGAATTCGAGAGAACTCTAAATTACACATTATTTGTTGAGCCCACAACCCAGAAAAAAGGTGAGCATTGCAATGAGCCCTTACAGGATGGGTCTATGAAACTATTGCCAGACTCCGTTATTCATGATCTTGAAAGACTGCCCAGGGCCTGATAAGGGGGTCTGTGGCAGAAGTGGGTGCAAGTTGGGAAAAAGGGAAGGAAGAAGCAGGGAACACTCCTCACCTCTTTGTGTTTCTCCAACAGGCTCTCCAGCCGCTCAGGTGCCCTCTGCCCTGGCCCCTTGTTTCTTTCAGCCTCATACTGACGCTGATTGATATCTTCGTGCAGACTCAGTTGGAGGGCAACTCTTACCAGGGAGGTCATCAGTTTCATAGCTTTGAGTAAGGAAAAAGAGATAAAGAAATCATTACTGAGGTCAGAGGAGAGAGGATGAGTAGAAGGAAAAATAGAAGGAAAGAAGGGCAATAAAAATGAGAAGCCAGAGGTAGGTGACCCTAAAATCCTGACTGCCTGTCCTGGAGTGGACTGTTTCCCTCTAACCCTTGTGGTCTTCTTTTAACCATCAGCATACCCTAGTGGTGAGCTCTGACAAAAATACTAAGCCTGGAAATTGTTGCTGTGATCTACCCCTTCTCAAAACTCCACCAGTGAGAAACTGGATTGAAGTTTAGGATAAAAGAGGCATGGCCTTGAAGTGAAGAGCCAAGACACAGGTAGGAAAGAAGACCCTGAATCAGAGAACAGAGGAAAGTCCTATAAATCCCCAGAAGAATGTCCGGAATGAAAATGAATGCTCACCAGCCAGGGTGCTAGTGTGACAGAAGGCGCAGACTTGTGAGTCTGAGAAGCCAGTGAGCAGGGAGATGAGGTTGTCCATAGGGAAGTCATCATGGAGGAGGATGTACTGGCACCGACAGACCAATGTCCCCACAAACTCACAGAAGCTGCCCTGGAACTTCTTCCAGGATAGACCTGGAGCTGTCAGAGGATAGTCCCCCGAGTCCTACAAAAGGATGTATGAAAAGGATGGGAAAGTTATGACCAGGTATATGAAGTCATAGGGGCTTGGATGTCAAAACCCAACAGTCTAGTAAAAATATCTGTTATGCTTCATTTCCTAGCTGTCTCCCCAGTTTGAGAGGCATATTCAGATCTCTTTTACCCCCAAGAGACTGAACTCCACCTTCTAAAAGCTACCCTATTTCACAGAATCAAAAAGAAGGGGATAATAGGCATTGTGTTTTGAAATAAGAGGGGTAAGAGGATCCTGGTCATCTTCTTCCACCTCATTAAACGCTCTGTTAGGTGCTGGATGATCTCTGAGTTGGACATCTTCTTGAACATCTCAGGGCTCACAGTGCCTAAAGAATGAAGGATATGAGGTGCTTACGAGGAAAATAACAGGATGCTGTGATCATTTACAGATATACCTGAATATGAGCAAGGAAACACTGTGCAAAGAGCTTAGGTGGGGAATCAAAAGACCCCCTGGTCAACGGTCTGCCAACATCCAACTGTGTATCTGCTATAAGGCAATCTCTCTAAAAACCCAAAGGAAGGGAGCCATAGGTTATGGTGTAGACACGGCCAAATCCAAAAACCACACCTCACACAACCAGGCTGAAAATTACACAGAAATGGCATCAAGAAACCCCAATCACAAAGATACAACTCTCTTAAGGGGATGGACCCCAAGTTCCTGAGGAATATGTGCTTTGCCAAGAAGCACAACAAGAAGGGCCTAAAGAAGATGCAGGCTGGCCGGGCGCAGTCGGTCAAGCCTGTAATCCCAGCACTTTGGGAGGCCGAGGCAGGAGAATCACAAGGTCAGGAATTCTAGACCAGCCTGGCCAACATGATGAAACCCAGTTCTCTACTAAAAATGGAAAAAATGAGCTGGGCGTAGTGGCGGGTGCCTGTAATCCCAGCTACTCGGGAGGCTGAGGCAGGAGAATTGCTTCAACCCGGGAGGCAGAGGTTGCAGTGAGCTGAGATCGCACTACTGCACTCCAGCCTGGGCAACAAGTGAGACTCTGTCTCAAAACAAAAAAAGCAAAACAAAAAAAAAAAGAAGATGCAGGGCAACAATGCCAGGGTCATGGGTGTACATGCCGAGGCTATCGAGCCCCTCGTAAAGCCCAAGGACGTTAAGCCCACTTGCCTACACTGCCCACCCCAAGCTTGAGAAGCATGCTTGTGCCCACAATGCCAAGGGGCTCAGACTGTACCAGCCAAAGGCCAAGGATCAAATGAAGGCCCAGGCTGCAGCTCCAGCTTCAGTTCCAGCTCAGGCTCCCAAAGGTGCCCAGGCCTGTACAAAGGCTTCAGAGTAGAGATCTCTGTCTGCCAACGTGAGGACAGAAGGACTGGTGTCCTCCTGCACTATTTGTACAAATAAACCTGAGGCAGGATTTGTTTAAAAAAAAAAAAGGAATCAAGCAGTGAAAAACTGTGCCCCAAAATAAACAACAACAAAACAACAACAACAACAAAACAGGCCAGGCGCGATGGCTAACGCCTGTAATCCCAACACTTTGGGAGGCCGAGGCAGGTGAATCACCTGAGGTCAGGAGTACAAGACCAGCCTGGCGAAACCCCATCTCTACTAAAAATACAAAAATTAGCCACGTAGGCCGGGCGCAGTGGCTCAAGCCTGTAATCCCAGCACTTTGGGAGGGTGAGATGGGCGGATCACGAGGTCAGGAGTTCAAGACCAGCCTGGCCAATATGGTGAAACCCTGTCTCTACTAAAAATACAAAAATTAGCTAGGCATGGTGGTGCACACCTGTAGTCCCAGCTACTCAGGAGGCTGTGGCAGAAGAATCACTTGAACCTGGGATGCGGAGGTTGCGGTGAGCCGAGATTGTGCCACTGGACTCCAGCCTGGGCGACAGAGCCAGACTCCGTCTCAAAGAAAAAAAAAAAAATTAGCCACATATGGTGGCACATGCTTGTAATCCCAGCCACTTGAGAGGCTGAGGCATGAGAATCACTTAAACCCAGGATGTAGAGGTTGCAGTGAGCCCAGATCGTGCCACTGCACTCCAGCCTGGACAATCGAGTGAGATTCTGTCTCAAAAACAAAAACAAAAACAAAACAAAACAAAACAAAAGAGAGTAATAAAACTAAGCCAGACGCTGATTTCTTATATAATACAACCTGACTGAGACCATCTGTCCCAATAAATCAAGCCATGGCAGTAAGAGTTCTGGGGGTACCACAGCTACAGAGGAGAAATATGGGCAAAGTAGCTGGGAAATAAAGAGTAAGAAAATAACAGATTATTGCATCTAGAAAGACTAAAAGGTGTCCTCAAATTTGTGCCATAACATAAGCATGATTACTTCTTTTTCCCCAAAGTTTCTTGTCTCTAAACCAACATGGTTCCCTACTGGATCACTTCCCGTATTTATCAACAAAAAATTTAGTTAAAGAAGTGAAACTTTTCTCTCTCTTTTTTTTTTTTTTGAAGACAGTCTGGCTCTGTCGCCCAGGTTGGAGTGCAGTGGCGCTATCCAGGCTCACTATAACCTCCACCTCCTGGGTTCAAGCAATTCTACAGGCATGAGCCACATACCCAGATAATTTTTTGTATTTTAGTAGGGGTTTCACCATGTTGCCCAGGCTGGTCTTCAACTCCTGACCTCAAGTGATCCACCCGCCTCAGCTTCCCAAAGTGCTGGGATTACAGGTGTGAGTCACAGTGCCCAGCCTAAATAAGTAAAATTTTTCTAATGCTTTACTATCTTCCTTTATTTAGGAAATATCTAATCCTACTTATCTAAATGGAGAAAGAATTCATAACATAGGAACAAAAGGCTGGGAATTAGAAAGGGGGAGCAGTTTCCTCACCTTTACATCCACAAGATCAGATGAAAAAGTTAACAAGCTCCAGAAATCCTGCATCCTGGTCTTGCTTGTAGCTATCCAGCCACTCATCTACCAAAGACTAGTAAAAAAAAAATACAGATGACTTCTACTTCTGGCAATATAACAGAACAGAAATCCTATATGATCTTCCCAGTTGAACCATCTAAACTTCTGTAAAACATTTAAAACATCTTTCACAATGTACTGGTGAACTAGAATGAAAGGTAAAATTTCATATAGTCCAAAAATGAGGTGTAGTAGCAACCCTGGGAGGTAAGCAAACTGACTTTTGCCCTAAAGGTTTCATTAATCCCTGGGGACCCTGACTTTGTATCCAGATGGCTGCATGGAGTGCAGAGCACAGGAGGTAGAGTCTAAGCTTCTTCCAAGACGAGTAGTCCAAGAGGAGGCACCTAAATAAAGCTGGGTCCTGCAAAGAGTCACATCCTCAAGGAAGTGAGATTGAACACTAAACCTATAGGGCAGATGGCGACAGCAAGAAAACTAGCTTGTTATGACCTGAGGGTGCAGTGGAGGGGAAAAAAAATAACTCCTCCTTGAGAATTCATAACCATAGTGAGCGCTCAGATCTGGATTTGCAGTCAAGATTCATACCACATACATGATCAGAATAATCTTTTTTATCTTTTCCTTTTGTTTTTTTTTTTTTTTGAGACAGTCTCACTCTGTAGCCCAAGCTAGAGCGCAATGGCGAGATCTCAGCTCACTACAACCTCCACCTCCCAGGTTCAAGCATTCTCCTGCTTCAGCCTCCCGAGTAGCTGGGATTACAGGTATGTGCCACCACGCCTGGCTAATGGCTAATTTTTGTATTTTTAGTAGACACAGGGTTTCACCATATTGGCCAGGCTGGTCTCGAACTCCTGACCTCAAGTGAGGCCCACCTTAGCCTCCCAAAGTGCTTGGATTATAGGCATGAGCCACCACACCCAGCCCAGAATAATCATTCAGATAATTAAAAGTGATTCAGGCTGGGAGCAGTAACCCAAGTAAAGTGAAACTCATGTTGCCCAGGCTGGTCTACCAAAAACAGAATAATTAGTCAGGCATGGTGGCACATGCCTATAGTCCCAGCTATGCGAGAAGCTGAGGTGGGAGGGTCACCACCTTGCCACTGAGGGAGGTCAAATCAGCAGGGAGCCGTGATAGCACCACTGCACTCCAGCCTAGAAAGAATGAGAACCTGTCTCAAAAAAAAAAAAAAAAGAAAAGAAAAGTGATTCTGGAGTGTCCCCAGGCAACTGTCAAAGCAACAGCACGTTCCTCTCTTGAAAACCCACCTTTGGGGCCAGGCGCGGTGGCTCACACCTGTAATCCCAGCACTTTGGGAGGCCGAGGCAGGCGGATCATGAGGTCAGGAGATCGAGACCATCCTGGCTAACATGGTGAAACCCCATCTCTACTAAAAATACAAAAATTTAGCCAGCATGGTTGCAGGTGCCTGTAGTCCCAGCTATTCGGGAGGCTGAGGCAGGAGAATGGCCTGAACCCGGGAGGCGGAGCTTGCAGTGAGCAGAGATCACACCACTGCACTCCAGCCTGGGTGACAGAGCGAGACTCGGTCTCAAAAAAAAAAAAACCCACCTTTGACCTAGGCCCCAAAGAACTCCAGGGAAAATGAGTGGCTCACAATAAACCTAGTAAAACATATAAAGAAACAAGGCACTGACAAAATTATTTCACAAACACTTTAGATAATCATCTATCATAGATTATAAAATGACTATGTTTAATAAAATTTTAAAAATAAAACAGGGAGAGAATGGGCTCAAAAAAAGAAATAAAAGGCCAGGCATGGTGGCTCGCACCTGTAATCCCAGCACTTTGGAAGGCTGAGGCGGGTGGATCATGAGGTCAAGAGATCAAGACCATCCTGGCCAAAATGGTGAAACCCCGTCTCTGCTAAAAATACAAAAATTAGTTGGGTGTGGTGGCGTGCACCTGTAATCCAAGCTACTCAGGAGGCTGAGATGGGAGAACTGCTTGAACCCGGGAGGCAGAGGTTGCAGTGAGCCGAGCTCACACCACTGCACTCCAGCCTGGGTGACACAGTGAAACTCCGTCTGAAAAAAACAACAAAAAAAAAAACAAATAAAAACCCAGACTATATTGTTTAGGGATACTTAGGTGACAAAATAATAGACACAAATAGAACATAATTACCATAAAAATCAGGACCTTGAGGGGGTTGGGGGGAAGGTTTAAGTGGAAAGAATGGAGCGGTGACAATGTGTGTCAACCTGGGAGGTGGTGACCCTGGAGTTCGCTTTGTAATTCCTCAAAATGAGCATTTATGTGCTATTCACTTTTCACAGGGCAGAATCTCTGAACTAACATGTTTAAGCAGCCATATAAAAAAAAAATTATTCTCAAAATGTCTCAAAAAAACAAAAATGTTATATATATACGTATAAAAGAAATATATACACATACGTATATATCTATACATATACGTGTGTATATATATGTATATATACATACACGTGTACATATATATATATATATATATATATATATATATATATTTTTTTTTTCCTAGTCGGGCGCGGTGGTTCACGCCTGGTATCTCAGCGCTTTGGGAGACCGAGGCGAGAGGATTGCTTGAGCCCTGAGAGTCTGAGACCAGCGTGAGCAACATAGTGAGACCCTTGTCTCTATTTTTTTTTTTTTTTTTTGAGTCGGAGTCTAGCTCTGTCGCCCAGGCTCGAGTGCAATGGCTCGATCTCAGCTCACTGCAAACTCCGCCTCCAGGGTTCAAACGATTCTCCTGCCTCAGCCTCCCGAGTGGCTGGGATTACAGGCGCCCGCCACACGCCCGGCTGATTTTTGTATTTTTAGTAGAGACGAGGCTTCAACGTGTTGGTCAGGTTGGTCTCGAACTCCTGACCTCAGGTGACCTGCCTGCTTGGGCCTCCCAAAGTGCTGGGATTACAGGCGTGAGCCACGGCGCCCGGCCTGAATAAATCTTTTAAAACATAAAGGTTTGGGTGAGTCCCTGGCCGGCCGGCACAAATGCCGGGGTGGGACCGCGAACCGGGTGGGACCGCAAACCGGGTGGGACACACTCGTTCCGGCCCGGGGGGACTCGGGCCAGCAGCCGGCCGCCGCGCGTGCGCACTTGGCGCGGGGTGGGGGGGAAGGAGGGGCCCGCGCTCCTACCTGTAGGTGGCCAACGCCGGGCGCTGGGCCGCCGCTCCTGCCTTGCACGTTAGAGAGCCGGTACATGCAGGTGGGAAGCTCCACACGGAGAGGCGCGCCGCGCCCGTGATAAGGTTTTACCTGGTACATCGGCATGGCGGAACCAAAGCAAGAGAGGGTGGCGCGTGCCAAACACCAACGCTCAGAAACCGTCCGAGGCTACGACTGGGGGCGGACATCTCCCTTGTGACCCTGCTGCGGTCGTTCGGGAAAAAAAAAAAAAGCAGTCCGGTGTGCTCTGATTGGCCCATGCTCTTTGACGTCACGGACTCGACCTTTGACGGAGCTAATAGGCGAAAAGGAGAGACGGGAAGTATTTTTTCCGCCCCGCCCAGAAAGGGTGGAGCACAACGTCAAAAGCAGCCAATGGGAGCCCAGGAGGCGGGGCGCCTGTGGGAGTCGTGGAGGGAACTTTCCCAGGCCCCGAGGCGGATCGGGTATTGAGTCCATGGAGCGAGCTGAGAGCTAGAGGTGAGCTGGGCTCGCGGTCTCCCTTCTCGCGCGTCCTCCTTGAGAACCACGGCGTTCCAACCTCCCTGGAAATGGGGGGAACATGGCCGAGGGGCGTGGCGAGGCGTGGAGGCCCCGGAGCGGCGTCCTCAGCGCCCCAGCCATCCAGTGCTCCTTGGTTGCGCCTTAAGGCCGAGGCAGGCTCCTTCGGGGTCTTTGGCTGCGGGCAAAGGATTCGGCCCTGTAAGGAGCTGGGTTCGGCCTGTCCCAGACAGGCCCTGCCCACATCCCATCACAGGGCCGTGAACTTGAAGCCCTAGCGTGAAATCCCCATAGACTGAATGCATTTCCTTTCTACCTGTTCTCTCTCCCCTTTTATTTTTATTTTTATATTATTTAATTTTTAATTTTTTATTTTTGTAGAGACGGGGATTTCGCTATGTTGCTGAGGCTGATCTCGAACTCCTGAGCTCAAGCAATCCGCCCGCCTTGGCCCCCCAAGGTGCTGGAATTACAGGCCTGATGCACGCTGCCTGGCCTTTTTAAAAAATTGAGGTTATTTTGGGGAAGGTAGAGCGTCCAGACACATCCTAATTTGCATAGCTGCGCAGTTTTACAAAATGCAATGCATTTCTACCTGTTAGGATATGTGATTTCTGGCTGGTAAGCTACACCGAATCTTGGCTAGCACAGTTGCATTCCATGTCAGATATGTAAACACAAATTCGCTCTCTGCATTTAAATATATTAGATAGATTTAAGTAACTACATTTAAATGTATTCACATTTAAATACATTTTCGGTCTGTATCTAAATGCGCTCCCTCCTGAAAATAAATATCTGAAGTGGGCCGGGCGCGGTGGCTCACACCTATAATCCCAGCACTCTGGGAGGCCAAGGCGGGTGGATCATGAGGTCAGGAGCTCATGCCTAGCCTGGCCAACATGGTGAAATCCAGTTTCTACTAAAAATACAAAAATTAACTGGGCATGGTTGGCGGGCGCCTGTAATCCCAGCTACTTGGGAGGCTGAGGCAGGAGAATCGCTGGAACCCAGGAGGCGGAGGTTGCAGTGAGCTGAGATCGAGCCACTGCAGTCCGGCCTGGGTGACACAGCAAGACTCCGCCTCAAAAAAAAAAAAAAAAATCAGAAGTGGACTGTAGCCTATAGTGTGTTGCCTAATAAATTTATTTTTAGAGATACTTCTTTCAATTTTCTGTGAGGTCATCTGCAGTTTCACATGGTAGACAGACTTAGGTGAGATTCTTAGCAAGGTGGAATGAAGAGTAAAGAGGTTTGTTTATTTCACAAGGGTTTATTGAAGGCCTACAATGTGGTAAATGCTGTAGGAAATACCCAATGATTTCTCTTTCATGGAGGTTTCCTGCCTTCTCTTAACAAGTTATCAATTAAACGGTTTACTGGAAATTGCTAAGTTAATGAACACACGGGATACATTCTTTGGATGAGCAGACATTGGTTGGGCAGAGGAGGAAGAGGAGAGTGGTTTAGAGAGAGACCTGCTTATACACTGTAGTGTTTAAAAGAGCTTGTGATGTTCAGGAAACAATTGTTCACTGCGCTACAATATAGGGGACGGCCGGTTGCAGTGGCTCACACCTGTAATCCTAGCGCTTTGGGAGGCCAAGGAGGGCAGATCACCTGAGGTCAGGAGTTCAAGACAAGCCTGCCCAACATGGTGAAACCCCATCTCTACTAAAAACACAAAAATTAGCCGGGTGTGATGGTGGGTGCCTGTAATCCCAGCTACTTGGGAGGCTCAGACAGGAGAATCGCTTGAACCTGGGAGGCGGAGGCTGCAGTGAGCTAAGATCATACCATTGCACTCTAGCCTGGGCGACAGGGTGAGCACTCTCAAATAATAATAATAATAAATAATAATAATGGTGATGATGTAGGGGACTTGATGAAGGGAAAGGATTAGAGAGATTCTGAAAAGAAGGTAGTTTTGGGCCCAGTGATGACTAGATCTTAAATTTCATGTAGTAGGAAGTGGGGCACTAGTAAATTTTTAAGAAGAAAAATTATTTGACCAGATCTGTGATTTCAAAAATATCTCTGGTGATAGAGTGGAGGATGGCTTGGAGCAGGGAATAAGGGCAGATAAAACTGTTATAAAACTCTTAAAGTTAGTACAGCAAGAACTTTGAGGGTCTTTGCTAAGACAGCAGCTGGCAGCTTCAGTTTGGAGTAGGGTATCAAAGGCAACTGTGTATAAGGAATAGTTATGTAACTGGTACCCAATTTCTGAGATGATTTTAACTTAAACATTGTGTATTTTCCAGCATACTGTTGGTTTTTCTAATTATGTGGGAAATTATGTTGCTTTCACTTTTTTTTTTTATTTTTGCTCCTTACCCAGGCTGGAGTGCAATGCTGCAATCTCAGCTCACTGCAACCTCTGCCTTCTGGGTTTAAGTGATTCTCCTGCCTCAGCCTCCCGAGTAGCTGGGTTTATAGGCGCCCACCGTGATGCCTGCCTAATTTTTTGTATTTTTAGTAGAGACAGGGTTTCACCATGTTGGCCGGGATGGTCTCCAACTCCTGACCTCAAGTGATCCGCCTGCCTCTGCCTCCCAAAGTGCTGGGATTACAGGCATGAGCCACCCCACCAGGCCATGCTTTCAGTTTTCAAGAAAGACACCATTGTTGCCAAAGATTTTGGTAATTTGAGAGATAGAATGTATGTTTTCTCCATGTGGATCCTAGTATAATTAGATAGTAAGGATCTGTTGAATTTGAAGTATCTATCCAGAAGTATCTTGGGTACATGTTTAAGGATTGTAAAACAGTGTTTCTATTTCTGGATATAATAAATGTATTTGTTAATATAATAAATGAATAGATTAGACCCATAAACTATTTACAGTGTTGAGTCATTTCCCACAGTTAAAATCAGGATGAAAATATATAGCTGAATACTTGCTTTGTTTCTTGTAACATTTCTTTAGTACAGAACCTGCTAAGGCCATCAAACCTATCGATCGGAAGTCAGTCCATCAGATTTGCTCTGGGCCGGTGGTACTGAGTCTAAGCACTGCGGTGAAGGAGTTAGTAGAAAACAGTCTGGATGCTGGTGCCACCAATATTGGTAAGTTTGGGAGAGTTTTAAGCCACAAGAAATGATCAGTGTGTGTTGTTGTAGTCAAGAAACATTTGTTATTGAAATAAGACTATCAAGTGTTGATGTAGTAATAAACTATTATTTTTAAGTTAAAGTTAGCACCTATTATGTGCCTAGTACTTAGCTAGGTAGTAATAATAATAACGACAGCTTTTCTTGTGTTCTTATGGTGTGCCAGGCAGGTGTTATGCTAAGAATTGCACAGAAATATCTCATTTAATTTGCAGAATAGCTGGGCGTGGTGTCTGACGCCTGTAATCCTAGCCCTTTGAGAGGCTGAGGTGGGGGGATTGCTTGAGGCCAGAGTTCAAGACCAACCTGGCCAATTGGTGAGACCTCGTCTCTATTAAAAAAATAAAGTAGGCTGGGTGTGGTGGCTCACACCTGTAATCCCAGCACTTTGGGAGACCAAGGCGGGTGGATACCTGAGGTCAGCAGTTTGAGACCAGCCTGTCCAAAATGGTGAAACTCTGTCTCTACTAAAAATATAAAAATTAGCCGGACCTGGTGGCAGAAGCCTGTAATCCCAGCTACTTGGGAGGCTGAGGCATGAGAATGGCTTGAACCCGGGAGGCAGAGGTTGCAGTGAGCCGAGATCGTGCCACTGCACACCAGCCTGGGACAGAGCAAGACTCCGTCTCAATAAAATAAAATAAAATAGGCGTGGAGTAGTGGCTCACATCTATAATCCCAGCACTTTGGGAGGCAGAGCAGGGCTGATCATTTGAGGTCAGGAGTTCAAGACCAGCCTAACCAACATGGTAAAACCCTGTCTCTACTAAAAATACAAAAATTAGCCAGATGTGATGGTGCATGGCTGTAATCTCAGCTCCTCGGGAGGCTGAGGGAGGAGAATTGCTTGAACCTCGGAGGTGGAGGTTGCAGTGAGCCAAGATCAGATCATGCCACTCCATTCCAGCCTGGGTGACAAGAGCAAAACTCCATCTCAAAAAAAAAACAAGAAAAAAAAAGAAAATAACAAAATAAAATAAACCTAAAAAATTATTAATCAGCTGAGTAACTTTATGAGATAGAACTTATTATCTTCATTTTACAGATGAGGAAATTAAGGAACAGGAAATTTCCTTTTTTTGAGATTATAAAGCTAATAAAATAGGATCCAGGAAGTCTGATTCCAGAACCAGTTGTCTTTTTTTTTTTTTTTTTTTGAGATGGAGTTTCACTCTTGTTGCCCAGGCTATAGTGCAATGGCATGATCTCGGCTCACCGCAACCTCCGCCTCCCGGGTTCAAGCAATTCTGCCTCAGCCTTACGAGCAGCTGGGATTACAGGCATGCACCACCACACCTGGCTAATTTTGTATTTTTAGTAGAGACAGGGTTTCTCCACGTTGGTCAGGCTAGTCTGGAACTCCTGACCTCAGGTGATCTGCTCACTTTGGCCTCCCAAAGTGCTGGGATTACAGGCATGAACAACCGTGCCTGCCCCCGCTTTCTCCTTACTGGGTATGTTAAAATTATTTCTTTCAAAAGAAAAGGCTGGTCAAAGTGCAACGGTGTTAACCACTAATTGATCACAACCAGTTACAGATTTTTTTGTTCCTTCTCCACTCCAACTGCTTCATTTGACTAGCCTATGGACAAAAAAAAAAAAAGAGGAAAGAAAAAGCTAAACTATTTAATCTGGGCTAGTAAATGGCCAGAAAGGGCTTTATAAAAATGAAATATACAAAATGATACTCGTACGTTTAACTAAAGGTATAGTTATGACTCTTCAATTTGCATATGTTATAAATAATATCAATATAAAAGCTTATAGCATGGGTCCATTTTTTTTTTTTTTTTTCTTTTTGAGACGGAGTCTCACTGTCTCCCAGGCTGGAGTGCAGTGGTGCGATCTCGGCTCACTGCAAGCTCCGCCCCCCGGGTTCATGCCATTCTAGCATGGGTCCATTTTTAATAAATACATAAATATTTAAACTTTCTAGATCTAAAGCTTAAGGACTATGGAGTGGATCTCATTGAAGTTTCAGACAATGGATGTGGGGTAGAAGAAGAAAACTTTGAAGGCTTAAGTAAGTTGACTTTTTCTAATCCTATTATAAAATAATTGGGCCACATGTCTCAGAATTTTGAGTAACACTGTCTTGGGAAACGCAAAAACAGTTTTTTAAGCCAGTTACTAGATATCATGTATATCCGTTGTTTTAGCACTTGAGGTATCTTAGTCCTTACTTTACAGTCTCTTTCAGCTCTGAAACATCACACATGTAAGATTCAAGAGTTTGCCAACCTAACTGAGGTTGAAACTTTCGGCTTTCAGGGGGAAGCTCTGAGCTCACTGTGTGCACTGAGGTGATACAATGTTTTTATCCATTCACTTGACCCCTTAGAAAAACCTCTCAGAAAGTTAATTGGAATCGTTATTATTTACAATTTTCTATCTCGGTATCTCAGCTTCTAGCTTCTGAATTCTGTTTTGTCTCACTGCCAATCTAAGTCCTAATACTTCTGAAATGTGGGAAATAAATGAATGAAATGAAGCAAATAGTATTGTTAAAAAAAATGGTTACCCTTATTAGAACAGTAACTTCTCAATTTTAACATAACATATAGGTAATAAATGATAGTTACCATTGCTTTTCATCATCAAATTTTAGGGAAACATTTCACCAAAGCACTATTTAATTATAGCACAGATACTAAATTTTTATAATTATATTTAAATATATATATACATATATATGTGTGTGTGTATATATGTGTGTATATATATATATATGTATTTTTTTTTTTTTTTTTTTAAGACAGAGTCTCACTCTGTCACCCAGGCTGGAGTGCAGTGGCACAGTCTCAGTTCGCTGCAATCTCTGCCTCCCAGGTTCAAGTGATTCTCGTGCCTCAGCCTCCTGAAGAGCTGGGACTATAGCGTGCACCACCACTCCTGGCTAATTTTTGTATTTTTAGTAGAGATGGGGTTTTGCCGTGTTGCCCAGGCTGGTCTGGAACTCCAGGCCTCAAGTGATCTGTGCTCCTCGGCCTCCCAAAGTGCTGGAATTACAGGCATGAGCCACCGCACCCTGCCCTACATATACATTTTAATTATAATATCTTTTGGATTCTTTAAAAATTTTAAAAAAATTTTTTAATTCTTTAAAACAATTTTATTTGAAGAGTAATAACAAAACAAATCTCTATTTGTGAATAAATAAACCTTGAGATCATTTATGGTTTTGCAATTCAACCTGAAAAATGAAATCAAAGCTTTTATCAAAACAAAGCATGTTTAGTGCTCTCTGTCTCGCTGTCCTTTAGATGCCAAACCTTAGATTTTATGATGACTCCTCAACCGTTTAGATCTTGGTTATCTCAGAGGGATCATCAGCTTTTTAAGAAAGTTTTGAGAGAAAAGCAAGTGAAGAAAAACATAGTCAATGCTCAACATCACGGGTCTCTCACTGAACACACCACACCTGGTATTCTCTCACAGCGATGTCACCATTTCTACCTGCCACGCATCGGCGAAGGTTGGGACTCGACTGGTGTTTGATCACGATGGGAAAATCATCCAGAAAACCCCCTACCCCCACCCCAGAGGGACCACAGTCAGCGTGAAGCAGTTATTTTCTACACTACCTGTGCACCATAAGGAATTTCAAAGGAATATTAAGAAGGTACAGTAAATTAATCCTGGTTTTCAAGAGTATTGGTTAATGCACATGAGCAAAAGATTTACTAAAGATGTTTATTCTTCAGTTGATTCTCTTACCATAATCTATTGAGACATGCTTTATTTGCATTTCTCGTTAAAGACTTAACATTAAAGACTTAACTTTAGGGTGATTTACTTTTTTCTTTTCATCACATAGTGTTTATTAGGACTGGGCAACATAGTGAGACTCTGTTTCTATGAAAAATTAAAAAAAAAATTGACTGGGCATGGTGGCATCCACCTGTAGTTCCAGCTACTTGGGAAGCTGAAGTGGGAGATTCACTTGAGCCCAGAAACTTGAGGCTGCAGTGAGCTATGATTGTGCCACTGTATTTCAGACTGGGAGACAGAGTAAGACCCTGTCTGGAAAAATATATAAACATATATATATTTTATTTTTATTTTTTATTTTTATCTTTTTTTGAGATGGAGTCTTACTTTGGCGCCCTGGCTGGAGTGCAGTGGCACGATCTCGATTCACTGCAACCTCCACCTCCCGAGTTTAAGCGATTCACCTGCCTCAGCCTTCTGAATAGCTGGGATTACAGGCGCGCACCACCACACCTGGCTCATTTTTGTATTTTTAGCAGAGACGGGGTTTCACCATGTTGTCCAGGCTGGCCAGGCTGGTCTCGAATTCCTGACCTCAGGTGATCCACCCACCTCGGCCTCTCAAAGTGCTGGGATTATAGGCGTGAGCCACCATGCCTGCCTTATGTACTTATATTTTAATGAGACTATTTCTCTTGGTTTTCTGATAAATGAGTTACTGGAACCCTTATGAATCTGAATGCAAAAGAAACAGCTAAATGTTATGTAATTGTTGTGTTTAAAAACCAGATTATAAAACTATCTGTATTATATGATTACAGTTTTATAAAAACAAAACAGCGGCCTAAATGTGTATAGTATAAAGGCTGGAAGAGTCAGCACTTTCATGTTCTCAGCGGTTATCCTTGGATGTGAGATCTCATGCACTTTTTGCTCTCTTCTTTGTGCCTTTCCATTTTGTATGTGTATTTTTTACAATCTAAAAAGTTACTTAAACATATGCAGCTAAAAACTTTTTTTACTCGTAAAGCATTTGGTGCTAATTTTAACTGTTCTTTTTTTAGACAGAGTCTTCTCACTCTGTCGCCCAGGCTGGAGTGCAGTGGTGTGATCTTGGCTCACTGCAACCTCTACCTCCTGGGTTCAAGTGATTCTCCTGCCTCAGTCTCCCAAGTAGCTGGGATTATAGGTATGTGTCACCATGACCAGCTAATTTTTGTATTTTTAGTAGAGATAGGGTTTCCCCATGTTGGCCAGGCTGGTCTTGCACCCCTGACCTCAAGTGATCTGCCTGCCTCAGCCTCCCAAAGTGCTGGGATTACAGGCATGAGCCACCACGCATGGCCTTTTTTTTAAAGCTTTTTTGTAAGTCAGCTAGCAAGAACACAGAAAGAAATACTCAAATCTCCCTTACCCAGCTGGGGGCTATGTCAGGTTTTATAAGCATAGGGTAATGAGTTGTGATTTGATTGGATCTTGCAATAAAGTAATGCTGGGAGGTGTGATCTGACTGGATCCTGCCATGGGGTGACACCAAAACTCAATCTGATTGGATCCTGGCTCCTGCCATGGAGTGTCCAGTTCTTAAATCAGTCTCAGCTCTTCAGGCCGAGCTTTTAGTTTCCACTCCATGGTTGCATGCTTGGTTAACCTGGGCATGCACAGGGTACATGCCCTTCAACCTGTGGGTCCATGGCAATTGAAAAACAACTGACAACCTCATTACATAAAAGTTGAACTGAGCCGGGTGCAGTGACTCACGCCTGTAATCCCAGCACTTTGGGAGGCCAAGGCAGGTGGAGGTCAGGACTTCAAGACCAGCCTGGCCAAAATGGTAAAACCCCGTCTCTACTAAAAATATAAATATTAGCCAGGTGTGGTGGTGCACCCTTATAATCCCAGCTATCTGGAGGCTGAGGCAGCAGAATCACTTGAACCTAGGAGGTGGAGGTTGCAGTGAGCTGAGTTCATACCACTGCACTCCAGCCTGGGTGACAAGAGTGAAGCTCCGTCAAAAAAAAAAAAAAAAAGTTGAACCAGATTTGGTCTGATGCAGTTACAGATCTACAAACCTCACCCCCACCCTCCTGCCAACACCTTCCACTCCTCATTCTTGAGGGATTAGGGATGGAGGTCATGCTTCTGCTTTGACTTCATGCTGAGCAGGGCACTGAGTCCCCTAAAGTGAAAGGAATGAAACTCTTGGGCTTCTGAGTTCAAATGAGTTCTGGGGTCACCTGGAGTAGCTTGAAAGGCTGGTATTGTTGTAATACAAGCTGAAGGTGGAAGTGTTGGAGCCTGGAGGACAAACAGCTCACCATCCATTTAATAAATAGGACCAAAAAGTAACAGAACAGTGGCCACGAGGGGCCCCAACAGAGGAAGAAACCAGGTGAGGTGCGGTATAGTGGACTCGACTGCCTTCTAAATCTCCGTTGTTGGCCGGGTGCAGTGGCTCACGCCTGTAATTCCAGCAAAAGAAAAGCCGAGGCAGGGTGATCACGAGGTCAGGAGTTCAAGACCAGCCTGGCAAACATGGTGAAGCCCTGTCTCTACTAAAAATACAAAAATTAGCTAGGCATGGTGGCATGTGCTGTAGTCCCAGCTACTCGGGAGGCTGAGGCAGGAGAATCACTTGAACCCGGGAGGCGGAGGTTGCAGTGAGCTGAGATTGTGCCACTGCACTCCAGCCTAGGTAACAGAGCAGGACTCCATCTCAGTCAATCAATCAATCAATCAATCTCAGCGGTTGAACTACCCTTGACATGGTTCAGCTCTGTATCCACACCCAAATCTCATGTCAAATTGTAATTCCCAGTGTTGTGGGAGGGACCTGGTGGGAGGTGATTGGCTCATGGGGGCCGACTTCCCCCTTGCTGTTCTCGTGATATTGAGTGAGCGCTTGTGGGATCTGGTTGTTTAAAAGCGTGCAGCCCTCCCACTTCACTCTCTCTGTCTCTCCTGCTCCAACATGGCCAGACGTGCCTGTTTCCCCTTCGCCTTCTGCCGTGATTGTCAGTTTCCTGAGGCCTCCCCAGCCATGCTTCCTGTACAGCCTGCAGAACTGTGAGTCAATTAAACCTCTTTTCTTCATAAATTACCCAGTTTCTCATAGTTCTTTATAGCAGTGTGAAAACAAGACTAATGGCCCTTCTGGTTGAAGGAATGCAGCCATTCTGCTTGTTTGACTATGTCCTTTCTATTCATCTCTATTTCCTGGGAGGTGTTTATCCAAGTGCAATAGGAGGTATTGGTGACCGCACAGTCCCCTCAGTGTTCTGCTAGTAAATAGTTGAAGGTTGATCAGTGATCTCCTGCGTTTTCAGTCTGGCATGGAAAAGCCCCCATGCAACTGGTAAAGATATCAGTAAGCACCAGGAGGTATCTAAATCCACCAGGAGCCATAGGCATCACGTTGATGTCCATTTACCAGTCTTCCCTGGCAAGATTCTTCTGAATTGTGCTGCCTTGACCAAAAGAGGTATGGGAGGGGCTGGGCGCAGTGGCTTGTGCCTGTAATCCCAACATTTTGGGAAACCAATTCAGGTGGATCATTAGAGGTCAGGGGTTCAAGACCATCCTGGCCAACATGGTGACATCCCATCTCTACTAAAAATACAATAAGTTAGCTGGGTTTGGTGTTGGGTGCCTGTAATCCCAGCTACTCGAGAGGCTGAGGCAGGATAATCACTTGAACCTGGGAGGAGGAGGTGGCAGTGAGCTGAGATTGTGCCATTGCACTCCAGCGTGGGCAACAAGAGTGAAACGTCGTCTCAAAAAATAAAAAAAAAGTCCAGGCGTGATGGCTCACACCTGTAATCCCAGCACTTTGGGAGGCCAAGACGGGTGGATCACGAGGTCAGGAGTTCAAGACCAGCCTGGCCTAGATGGTGAAACCCTGTCTCTACTAAAAATGCAAATATTAGCTGGACATGGTGGCATGCACCTGTAATCTCAGCTACTCAGAAGTCTGATGCAGGAGAATTGCCAAAACCCAGGAGGGAGAGGTTACATTGAGCCGAGATTGCACCACTGCACTCTAGCCTGGGCGCCAGAGCAAGACTCCATCTCGAAAGAAAGAAAGAGAAAGGAAATTCCCCAGGGAAGTACCTCAGCTTATTTCATAAACAGGTACTGAAGGAAGCAGAGGCTTGTGGAGGACTTCCCCACCTCATGCAGCTATTTGGGCCATGGCGTCTGAAATTTATTATTTCAGAGTCACCCCTTTGATGACCTTGGCAGTGGACTGCAGTCATCTGTTTAGGCCTCCCCATGGCCCGTGTCAATGCCGGTATTTCTGTTTGTTGCACATTTGATTTCCTTGTTGTTGGCATTTAGAAGGCCCCCCGTTTCCCAGATCACACCATGGGCATGGACTGCAGAGATTGCGTCTTGTGAGTCTGTAGAAACAGTCAAGGCCTTGTCCTCTCTTAGGTCCAGAGCTCAGGTTAATGCAGATTTTCCCGGCCATCTGTGCTGAAGTCCCTGTGGGGAGGCTCCTGGCTGGTTTCCTGTAGGTAGACAGCTACACGTCCTGCCCTTCATTGGCTTCTTTTCATGAAGCTCCTGCCATCTACAAAACATGTCCCTTCTTGAATCACATCTCTGTTATTGAAACTCTAGAAGTCGACCGGGCATGGTGGCTATGCCTATAATCCCAGCATTTTAGGATGCCAAGGCGGGTGGATCACCTGAGGTCAGGAGTTCAAGACCAGCCTGGCCAACATGGCGAAATCCCGTCTCTAATACAAATACAAAAATTAGCCAAGCATGGTGGCCACTGTACTCCAGCCTGGGCGACAGAGCAAGACTCCGTCTCAAAAAAAAAAAAAAAAAAGAGAAAGAAAGTATCATGCTTTTCTGCATTCTGTGAATTGTTTTAGTGAGTTATCGAACTTGAGGGCATGGTGGGAACCTCCAAATTTGCAGCCAGTTGGTGAGAAGTACATGTGGTCTGAGGACACCCAAGCCTGCAGGTGTGTCTAAAGCGAGGGCAGCCTAGTGGGGGCTGGTGGCCTTAACCTGTGGCATTTGAGGTAACATCAGGGAGTTGACATCAGAATTGCATCACATAGGCTGGGCGCGGTGGCTCACGCCTGTAATCCTAGCACTTTGGGAGGCCAAGGCGGGCAGATCACGAGGTCAGGAGATCGAGACCATCCTGGCTAACACAGTGAAACCCCGTCTCTACTAAAAATACAAAAAATTAGCCAGGCATGGTGGCGGGTGCCTGTAGTCCCAGCTACTTGGGAGGCTGAGGCAGGAGAATGGCGTGAACCCAGGAGGCGGAGCTTGCATTGAGCCAAGATCACGCCACCGCACTCCAGCCTGGGTGACAGAGCGAGACTCCATCCCCCCCCCCCAAAAAAAAAAGACAAAAAACAGAATTGTGTCACATAGGCCAGATGCAGTGGCTCATGCTTATAATCCCAGCAATTTGAAAGGCAAGGTAAGAGGATCGCTTGAGCTTGAGTTTGAGGCCGCAGTGAGCTATGACCACACCACTGCACCCCAGTCTGGGTGACAGTGCAAGACCCCAACTCCAAAAAGAAAAAAGAAAAATCACAAAGAATTGCATGGCAGAGTGCCTGTCTTTCACAGCTTTAACTGCTGCAGGAACTTCCTTTTTTTTTTTTTTTGAGAGGGGGTGAGGAGACACAATCTCTGCTAGTGATTCTCTTGCCTCAGCCTCCCAAATAGCTGGGATTATAGGCGTGCACCACCACGCCTGCCTAATTTTTGTATTTTTAGTAGAGACAGGGTTTCACCATGTTGGCTAGGCTGGTCTCAAACTCCTGCTGGGATCATGGGCGTGAGCCACCACGCCCGGCCACCTTTAGAGTTTTCTTACCACCTGGTTTTCCTCTCTCAATATCTTTCTCTCATTTCCTGCCTTAAAACTCTAGCTTGGCATCTGGGCGCAGTAGCTCATGCCTGTAATCCCAGCACTTTGGGAGGCCGAGGTGGGTGGATCACTTGAAGTCAGGAGTTCGAGACCAGCCTGGCCAACATGGTGAAACCTTGTCTCTACTATTTTTACAAAAGTTAGTCGGACGTACAGACGGGTGCCTGTAGTCCCAGCTACTTGGGAGGCTGAGGCAGGAGAATTTGTTTGAACCCGGAGGTGAAAGTTGCAGGGAGCCGAGGTTGTGCCACTGCACTCCAGCCTGGGAGACAGAGCAAGACTCTGTCTCCAAAACAAACAAACAAACAAAAAAACCCTGTAGCTTGGGATCAGCCTTCTCTTCTATTGTTTTTCTTTAAAAAATAAAAATTAAAAATAGATGTAGATGCTATGTTGCTGAGGCTGGCCTCAAACTCCTGGCCTCAGGTGATCCTCCCGCCATGACCTCCAAAACTGCAGGGATTGTAGGTGTGAGCACTGCACCCAGCCTTATGTTTTTTTCTACATAAAAAACAGCACAGGATTATCTTCCAGAGCTAATAAATATGTTCAAATAACCACAACCCCATTAAGGAAAAATATCACTGGGCAGCAAATAATCAGTCCAGACCAATATGATCACAATTGCTGTGAAGGTGAGAAAAGTTCATTTTTATTATGTTTCCCCAAGAGACGCACTCTATTGTTCTCTTGAAAACACACAGCTCATGTCCTCCTTTAGAACACACATCCTCTTTAAAGTAATATACAAACATGCCAAAACAAGGTAAAAAATTACATCTGAATTCTCACATTTCAAATATATATGAAATATCAAATAAAAATTTATTTTTACAAGAATTTAGGGGAACTACTACATAGCTATAAATGTAATATATATGTTAACTAAGTATCATAGATAAAAACATGCTCCCTTCAGCAGCACGTGTAATAATAGATACAAAGATTGAAAGGTAAAAGATTTAGGATGAAAAGAATCCTCTCTTAAAAAGGAAAACAAAATTATATGTATGTGTATATAACAGTTATAATACCCATCACACAGCTTTATAGAAACAGCATCTATTCAAAAATACCAGTATTTCCAAAATATTTAAAATAATATTTAAAGTAATAATAATATTTAAATAAATAAATATATTTAATAAATATTTAAATAAATAAAATAATATTTAAATAATTCTATACCCATGTTTTTCAAAATAAACCAATAAAATAGATAGTATATATTAGACGTGTTAGTATATATATCTGAGACATGTTAAAAATCACAACTGAATTCTCACAATTCAGTCACAAACCTAAACAGCAAATAAAAATTTCTATCACCAGAATTATGTTTTTTTCTGGTGGGGAACTACCAATAGCTATAAATAGAAGAGATTATTATGGAAGTATCATAGATAAAAAGAGTGCTCGCTTCAGGAGCACATATAATAATACAGAAAAAAATTTAAAGATAATAAAATATTTAGGATAAAAAGAATTGTCTCTTAAAAATGAAAAGAAAATTATCTTTATGTATATATAACAACTATAACTCTCATCAAAAAACTACAGGAACAGCATGTTTTCAAAAGTACAACAATTTCCAAACTATTTGAAATAAATCTATGAATAATTCAATGGCCAACATTTTCCAAACAAACCAATAAAATGCAGAGTGTGCATGAAGCTATCTGTTACAATCTGTGGCACTGATATTTCACAAAAGAATTCTGTGCCAATCTGAGCCCCTGCATTGTGCCTTCAAATGCTCCTGGACTGTGGCAACCAAGTCCGTAAGAAACAGCACCTCCAGGTTCCGCCCCAGGGAGGTTGGAATTCAGCAATATAAAAAGGGTGGTGGTGCCGCAGGAAAGGGTGGAACTGGAAACACTCCTGGTTTCTTACTTTTCTCCAAGGACTCCTAGAAGGACCCCACCCCCCTCCCCCAACCCCTGCTCCCAGGAGGACACGTGATCACTGTATTCAGCTCCATCAAGAATGGTCCAGGTTCTTCTAGATGATCTGCACAAATGGTTCCTCTTCTCCTTCCTGGTGTCTGCCATTAGCATTGGAATAAAGTTCCTGCTGAAAATCCACATCTCCCCTGGGTCCGGTGTTCTGGAAGTGAGAGAGACAATGTCACACTTCAAGGAGGCAGCTCTCTAGACAGGAAGGTTATTCACGTCCCATGTCAAGTCTAGAGTTCAGAGCAATTGAGAAATACAATTTTATCTGCTGCCTTTCATTCTATACCCTGCTTCTGAACCATCGTGTTCAACTGTGAAACTCACATTTTGGTGACCACGACTCCAAAACTCACTTAATACACCCAAGGTCAGCCCCAGTGATCTGCTTCATAGCAAGGACTTTGGGTGGGTCTGCCCAGGGAGTAGGGCACCCTCAGAGAATGTGGCTTTGGACTTCATCACAGCTGGGGCCTTTTGTGTCACTTAAGATCTAAACTTGTAACCATGCTAGATGTGTTTCTAATGTGACAACATCACGAACCACGAGTCCAGAAGCCTAATCCTTAATCCTACCTCCTCATGATGAAGTCTCATGCTCTGTGCTCAACGTGGTTAGCTGCACAAGATGTAAACCAAAGCTTCACTGAACCCTCGACCCAAATCAGTAACTCAAGTGCGTCAATCATAATGAACCTCCCCAAACTCAGTATTTATGATTATTTTTGAGGCAGGGTCTCACTCTGTCGCCCAGACTGGAGTGCAGTGGCAGGATCAGGGCTCCGTGCAGCCCCAACCTTCCAGGCTCCAGCAATCCTCCCGCCTCAGCCTCCTGAGTAGTTGGGAGTAGAGATGCGTCCCACATCGCCTGGCTAATTTTTGTATTTTTGTGGAGAGGGGATCTCACCACGTTGCCCAGGCTTGAAGCCGGATCAAGCAATTGGGTTCTTCGGATTTCCGAAATAGACCCCAATATTCTGCCTTTACCCCGGAGGATGCAGATGTACCTTCTCTCAGGCCGATGACCTCAGGCCTCCACGGTCCCTGGAGCTCTAGGAAAGGTGAGCGCGATCTCGTGCCCACACCCAGTGCTCTGGGTCATAAGCCTGGATCTGGAAAAACAAACGCCCTTTGAGAAGACGGGGACTCGCCAGGATACCCCTCTCTCCCCTCATCCAGCCTCCAGCCCACCCGATTCCTCCCCACCTCCTCCACCTCCCCAGGCCCCACTCACCTCCTCCAACTCCTCCGGGGAAACCCAAGCCCTGCCGCTCATGGAACAGAAGAACTGGAACCGAAGTTTCTGGAACAGGACTATCTGAGAGCGGTTCTTCCTGGCCCTCGGGTTCATGCAACGGCGTAACTGGAACCGACGCTTACGGACCAAGGGTATGCGAGAGCGGTACTTCCTGGCCCTCGGGTTCATGGAACGGCCTAACTGGAACCGACGCTTACGGAGCAAGGGTATGCGAGAGCGGTTCTTCCTGGCCCTCGGGTTCATGGAACGGCCTAACTGGAACCAACGCTTACGGAGCAAGGGTATGCGAGAGCGGGTCTTCCCATACAGGAAGTGGAAGATGTTTTGTTTGGAGTCCTCGTCGTCCTCCTCCATGTCATTGGCCAGGTAGCTGAGGATAGAAATCAGGTTGCTGCTCAGGGGCACCACCAGGAGAGGCCTCCGGCTGAGGTCAGCTTCCCAGAGAGGAAGGTAAGGGACCGTCCCTAGCTCAGGACTGGCACCCACCCTGCAGAGAGCCACGCCTTCCTCAGGAGGGCTCTGCTGGACAGAGACCTGATCAAGGGCGTCTCCCACTCCTTCAGGATGGAGACAAAAACCCAACTGGTGGCCGAGAGTGGTGGCTTACGCCTGGAATCCCAGCACATTGGGAGGCCAAAGCAGGAGGATCACTTGAGGCCAGGAGTTTGAGACGGGCCTGGGCAACATAGCAAGACCCTCGTCTCTATTAAAAATATAAGAAATATGCCAGACGCAGTGGCTCATGCCTGTAATCCCAGCACTTTAGAAGGCTGAAGCAGGTGGATCGCTTGAGACCAGGAGTTGGAGACCAGCCTGGTCAACACGGAGAAACCCCATCTCTACTAAAAATACAAAAATCAGCCTGGTGCCGTGGCACACCCGTTAGGCCTAGCTACTCAGGAGGCTGAAGCATAAGAATTGTGTGAACCCAGGAGGCAGAGGCTGCAGTGAGTTGAGATTGGGCCACTCCATTCCAGCCTGAGAGGCAGAGCAAGACTCTGTCTCAATAAACAAACAAACAAACAAACAAACTGTCCAGGTGTGGTGGCACAGCCCTGTAGTCGGAGCTAATAAAGAAGCTGAGGTGGGAGGATCGCTTGAGCCCAGGATATGGAGGCTGTGGTGAGCTATGATCTCACCACTGCACTCTAGCTTGGGGGACAGGGCAAGTCTGTCTCAAAAAAATAAAAGCAATTGAATACATTGATATTTTGCCAGGACCCTGCCTTCTACAGGCATCTAGTCTAATGGGACTGGGAGTAATCAAGGCAGATGACCTAATCCCAGTGTCCAGGATGTAACTAGAGAGCTACGGGCATGCAGAAGTTGGAAGATGAGGGAAGGCATCACAGAGGCTGTGGGTGAACTGACTTCAAGGAATGGGTCCTTCCCTTCAGAGCCACATGTGTGCGGGACACCCAGACAGAAAACACAAACACAAAGTCGAGTGGAGGGCATTTGGAAGGAGCAGTGAAGCCGAGCCAGGAAATACCAAGATGGTGAGCCAGTGTGCTTGTAGAGATTGTAGAGAGGGTAGAATTGACACTGTGGACCCTGGCCTCGATAGAGAAAGGCATCAGCTAAGGAAGTTGTTCAGGTGGGCAGTGAGGTTGTTGTGCTTTGGAAAGATGTTCAGGCTGCACTAGGAAGCCCCCTGGCTTGGGGAGAGACTCCAGGAGACCCCAGCAGGGAGCATTTGACAGTGGATTCGAGTGATGCGAGGGGGACCTGAACTGTGGCCTCTGTCATGGGAACCCAGAGGAGGTCGATGGCGTTTGTGGTTGATGTGGGAAGGAGAGAGAGAGAAGAACCAGAAACGTCTGCTTGCTGGAGGAAGCGGCATGTCCGCTCCTCCACTCCTTTTCTTTTCCCCTTAGGAGCGGTTTATGGTTCCTTTTGTTTTATTCTTTTATTTGTACACTGGCATTGGAGTTTGTTTTTTTGGCTTTTTTTTTTTTTTTTTTTGAGAAAAAGTCTCACTCTGTCACCCAGGCTGGAGTGCAGTGGCTCGACCTTAGCTTACTGCAACCTCCACCTCCTGGGTTCAAAGGGTTCTCTTGCCTCAGCCTCCCAAGTAGCTGGGATTACAGATGCACACCACCACGCCCAGCTAATTTTTCTAGTTTTAGTAGAGACGGGGTTTGGCCATGTTGGCCAGGCTGGTCTCGAACTGCTGACCTCAGGTAATCTGCCTGCCTCGGCCTCCCAAAGTGCTGGGATTACAGGCGTATGCCACTGTGCCCAGCCTGAGTTTCTGTTTAGAAACAACAGTCTATGATAGTATAATCCTCTCTTTTTTGTACACAGAGTAAAGAGGACAAATAGGTGAAAGAATAAATGAAAGGCTGGAATCCCACTTCCCCCGCTGTCCCAGGGCATTGGATATTGACGGATAGGAGGCAGCAAACCACTCACAGAGCCAGGAAGAAATGAATGCGTTGGTATTGCCAGGAGGGGAGGCCGGCCCGGCTGAAATACACTATGACCATAGCCAGGAGATACTGATGGAGAGAAAGGAACACAGAGAGGGAGAGGTCACATCTTGGAAGAGGAAGATTGTGGAGAGGGGGAATGAGGGTCTGGGGAGGGGCTGCCCATCAGAGAAGGGACCTCAGTGTTGGGGTGACTGTACTCATTTGGAAATTGCGGGATGGAGGGGTATTCGAAGGTCGGATGCAAATCCGAGAAGCCAGAGGAAGGGTTTTGGGTGATGCTCCCAGGATGGTGGGCTCCGATGGGATCTTTGGAGGGGGTGTGTCTGGGTCGGCTGGTGTCAGGAGGGTCTTTTGTGTGCCAGGCAGAGAACTGTCCTGAAGAGCTGAGAGTAGAGGGGCCAGGAGATTCAGGGCTGCGGCCAGACTGTGGCCCAGAGCTCAGATCCCAAAGGACCCATAGGAGAGGCAGGGGCCACTCATTCACTCTGCAAGAGACCAGCAGAATCCTGAGGGAGATGCTGACAAATCATAAAAAGACCAAGAATAGCCGGGAGTGGCTGCTCAAGCCTGTGATCCCAGTACTTTTTGAGAGGTGGAGTCAGGAGGATCACGTGAGCCCAACAGTTTGAGAACAACCTGGGCAACATAGTGAGACCCTGTTTCTACAAACATTTCAAAAATTAGTTGAGCATGGTGGCATGTGCCTAGTCCCAGCTCCTCAGGGGGCTGAGGAAAGAAGATTGCTTGAGCCCAGGAATTAGAGGCTGCAATGAGCTATGATCATGCCACTGCACTCCATCCTGGGGAGCAGAGCTAGACTGTGTCTCACAAAAAAAAAATTTGTGGGTGCCAAGACTCAAGACCATGGGAGCTGGTCGGGCACAGTGGCTGACATCTATAATCTCAGCACTTTGGGAGGCCAAGGCGGGTGGATCGCCTGAGGTCAGGTGTTCAGGACCAACCTGGCCAACATGGCAAAACCCCATTTCTACTAAAAACACAAAAATTAGCCAGGCGTGGTGGTTCATGTCTGTAATCCCAGCTGCTTGGAGGCTGAGGCAGGAGAATCGCTTGAACCCGGGAGGCATCGGCTGCAGTGAGTCAAGATCGAGACACTGCCCTCCAGCCTGGGCAACAGAGCAAGACTCTGTCTCACAAAAAAAAAAAAAAAGACTGTAGGAGCATCTGGTGGGAGGTGGTGGAGGGAGAACTGTGGGTTTGGAAGCTGCGCCCTCCCCCCAGCCATGTGTTGGAACAGGAACAGTTACATGGAGAACAACCTTACCTTGTCCGACACCCTCAGATCTTTGTCCCAGGCCAGGAATCTTTTAATGACAGGATCCTCTGTGATTAGAGAGCAGATGTCAGTGTGAGAAGCAGGACAGGGTTTCCGTGGGAGCAGCAGGGCAGCGAGAAGTGTGCCTCCCGGGGGGAAGTCTCAGGATTGTGGCCGCGGGTGAGGTGGATGGGAGAGGGGAGAATGACTTTCACTGGGCAAGGGAGAGAGGCTCCTGCTCTGAGACTCCCCTGAGAAGAGGCCGAAGGAGGCCCTGGGTGTGAGAATCTACAGGATGTAGAGCTGGGAATCAGCCAGGACCCCCTCCAGCAGACACGGAGGGACCACTGCAGAGTCATAAAGGAATTCCCATCATTTCCTCATGAGACAGTCACATCAGGGTGTGACCATGGCCTTGGGATCCCCCACTATGGATGGAGACACTTAGGTTTAGAAAAGTCAGTAAGAGACATTAAGTTTCAGAGGGCACAGCTGAAACCACTTTCTTTGTTTATTGATTTTGTTTTTCTTTATTTGATTTTTATTTTTATTTACTTATTAATTTATTTTGAGACAGAGTCTTGCTCTGTGGGCCAGGCTGGAATGCAGTTGCCTGATCTTGGCTCACTGCAACCTCTGCCTCCCGGGTTTAAGCGATTCTCCTGTCTCAGCCTCCCGAGTAGCTGGGATTACATGCATGAGCTACTGTGCCCAGCCTTGGTTTTTCTTTTGAGACAGGGTTTTGCTCTGTCACCCAGGCTGGAGTGCAGTGGTGTAGTCACAGCTCACTGCAGCCTCAAAGTTCTGAGTTCAAGCAATCCTCTTGCCTCAGCCTCCCAACGTGCTGGGATCTCAGGCGGGAGCCACTGCGCCTGGCCCGAAACCAAGCTTTCTTATCCCAAGCACTGACCTTTATCAAGTTGACCTAATCCTTTATCATCTCCTAAGTGTCCCTCATGAGTGATCACTTCACATTCCTCCCACATGGAGAGCTCACCCACTGGGGCATATTTTTCCCATTGGAAAAGTGTGGTTATTGGAAGTTTCCTGTTTTTGGAAAGAACAGGATTGGAGGTGCTCTCTGGGGTGTCCTCCTACCAAGCAGCCTGTTGAAGGCCTCGTGGTGCTCAGGGAGCACGAGCAACACTCGCCGTCGCTTCAGCTTCATCTTGAGGCCACACAGCATCTCCGCCACCCAGATCTCCTCAGGCTCAGGGGCGAGCACCTTCCGTGGCTCCTCCTCCAACGACTCCTCAGATTCGTCCCACCACTCCCTCTTCCTTTTCCAGCAAAAGGACCTATGCGGGGGGCTGGGATCTACCCCAGGGGCTGAGTAAAGAAACCAGGCCACGGTGTAATGCTTCTGCAGTTGATCACACTAGAGCCCGACCCAAAACCCCAAACCACTCTCCATCCTCCCCAGCCTCGCAGACTGCTGGCTTCTCCAAGCCATCTTTCCTTCTGTCTGTCTCCTCTGCTGAGCTCCATGTGCCGCTCCTTCTCCTCCCCATTCTCCCGTTTCTCTGTCCTCAGAACACTTCCTCATATCCTTCCCTGGTCCCTGGCTCTCTGAGTCCCTTTTTTTTTTTTTTTTTTTTTTTTTGTTGTTGTTGTTGTTGTTGCGAAACAGTCTTGCTTTGTGGCCTAGGCTGGAGTGTAGTGGTGCGATCTTGGCTCACTGCAACCTCCGCCTCCTGGGTTCCAGTGATTCTCCTGCCTAAGCCTCCCAAGTAGCTGGGATTACAGGTGCCCACCAGAACGCCCAGCTCATTTTTGTGCTTCTAGAAGAGACAGGGTTTCACCATGTTGGCCAGGCTGGTCTCCAACTCCTGGCCTCAAGTGATCTGCCTGCCTGGCCTCCCAAAGTGCTGGGATTACAGGTGTGAGCCACTGCACCCTGCCTCAGTACCTCCATTCTTCCCACACACCCTCCTCACGTGCTCCTTCCTGACTTCTGGGCCCTTCCTTCCTTCTTTTTTTTTTTTTTTTTTTTTTTTTTTTTTTTTTTTTTGAGACAGCTTCTCACTCTCTCACCCAGAATGGAATGCAGTGGCGCTATCTTGGCTCAAAGCAACCTCTTCCACCTGGGTTCAAGCGATTATCCTGTCTCAGCCTCCCGAGTAGCTGGGATAACAGGCATGCCTGGCTAATTTTTGTATTGTTAGTATAAATGAGGTTTCGCTATATTGGTCTGGTTGGTCTCGAACAACTGACCTCAAGTGATCCACCCATCTCAGCCTCCCAAAGTAACGGGATTACAGGCATGAGCTACCACACCCAGCCTTCGTTTTTCTTTTGACACAGGGTTTTGCTCTGTCACCCAGGCTGGAGTGCAGTGGTGCAGTCATAGCTCACTGCAGCCTCAAAGTCCTGAGTTCAAGCAATCCTCTTGCCTCAGCCTCCCAACATGCTAGGATCTCAGGCGTGAGCCACTGCACCTGGTGCGAAACCAAGCTTTCTCATCCCAAGCGCCAACCTTTATCAAGTCTAGCCTAGTCCTCTATCGTCTCCTAAGTGTCCCTCATGAGTGATCACTTCTGAGTCCTCCTGCGTGGAGAGCTCACCCACTGGGGGCGTATCTTTCCCATTGGAAAAGTGTGGTTATTGGAAGTTTCCTCTTTTTAGAAAGAACAGGATTGGAGGTGCTCTCTGGGGTGTCCTCCTACCAAGCTGACTGTTGAAGTCCTTGTGGTGCTCAGGGAGGATGGGTGACACTCGCTGTTGCTTCAGCTTCATCTTAAGCCCACACAGCGTCTCCACTACCCAGGTCTCCTCAGGCTCAGGGGCGAGCTCCTTCTCCGGCTCCTCCTCAGATTCATCTGACCACTCCTTCTTCCTTTTCCAGCCAAGGGACCTACATGGGGGGCTGGGATCTACCCCAGGGGCTGAGTAAAGAAACCAGGCCACTGTGTAATGCTTCTGCATCTGATCACCTTAGACCCCGACCCAAAACCCCAAACCACTCTCCATCCTCCCCAGCCTCGCAGACTGCTGGCTTCTCTAAGCCATCTGTCTGATTTTCTCCTCTGCTCAACCCCATGTGCCGCTCCTTCCCCTCCCCATTCTTCTCTCTCTCTGTCCTCCGAACACTGCTTCATGTCCTTCCCTGGTCCCTGGCTCTCTGAGTCCCTCCTTTTTTGTTTTGTTTTGACACAGAATCTTGCTTTGTCACCCAGGCTGGAGTGTAGTGGTGCAATCTCAGCTCACTGCAACATCCATCTCCTGGATTCCATTTATTCTTCTGCCTCAGCCTCTCAGGTAGCTGGGATTACAGGTGCCTGCCATAATGCCCAGCTCAATTTTGTACTTTTAGTAGAGACAGGGTTTCACCATGTTGGCCAGGCTGGTCTCAAACTCCTGGCCTCAAGTGATCCGCCTGCCTTGGCCTCCCAAAGTTCTGGGATTACAGGTGTGAGCCACTGCACCCAGCCTGAATTTCTCCATTCTTCCCACACACCCTCCTCAGGTTCTCCTTCCTGACCGCTGACCCTTCTTTTCTTTTTTCTTTTTTTTTTTTTTGGGAGTGCAGTAGCGTGATCTCAGCTCACTGCAACCTCTTCCTCCCAGTCTCAAGTGATTCTCCTGTCTCAGCCTCCTGAGTAGCTGGGATTACAGGTGTGCACCACTACCACTTGGCTAATTTTTATACTTTTAGTAGAGATGGGGTTTCACCATATTGGCCAGGCTGGCCTTGAACTCCTGACCTCAGGTGATCCGCCCGCCTCGGCCTCCCAAAGTGCTGGGGTTACAGGCGTGAGCCACCGCACCCGGCCCCCTTCCTTCGTCTTAGTCAATCCTATCCCACCTCTTCTTCCACCAGTCCCCTCACCTGATGGTCCCAACACTTCATCATCCACCACCTCCTGGAGGGGGTACCCCGAGGTGCTCCGCTGGGGACTCTGCTCATTCTGGGGGTGCAGTTGACGGCTGGTCGTGATCTTTCCCGTAATCTGTCCCCTCTTACGGAACCTAGTCTCCGTTCTGTCCATGGCCTTCTTCTGGACACTGCTAGGATCCAGAAGAGTATGTTATCAATTCTCAAGCCTAGGAGAAGTCAGGAGTGGAGAACAGCTCTGAGAAGATACTGTTGTCCAACTGATCTCCAGGCACCACGGAGTCCGGTCCCTCCAATCAGGAAGGTCGGAATCTCTGATGTCATCGTTCATGCCAACCTGGCAACCAGTTTGAAAAAAAAACACATGTAACTGCCAGGCTGATCTCTTGTCCTGGAGATCCTGGGTGAATGGTATCTCCTGCCACTGTCCCAACCTCAGACCATTGTCCAAAAGCATCTTCAGGGACTCCACATCCCTCTGTTCCCTGTCCCAGCAGAGGCTGTGTCCTCTCCACTCAAAGCCTGAAGCATGTTGGGGTCTCTTCGTCTCTGTACATGCCCATTTCAGAGTCCAGGCTGGTGGGAGAGGGAACAGAGTGGGAAAGAAAACTAGGGTAAGCAGAAACGATGAAACCTTATAAGAGTGAGATTATCATGTACAAGAGTGAGATTATCATGTGCAAGAGTGAGATTATCATGTACAAGAGTGAGATTATCATGTGCAAGAGTGAGATTATCATGTACAAGAGATCCCAGGAATACTGACTTGATGAAAAAGTCACATCAGAGCACTCAGTTTGGCAGAGCTTTTCTGCCGAATGTTTACTCACATTCACTGTCCCAGATTCTATACTGGGGGTACACACGTCCTCTGCCCTAAGGCAATTTTGAGTCCAAGAGACATTTTGAGGCCTAAAAATCATAGGAAACTGCCCCTGAGCTCACACATATTTCCAATGGTGTCCCCAATTTCAGGGAATCCATGGATTACCTAAGCCAGCCCCTCCAGTTCGGCTAAGAAACTCTAGTCTATATATCAAGTTTTGTATCATATGTATTGCTCTGAACTCAGAAATTTCCCTTCCATTTATGGATTCTATGAATAAAATATCACATGTACAAAAAGACTAAGTCAAAAAATTTCAGCTGTGCACAGTGGCTCATGCTTGTAATCCCAGCACTTTGGGTGGCCAAGGGAGGAAGATTGCCTGAGGCCAGCAGTTCAAGACCAGTATAGGCAACATGGCAAGAGCCCATCTCTAAAAAAACAAAACCAAACCAAATTAGCCAGGTGTGGTGGCTGGCACCTGTGTTCCAACTACTTGGGAGACTCATGTGACAGGAAGATCACTTGAGCCCAGGAGTTAGAAGCTGCAGTGAGCTATGATCTTGCCACTGCACTCCAGTCTGGGCAACACAGCAAGATATTGTGTCAAAAAAAATTTTTTTGATAAAAAATGAAAGAGTTACATGACATTCAGAGACCATCCAAAAAACCTGTGGGTTCCCGGCTGGGCTCAGTGGCTCATGCCTGTAATCCCAGCACTTTGGGAGGCCAAAGTGGGTGGATCACTTGAGGTCAGGAGTTTGAGACCAGCCTGGACAACATGGTGAAACCCCATCTCTACTAAAAATACAAAAAATTAGCCAGGCATGGTGGATGCCTGTAATCGCAGCTACTCAGGAGAGGGCGCTGGAGAATCACTTGAACTCATGGTGCGCAGGTTGCAGGGAGCCAAGATCGCACCATTGTGCTCCAGCCTGGGCAACAAGAGCAAAACTCCATCTCAAAAAAAATAAAGAACCTGCGAGTGAGTTCCCACACGTTTTCCTAATGGGCTGCTGCTTTCCTAGGAGTCTCTCGCTCATAGAAAAGGCACACACTGAAAGAGGAAGCCGATCCCATTGCTGTGGAAGTCCCATTGTTAGGAAGCTCTGCTTTTCTGGAGTTCAAATTCGCATTCATGACGCTTTAAACCGTCAGAGCTGGGTGGGTCCTCCTACAACAAAATCGTTTGCTCTCTCTTTCCTAGTTAACAGGCTTTCAAATATTAGAAGATCAATGTTCTGACCCCATTGAAATTTCTCTTTTGTGGAATGAAAAGCTCTGATTTAACCCATCTTCAAGCCTGGTTTGCATATTCCTCTCTCTTCCGGCCATCTTGTCTAGACACACTACACTGAGGCCGTGCCCATCGTAAATGATGTTGATACGTTGTCAAAAAATTGGCAAACCAGGCGCGGTGGCTCATGCCTGTAATCCTACCACTTTAAGAAGCAGAGGCAGACAGATCACCAGAGGTCAGAAGTTCGAGACCAGCCTGTCCAACATGTTTAAATCCGTCTCTACTAAAAATACAGAAAAAATGAGCTGGGCATGGGGGTGCACATCTGTAATCCCAGCTACTTGGGAGGCTGAGGCAGGAGAATCGCTTGAACCTGGAAGGCAGAGGTTGCAGTGAGCCGAGATTGCATCACTGCACTCCAGCCTGGGTGACAGAGCGAGACACCATCGCAAAAAAAAAAAAAAAAAAAAAAATGGCTAAACAGCCCAGGTTTGGTCTGATATGTTCAGAAAAAAGCAAAACAGTCACCTCTCACCTTTTCTTTTCCCGCAGTGATGCAGTTGAATACAACAATGGCTGTAGGTATGCTGCAGAAATATCATTCAAGTGAAACAGAAGGGCTTTCCTGGCCAGACACAGTGGTCAGTCCTGCAATCCCAACACTTTGGTTGGCTAAGGTGGGAGGATTTCTTGCGGCCAGGGGTTCAAGGCTGCAGTGAGCTGTGATCCACCACTGCATTCCAGGCTGGGCATCAGAGTGAGGCCTCTCTCTAAAAAAAAAAACCCTTCACTCCCCAAAAAAAGGGATTTGCAAATACCAGCCTTTCAGCATGAGGATCACATGGAGGAACATTAAGATACAGATGCTGGGACCCAGCCCTATTGATTGTAATTCAAAAACTGAGGTGGGGCCTGATTTAGCTCCATCATTGGAATCCATTCCGATTTGAAACTCTCTGGGTTGGACAGTTCAAGAGAGATCCTAAAGAAAGCAAAATCACTGTGGACTGAAATGAGCAGACAAGGTTTTCTGAGCATGGTGAAATATGATCTGGGCCTCGCTTGGGAGGGCTGTGGCCAGGCCTTGAGTCCTTGGCTCAGTGGGACCTTCTGAAACAGCCTCCAAGCTGCGCCCCTGCTTCCTTTGCTTTTGGATGACCCCCTCCAGCAGCTTTGGTGCTGATGGGAATAAGTCGACCTGCAGCGGAAGTTCAGCCCAAGTCTCAGCCCAGCAGCCTCCCCAAACCTGGCCAGGGTCTGGTCATGCTGCCGTCTCTGCGGTTCTCTGTGGAGTTGTGGTTTCTGTACCTTGAAGAGAACTTCCCCTTCTGGGACCCAGAAACCCAGTGAACCCTCAGGAAAAAAGGGAATGAAATTACTGAAGACAACTCTGTGGCAGGGAGAGGGAAAAGAGGCTCTTTGTTTTTGTTTTTTATTTTTTATTTTTTTATTTTTTGAGACAGAGCTTCACTCTTGTTGCCCAGACTGGATTGTAATGGCTCAATCTCGGCTCACTGCAACCTCTGCCTCCCATGTTCAAGCACTTCTCGTGCCTCCGCCTCCAGAGTAGCTGGGACAATAGGCACACACCACCACACCCAGCTAATTTTTGTATTTGTAGTAGAGATGGGGTTTTGCCATGTTGCCCAGGCTGGTCTCGAACTCCTGGCCTCAAGTAATCCACCTGCCTTGGCCTCCCAAAGTGCTGGGACTACAGATGTGGGCCACCGTGCCCAGCCCTCACTGTATGGATTTTCTAAAAAAAAAAAAAGATTACATTTGTCTTACTTACGTTACTCCTCTCCTCTCCTTTTTAAAGAGTATTTCCTTGATAAACCTTGTAATATAAATAACTTCTTTTGTGCCTTTGATATGTACCTAAATCTTTTAAAAAGGTAAATGAACTTCTTGCCAACATTACAACCCAGGATTTTTTTTTTTTTTTTTTTTTTTTTTTTTTTTTTTTTTTTGAGACAGAATCTCGCTGTCACCCAGGCTGGAGTGCAGGGGTATAATCTCGGCTCACTGCAACCTCCACTTCCCAGGTTCAAGCAATTCTCCCATCTCAACCTCCTGAGTAGCTGAGACTACAGGCGTCTGCCACCACGCCTGGCTAATTTTTGTATTTTTAGTAGAGACAGGGTTTCACCTTGTTGGTCTGGCTGGTCTTGAACTCCTGACCTCAGGTGATCCACCAGCCTCGGCCTCCCAGTGTGCTGGGATTATGGGCGTGAGCCACCGTGCCTGGTCACAATCCAGGAATTGTTTTCTTAAGAGCCTAAGAGTCTTGTCTTTGAAATGTAAACCTGGAGGAAAATAGTGTCCCTATCTTCCTGTTGCCTAGGGAATTTAGCCTAGGCACCTTGAGCTGTTACTACCTGCTTGTCAAGGAGATGTGAGAAGTTTTATTTTTTCATTGGATACAGGTAATTAACTAGCATGGATGGCCACGTTGATTTCCAGGTGAATTTAGGATGAGTGTTTAAGAATGCATAGCAGGCCAGGCCTGGTGGCTCACACCTGTAATCCCAGCACTCTGGGGGAGGCAGAGACAGGCGGATCACTTGAAGCCACACAGAAATCGAAAGAAGAAGTTTGAGTCCAGCCTGGCCAGTATGGCGAAACTCTGTCTCTACTAAAATACAAATATTAGCTGGGCATGATGGCACGTCTGTAATTCCAGCTACTTGGGAGGCTTAGGCACGAGAATCACTTGAACCCAGGAGGTGGAGGTTACAGTGAGCCAAGAAGATCACACCACTACACTCCAGCCTGGATGACAGAATGAGACCCTGTCTCAAAAAAAACAAAACAAAAAAAACTGCATAGCAAGTCCTTTTGCATGAGGATGAGTTACTATTTATCTTGAGAGCGTGTATGCAATGGATTGTATCTGCCAGGCTATATAAAAAGGACGCTTTGGCCGGGCGCCATAGCTCACGCCTATAATCCCAGCACTTTGGGAGGCCTAGGCGGGCGAATTACGAGGTCAGGATTTCGAGACCATCCTAGCTAACATAACGAAACCCCATCTCTACTAAAAATACAAAAAATTAGCCAGGTGTGGTGGCACGCACCTGTAGTCTCAGTTACTTGGGAGGCTGAGGCAGGAGAATCGCTTAAACTGGGGAGGCGGAGGTTGCAGTGAGCCGAGATCGCACCACTGCACTCCAGCCTGGGCGACAGAGCAAGATTTTGTCTCAAAAAAAAAAAAAAAAAAAAAGGAGGGTTTATTTTTCTTTGCATCTCATTAATGGATCATCTGTGATGGGCATCACAGTCTGGTTTAATGCTTATTCAATAATAAAATTGTTTGCTTTGTCTTCTGAATTTGTGGAGAGAATATTCTAGGTTAACAGAATAATCTATTTATTTACTTATTTATTTTGAGATGGAGTCTTGCTCTGTCTCCCAGGCTGGAGTGCAGTGGCCTGATCTCGGCTCACTGCAATCTCTGCCTCCCAGGTTCAAGTGATTCCCCTGCCTCAGCCTCCCAAGTATCTGGGACTACAGGCACGCACCACCGCACCCAGCTAATTTTTTGTGTTTTAGTAGAGACGGGGTTTCACCATGTTGGCCAGGATGGTCTTGATTTCCTGACCTCATGATCCGCCGGCCTCGGCCTCCCAAAGTGCTGGGATTACAGGCGTGAGCCACCGCGCCCGGCCCATTGCTGACATTTCTAAACAGCGAAACAAATGCAGAACAACCACCTCAGACTGGTTACCGTGTGAGAGGGTTCAGTGTCTTTTGTGCTTAAGCCACTGTTGACATGGGGTTGTTACTTGTAGCCAAATGCACACGCCAAGACCTTTGTGGTCTCCATCGGTGTCGACTTGTCAGTGAGGGGGTGCACTCACTGAGTCCCCAGCCTGACGGTTCCACCTATGCCTCCTGGATCAGCCTCCTTTTTTTTTTTTTTTTTTTTTTTTGCCAAGAGATAACACAATTTATTTAAATATATTCCAACTCAAGATGAAGGCAAGCGGTTTACTTAGAAAGGTTTACATATTTTAGCTATAGTTTTTCACTGAACCATCTTTTTTGAAGTGCCATTCTTTTCATTCATGCTTCTTTTATTCTCTCTCTTTAGAAGTTCACAGTGTTATATAAGTCAAAAACAAGACAGAAACCACCCTAAACATATGGCTTTATGTACATAAAAAATTCAATAATGTTGCCATAACCCCTAATACAGTGCTGGATCAACCTGCTTTAAGAAGCAGGTGGCGGCAGGTCTCAGCATTGTAGAACCCCAGTATTTAGGTCCGTGTACCCGATTCACAGTAAGGCAAACATTGACACATCAGCGCTTAGGAGCAGAGAAAGATACATTCAATTTGGCCAAAGCAAGAAGGCGGGAGACCTGAACTCTCACAACCGACTGACTTGAACTCTCACATAACTGGGGGCTTTCATGAGTGAGGTGGGTATCCGGGAGGTGACATCCCCAATGATCAACACTGTCTGCACCCCTCGGTGAAACTTCTGGATGCCATCAGGGAGGTCTGCATGACCTAAAGATTGTTGTTCTTTAGAAGAAAGACAAGTTCATTAATCATGCATGCAGCCCCTGGGGGTCAGGATATAAAATTTATCAATGATTAGTGACTCCCCCCTACTGAAATGACTATGAAATGAATCATGCACAAAGAAACAAAAGGACAAAGAAAAAGGAAAATAAGTGAAACAAACACCTTATTTTTTGTTTGTTTGTTGGTTTTAAGTTCTAGGGTACATGTGCACAACATGCAGGTTTGTCACATATATGTACATGTGCCATGTTGGTGTGCTGCACCCGTTAACTCGTCATTTACATTAGGTATATCTCCTAATGCTATCCCTCCCCGCTCCCCCCACCCCCTGACAGGCCCTGGTGTGTGGGGTTCCCCACCCTGTGTCCAAGTGGAAATTGAACAATGTTTTTGTTTTTGTTTTTTTGACACGGAGTTTCTCTCTTGTTGCCCAGGCTAGAATGCAATGGCATGATCTTGGGTCACTGCAACCTCCGCCTCGTGGGTTCAAGCAATTCTCCTGTCTCAGCCTCCTGAGTAGCTGGGATTATAGGCATCCACCACCAGGCCCAGCTAATTTTTGTATTTTTAGTAGAGACCGGGTTTCACCATGTTGGCCAGGCTGGTCTCGAACTCGTGGCCTCAGGTGATCAGCCCGCCTCAGCCTCCCAAAGTGCTGGGATTAGAGGCATGAGCCACTGCGCCCGGCCACCTTATGATTTTTATAACACAGGCTCAGTTGCAACAGGACTCAGACTCTGGAATGGCACTGGGAGGAACCGGAAATCGTGGCAAGGCTAGCTGAGTCTGCTGGCAGGGACAGCACCCTAGGACTTCAGGTTCCAAATAGAACGTTAGTGAGAGGTTGCCACGGTGGCCCAAAGACATCCTGGCCCGAAGTCTCAATTAGTTTCCTGAATCCCCATAGCAAGGTAGAAACATCGGCTGACCCGTGGAAGTGGGGAGACTCAGGCCCTTTTCTTTTTTTTTTTTTTTTCCTTTTGAGATAGAGGCTCGCTCTGTCGCCGAGGCTGGAGTGCAATGGCGTGATCTCGGCTCACTGCAACCTCTGCCTCCCAGGTTCAAGCAATTCTCCTGCCTCAGCCTCCCGAGTAGCTGGGACTACAGGCGCGTGCTGTCGTGCCTGGGTAATTTTTTGTATTTTTAGTAGAGATGGGGTTTCACCATAACCAGGATGTTCTCTCTCTCCTGGCCTTGTGATCTGCCCGCCTTGGCCTCCCAAAGTGCTGGGATTACAGGCATGAGCCACCACTTCCGGCTAACTCAGGCTCTTTTCTATGGAGCTAGCCAGGGACCAATGGGACAGCCCCCAAGGCAGCCCTCAGCAGGTGCACAGGTGATAAGAATGTTGTGGAAGTGGCAGCCGCCCCGTGGCTGGCATGGGGTCAGCCTCTGTATCTGAGGCACACAGTGATGCATGTTGTGACTTGAAGGGTCTCAGGAGCCCACTCCACCCCTAAGAAGTGCCCCACATAGGACAGTGCAGTGGCTCATGCCTGTAGTCCCAACACTTTGGGAGGCTGAGGCAAGAGGATCGCTGGAGGTCAGGAGATCAAGACCAGCCTGGACAGCATAGCAAGACTTCATCTTTATGAAAAAGTTTTAAAATTAGCCTGGCATGGTAGCACACACGTGTAGTCTCAGCTACTCAGGAGGCCAGGGTGGGAGAATTGCTTGAGCCCAGGAGTTTGAGGCTGCAATAACTTAAGATCACGCATACCACTGCTCTCCAGCCTAGGAGACAGACCAAAACCCGGGGAGGGGAGGGGAGGGGATGGAGAAGGAAGGGGAGGGAAGGGAGAAGGAAAAAAAATGGGGGGGAGTCCCTAACCTGAAATTCCAGCACTAACAAATTATTTGATTTTAGACAATGGTCTCTTTCTGTGTCCCCTTTAAACTCTAAGTCCCCACAAAGGAACAGCATAATGAGTGTTCCGTTCCCTTAGAAGATTTGTGTGGAAGAGAAGTCACCAGAAAGCTGAAGGGAAAAGATAGGGCAAGGTCCCCAAACCTTTTCTGGAAAGGGTTGTGTGGTCTCTGGCCCACTATTCACTCTCTGCCATCCCAGCATGAAAACAACCACAGACAATTCACAAATAAATGAGTGTGGCAGTGTTACAACAAGTCTTCAGTTACAGACACTGAAATCAATTTCACGTGATTTTCACATGTCAGGAAATACTATGTTTCTAATTTTTTTCCAACCATTTAAACATGTAAAAGCAATTCTTAGCTCACAGTCACAAGGAAAAAGGTTGCAGGATGAATCTGAATCATAGGTGATAATTTTCCAATCCCTAGGATAGAAACACGCCTGTAATCCCAACACTTTGAAAGGCTGAGGTAGGAGGATCACTTGAGACCAGGAGTTTAAGACCAGCCTTGGCAACACAGCGATTTCTCATCTGTAGAAAAAAATTTAACAATTAAAATTAGCTGGGCATGATGACCTGTGCCTGTGGTCCCAGATACTTGGGAGGCTGAGGCAGGAGGATTGCTTGAGCCCAGGAGGTCAAAGCTTCAGTGAGCTATGATTGCGCCACTGCACTCCAGCCTGGCTAATGGAACAAGACCCTGTCTCGATTAAAAAAAAAGAAGAAGAAGATAGAAAGGAAGGAAGGAAGAAAAGGAAGGGAGGGAGGGAGGGAAGGAAGGAAGGGAGAAAGAAATGTGGAGCACAATGATCATTTATCTAATACTAGGATAATCTTTTATTTATTTATTTATTTATTTTTGAGATGGAGTCTTGCTCTGTTGCCAGGCTGGAGTGTAGTGGCACAATCTCGGCTCACTGCAACTTCTTCCTCCCAGATTCAAGTGATTCCCCTGCCTCAGCCTCCCAAGTAGCTGGGACTATAGGTGCACGCCACCACACCCGGCTAATTTTTTGTATTTTAGTAGAGATGAGGTTTCACCATGTTGGACAGGATGTCTCGATCTCCTGAGCTCATGATCTACCCGCCTCGGCCTCCCAAAGTGCTGGGATTACAGGCGAGAGTGATAATAGGATAATCTTATTATGGGGGGCATAGACTCTTGGCTTCCTAAAGTTTCACTAAAAATCACTGACTTGAGGCAGTTTGATTAACAGGAGAAAAGACACACAAATTTATTTAACGTATATACAGGGGACCCTTCAAAAGGAAGACCCAATCTCCCAAGGAGTTACAGAAACTTAAATACCATCCTGATGCCACAGTAGAAAATGCAGACTCAGCCAGGCTCGGTGGCTCACGCCTGTAATCCCAGCACTTTGGGAGGCCAAGGCAGGTGGATCACCTGAGGTCCAGAGTTCAAGACCACCCTGGCCAACATGGTGAAACCCCATCTCTACTAAAAATACAAAAATCAGCTGGGCGTGGTAATCCCAGCAGGTGCCTGTAATCCCAGCTACTCCGGAGGCTGAGGCAGGAGAATTGCTTGAACCCGGGAGGCAGAGGTTGCAGTGAGCCAAGATAGCACCATTGCACTCCAGCCTCGGCGACAGAGCAAGATTCTATCTCCAAAAAAAAAAAATACACATGCAAATTTCCCCCAAAAGACAACTTTGCAGGGTCCCCACATCTCCCCCTGACAACCTTTTTTAGAGACAGGGTCTTGCTGTGTTGCCCAGGCTGCAGTGCTGTGGCACGATGATCATTTGCTGCAGCCTCAAACTCCCGGGCTCAAGCGATCCTCCCACCTCAGCCTTCCAAGTAGCTGGGACCACAGGCATGTGATTCCACACCCAGCTAATTTTTTAATTTTCTTTTTTAATAGAGATAGGATCTCACTTTTTGCCCAGGCTGGTGTTGAACTCCTGGCCTCAAATGATCCTCCCACCTTGGCCTCCCAAAGTGCTGGGATTGCAACTGACAGCCACTGTGCCCAGCCCAAGGCTACTTCTGTTTACTGGTGAAACAGCAGCCATTTCAAAATATGTGAAAAATATATATTTTGGGGTAAAATATGTTCATTTCCTTCACTGCTAAAAGCTCTGAAAAGCCCCAGCTGGGGTTGGCTGCCTGGGGAAGGAAACTCATCAATCCCACAGAAGTGGGAGAGGCGCTGATTTTGCCCGGCCTCGGTGCTCTGGCTCTGAGTCAGCTACTTAATGAGCTCCCTGGAGCTGACCCTGAGCACAGCAGGAAGGTGTGAACACTCCCTCCCAAAAGAGTGAAAAGGTGGAGAGAGTTTTGTCACCTGCTGCAGGCTCCCGCTGCTCCCAGGGGTAATGGCCTGGGCGGCATTCACACCCCCATGTAGCTGTGGGCAGGAAACTCACAGCCAGGCTGCTGGGACGAGAAGAGCCATGTGACGGCTTGAAGTGAAAGGGAGTCAGAGGGATGTCTTTGGAGAGATGAGAAGAGACTCACTAAAGCAGAATTCGCAAGGAATTATTTTCTTCCTCCTTCCAGACTCAGCAGGATGGAGGGAAAGTCTCACTGCAGACAGGGACACAGTCAGATGACGTGGCAGCCAGGCAGCAGACAGCTTTTGCTGATGATGAGCTATTACATTGGTCAAGACTTTATTGCAGGTGATAAAACCCACTTCCAATACACCCAAGTGAAAAAGAAGGTGATTTGTGTTTCCCATGACTGGGGTGTATAGGGGCAAAGCTGTGCTCTGGAATGATTGAGACCTGACGGGATATGGGCTCCATCTCCAGATCAGCCTCTGCACACAGTCAGTGTGGACAGAAAGAGTCACACTGTAAAATACTTGAGGAGATTTATTATGAGCCAAATATGAGTGACCATGGCCCATGATACAGCCTCAGGAGATTCTGAGACAAGTGCTCAAGGTGTTAGGCAACAGCTTGGTTTTATACACGTTAGGGAGACACGAGACATCAGTCAATACATGCAAGGTGTACATTGGTTCAACCTGGAAACGTGGGACAGCCTGAAGCAGGCGAAGCCGGGGAGGGGGGTTGGGGTGATCTGAGGTCATAGGTGGATTCAGAGATTTTCTGATGGGCAATTGGTTGAAAGAGTTAAGTTATTATCAGGCCGGGCACGGTGGCTCACGCCTGTAATCCCAGCACTTTGGGAGGCCGAGGCGGGCGGATCATGAGGTCAGGAGATCGAGACCATCCTGGCTAACACGGTGAAACCCCGTCTCTACTAAAAATACAAAAAATTAGCCGGGCGTAGTGGCAGGCGCCTGTAGTCCCAGCTACTCGGGAGGCTGAGGCAGGAGAATGGCGTGAGCCTGGCAGGCGGAGCTTGCAGTGAGCCGAGATAGTGCCACTGCACTCCAGCCTGGGCAAAAGAGTGAGACTCCATCTCAAAAAAAAAAAAAGAGTGAAGTTATTATCTAAAGACCTGGAATCAATAGAAGGAAGATCTTTGATTTTTCCCAATATTGAACCCAGACAAGGGGCTGTAGAGACCAAGAATCTTATTTGTACATGAAGCCTCCCGCTAGCAGGCCTCAGAGAGGATGGATTGTAACTGTTTCTTATCAGACTTAATAAGGTGCCAGAGGCCAGGTGCAGTGGCTTGTGCCTGTAATCCTAGCACTTTGGGAGGACGAGGCGGGCGGATCACGAGGTCAAGAGATCGAGGCCATCCTGGCCAACATGGTGAAAACCTATCTCTACTAAGAATACAAAACTGAGCTGGGCATGATGGCACGCACCTGTAGTCCCAGCTACTCAGGAGGCTGAGGCAGGAGAATCACTTGAACCCAGGAGGTGGAGGTTGCAGTGAGCCAAGATCGCACCACTGCACTCCAGCCTGGTGACAGAGCCAGACTCCATCTCAAAAAAAAAAAAAAAAAAAAAAAAATGGTGCCAGACTCTTAGTTAATTCTCTCCTGGATCAGGGAAAAGACCTGGAAGGGGAAGGGGATTCTCTACAGAATGTAGATTTTCCCCACAAGAGACAGCTTTGCAGGGCCGTTTCAAAATATGTCAAAGAAATATATTTTATGGTAAAATAATTCAATTTCTTTTGGGGCCTGCTATCTGTCATGTGACGCTATGCTACAGTCACATTGGAATGTGATACCTTACTGCTCCAAAAAGTCTGTTTTGTCAGTCTTAAGATCTGTTTTAATGGTTAATGCAGGTCAGCTGTGTCGGAATTTCAAAGGGCTGAGAGTATAATGAGGTATGCCCACTTCCATGAAGATCTGAAATAGATTTTCAGGTTTACTTTGGAAAGCCTTTTGCCAAGGGCTGGTGGGGGAGGGTGGTCCATCAGTCAGTTGCGGGGCTTAGAATTTTATTTTTGGTTTATACCAGGGATAAGGGAATGGGCAGTTCTGACCTTTCATCCTTACGTTGTGTGTCCAAAGAGGAAATAAAGCCCCTTTTTTCAGCGTGATTTGCAGAAATCCAGGTAGGTCCTCCAGTTGGTGCAGCGTGGGTCCTGCACACATCCAGACCATCGCCATCTCCAGGGGGCAGCTATAGCAGCTGACCCAAGTCACAGTGATGTGGCCAGTCTCAGGGCCATGACAGGTTAAGGAGGCTGAGCCCCCCAGCTTCAGTGAGTGAGTGTATCCCACAAAAGGGGATGCCATTGTAGGCTGAACAAAACAAATGCCCCGCACAGCACCCCATCCCTCCCACTGTAATTCTGAAGGACATGACTGCCCTCCAAATGAAGAATACGCAAGTGGAATGAGCACATCTCCACTACTCTAAGAACAGCCAAAATAGGCAGTGAAGCTCAGCTTTCAGGAAGCGTTGCTTTCATTCAGAGTGGGTGTGCTGATGGAGACGGGAGAAAACTCAAAAGGGGGTGGTGGTTATTGTCAAAAACAAAAGGCATTTTAAAAACTCTGGATATGCTCTTTCTACCCCTAGGCCTTAAATGGCCTTTCCTGTCTTCTTCATCTGGGAATCTCCTATGCATCTGTTAAGACACTGCTCAAGTCCTGGTGCAGTGGCTCACACCTGTAATCCCAGCACTCTGGGATGCCAAGGTGGGCAGATCACCTGAGGTCAGGAGTTCAAGACCAGCCTGGCCAACATGGTGAAACCCCATCTCTACTAAAAATATACAAAAATTAGCTGGGTGTGGTGGTGGGCACCTGTAATCCCAGCTACTCGGGAGGCTGAGGCAGGAGAATCACTTGAGCCTGGAATGTCAAGGTTGCAGTGAGCCAAGATCACACCACTGCACTCCAGCATGGGTGATAGAGCAAGACTCCATCTCAAAAAAAAAAAAAAAAAAAAAAAGACATTGCTCAACCATCGCCTCCTCCGTGAAGCCTGCCTTGGTTCTCCAAGACAAAGTTGGCATCTCATTGCTGCTCCAGATTCCAAGAGTAGTTTGCATTTACTTCACTGGTGTTTGTTTTTTGTTTGTTTGTTTGTTTGAGACAGGGTCTCACTCTGTGAGTGAGGCTGGAGTGCAGTGGCACCATCTCAGCTCACTGAAACCTCCACCTCCTGGATTCAAGTAATCCTCATGCCTCAGCCTCCTGAGTAGCTGGGGTTACAGGCACACACCACCACACCCGACTAATTTTTGTATTTTTAGTAGAGATGGAGTTTCGCCATGTTGGCCAGGCTGGTCTCGAACACCTGACTTCAAGTGATCTGCCCATCTCAGCCTCCCAGAGTGCTGGGATTACAGGCAGAGCCGCCATGCCTGGCCTCTTCACTGGTTTTTAATCTCTGGCTCATGGGTACTGCCTCTCTCCTGGGTACTTCACTATGTGAAGTTTTTCTTCCAGCATCCCAAGCATAAACCTAACCCTCAGCAGGTGTTCCTGACCAGTTTGGTGGGTGGTTAAACTACACAGCAAGATGTATATTTCCTGTGAGAGATGGTATTATTTACCACGTGGTTTTCTCCTAATAGAACCCACCTCCCATAATAGAGGCTGTAAATTCCACCAACTTCTGCTCCCAGCCTCCCTTACAAATGGAGGTTGACAAGGGACTCATTTATGGTGAATAAGACTTAAGAAGTCTCCAAGGGGCTTTTCCCCCTCCTTGATATAAAGAGCACCTCAAAAGAGAGAAACTCTCTTGCCTGTCCTCTTCCTTCCTGTCGCTGAACACAACTGTGAGAGACTGTGATGCCTGGAGCTGCAGCAGTGATCTTGAGATGATGAGGCAATAGCTGTGGTGGTCATCTTGAGACCGTGAGGCAACAGCTGTGGCAGCCATCTTGAGACCATGAGGCAACAGCCTGGAGACAAAAGCCAACATGTTCAAAATGATGCAGTAGAAATGTTGGAAGTGGGTCTTTGATTATTCATCCTTAGATTCAAGGTGGGTAACATACTTCCATATCACTTCAAAGAGAAAACAGAAACCTCTATTGTTTAAAGGCATTTTTAGTTAGCGATTCCATTACTGGAACCAGAGAGCATGCTCACTGACATATGCTTTCTCACCCATGGCAGCAGTTAGGGACTCCACAGTACAAACATCTTTTCCCATCTAGCACCAGTTTAGAAAAAGGAGGGCCAAAAACTACCTCAAAAATTAAAATTATGGCCGCGAGCAGTGGCTCATTCCTGTAATCCCAGTACTTTGGGAGGCCGAGTCAGGTGGATAACTTCTGATCAGGAGTTCAAGACCAGCCTGGCCAACATGGTGAAACCTTGTCTTTACTAAAAATACAAAAATTAGCCGGGCACAGTGGTGTACGTCTGTAATCCCAGCTACTCAGGAGGTTGAGGTAGAAGAATTCCTTGAACCCAGGAGATGGAGATTGCAGTGAGCTGAGATCACACCATTGCACTCCAGCCTGGGCAACAAAGTGAGCTATGATCATGTCTCAAAAAACGTATATACATATATTAAAATTATGGGTCATGTATTATGGCTCATACCTGTAATCCCAATGCTTTTGGATGTTAAGGCAGGAAGATTGCTTGAGGCTAGGAGTTTGAGACCAGCCTGGGCAACATAAGACCCTATCTCTACCAAAAAATATTTAATAATTTAAAAAATTAAAATTATGAAGGTATTGTCCTTGTTTTGTTTCCAACTATCAATTTATTTGAAGTTAAACACTAAGTGAATAATAATGTTCTGTGGCTTGAGCATAAACTCAAAGATCGGACCTCCTGGTTGGTCACCTGAGTGCATGTCTAAGTCACCTATCTATTCAGTCTTTCCCCTCATGTTTTTGTTTTGCTTTGTTTTGTTTTGTTTTTGAGATGGGGTCTCGCTCTGTTGCCCAGGCTGGAGTGCAGTGGCATGATCTCAGCTCACTGCGACCTCCACCTCCCAGGTTCAAGTGATTCTCCTGCCTCAGCCTCCCGAGTAGCTGGGATTACAGGTGCCTGCCACCATGCCTAGCTAATTTTTGTATTTTTAGTAGAGATGGGGTTTCACAATGTTGGCCAGGCTGGTCTTGAACTCCTGAGCTCAAGCGATCCGCCCGCCTCGGCCTCCCAAAGTGCTGGGATTACAGGCATGAGCCACACAACCTCCCCTCATGTTTGTGAAGCATCATGTCCCTCCCCAACCCTCTGACCCTGAAGATGGCACCATGAATAAGGATGCTGTGCCACAAGGGTAATAGTTCACTCAGTAATTTACTCAAAGGCTATGAATTATGCAAATATGCTGAAAAGCTATGTGCTGAGTTGCCTTAGGTGAAAAAAAAGAAAATCAGGCAAATATGTACTTTAACCATCAAGCCAATGCAATAATCTGAATGTTACTTGCAAATCACAACTCAAAAGTTTGAGTTCAGAAGCTAAGCAGGAGCTGGTCAGGTGGATGGAGGTAGGGATGGGTATTATAGACTGAAACAGTGAGCGGTGGGGAACAGCCAACTGTCCTCAGGCTGATAAGCTATTCCACAGAACTCAGGAGTGAAATGTGTCAGAGCAAGAGGTCGGAGCATGTGGAGCCAGCTGACATGCTGAGGAGTTTGCACTTGCCCATGGGCTTGAAGGAGACATTGGAGGGTTTAGGTGGAAGAGACATGGTCAAGTACACATTTTAAAAGCCAGGTGCAGTGGCGCACACCTTTAATACTAGCACTGTGGGAGGCCAAGGCAGGAGGACTGCTTGAGGCAGGACTTCAAGACCAGCCTGGACAACACAGAGAGACCCCATTTCTACAAAAAAATTTGGCTCATGTCTCTAATCCCAGCACTTTGGGAGGCCAAGGTGGGTGGATCATGAAGTCAGGAGTTTGAGACCAGCCTGACCAACATGGTGAACCCTGTTTCTACTAAAAATACAAAAATTAGCCAGGCGTGGTGGCACATGCCTGTAATTCCAGCTACTCGGGAGGCTGAGGCAGGAGAATTGCTTGAACCTGGGAGGTGGAGGTTGCAGTGAGCTGAGATCGCCCCACTGCACTCCAGCCTGGGCAACAAAGCAAGACTCCGTCTCAAAACAAACAAAATATTAGTCAAGCGTGGTGGCATGTGCCTGTAGTCCTTGTTATTCTGGAGGCTGAGGTGGGAGGATCACTTGAGGTCACGAGTTTGAGGCTACAGTGAGCTATGATCATGCTTCTGAACTCCAGACTGGGTGGCAGACCCAGTTTCTTAAAAAACAAAACAAAACAAAAACAACACACACATTTATGCATTCTAGGATCATTACTCTGGAAGCTATCTGGTGGCTGGACAGAAAAGAGGGAAATGGAATTTGGGTTTAGTCATAGAGTTATAATTTGTTTTGGGATTTTTTTGTTGTGTGTTTTTTGAAACAGGATCTTGCTCTGTCACCCAGGCTGGAGTGCAGTGACACAATCACAGCTCACTGTAGCCTCAAACTCCTGGGCTCAAGTGATCCTCCCACCTCTGCCTCCTGAGTGTCTAGGACTGCAGGCATGTGCCACCATGCCTTGCTAACTTTTTAACTTTTTGTAGAGACAGGGTTTTGCCATGTTGCCCAGAGTGGTCTCAAACTCCTGGCCTCTAGCAATCCTCCTGCCTTGGCCTCCCAAAGTGCTTGGATTACAGGCATGAGCCACTGCGCCTGGCTAAGTTAATAGTTCTTGCCAGTGTCTGCCATTTAAACCCTGAATCTAAAGGGTGTGGGTCATTCACAGTGCCTGGCATATAGGAAGGAGGAAGGGCTCAATAAATAGCCACCGTTATTATTTCTATGATTATGTGTCCACCACCACCATCTGCAGAATGATGGCTAGATAAAATATATCAGCTAGAGGAGTAACTCAGCTGATACTGCAACCTCCACCTCCTGGGTTCAAGTGATTCTCCTGCCTCAGCCTCCTGAGTAGCTGGGATTACAGGCACCTGTCACGATGCCCAGTTAATTTTTTGTATTTTTATAGAGACAGGGTTTCACCATGTTGGCCAAGTTGGTCTCGAACTCCTGACAAGTAATCCACCCACCTCAGCCTCCCAAAGTACTGGGATTACAGGCATGAGCCACTGCGCCGCTGGCTGATACTGTTTCTATCAGCAACACCTAACACCACCAACCCCAGTGACATGCCACACACACTTGCTGACGACCTGCTATGGCAGCCTTTCAACTGCACCTTCATGTTCCATGTAGGCCCCTGTCTTTCACCACTCCACATTCTACCTGATTCACTAGGGCCTCACTTCTCATACTGAACCCCAGCTCTCCCCATCCTAACACTGGCAGTCAGAAGCTGGCTGTGTTATAGAGGAAGTGCTGTCTTCTTCTCCGTTGGGTAGGGTCTAGGTCAGAGATAAGTCACAGGATTCCAAGTCCCTAGGAAGAAATGTTTCAGGGGCCATGGGAGCCTTTCACCAGGAATTACCATTCTGTGTGTGGCAAACAAATGGTGAGAGTTCCCAGACCATCTTGTGCCCCTGCAGACATCACAAATCGATCACTGCACTCTTTCCTGCTAAACCAGATGTGCCTGAATGTCCTCCTCAACATGGTGCCCAGGCAATCATTAGTAACAGGTCTAAGCGAGCACATGCTTCACTAGGGGCCTTAGTCTGTTTATGCTGCTGTAACAGGATACTTGAGACTGAGTGATTTATAATGAACAGAAATTTATTTTCTCATTCTACAGGCTGGGAAGTCCAAGATCAAGGTGCTGGCATTTTGCCAGGGCCTTCTTGCTGTGTCACCACATCCGTGGCTGAAGGTAGAAGGGAGAGAGTGAGAAGCTGGGCACGGTGGTTCACGCCTGTAATCCCAGCACTTTGGTTCACGCCTGTAATCCCAGCACTTTGGGAGGCCAAGGTGGGTGGATTACTTGAGCTCAGGAATTCAAGACCAGCCTGGACAATATGGTGAAACCCTGTCTCCACCAAAAATACAAAAAAAAATTAGCCAGGCATGGTGGCGTGCAACTGTAGTCCCAGCTACTCAGGAGGCTGAGGTGGGAGGATTACTTGAGCCCAAGAGGAGGAGGCTGCAGTGAGTCAACATTGCACCACTGCACTCCAGCCTGGGCAACAGAGTGTGACCCCATCTCAAAAAAAAAAAAAAAAAGGAGAGAGGGTGAGAAAGTAAAAGAGAGCTGAACTCGCCCTTTTATAACAAACCCACTCTAGCGATAACAACATTAATCATTCACTGCACCCTCATGGCCTAATTGTCACAGGACAGACTCCAAAATTGGGCTTCATCTTGGAAGGCCACACGGATTTTTGGCTTTGTGCAGGAAGGAATTCAAGAGCAAGCCGACAGAGTGAAGTGAAAGCAAGTTTATTAAGAAAAGAAAGGAAGAAAAGGGTGGCTACTCCATAGGCAGAGCAGCCCTGAGGGCTTCTGGTTGGCTATTTTTATGGTTATTTATTGATCATATGCTAAACAAGGGGTGGACTTATAAAGAGGCAGGGAATTCCCAGAACTGAGAGTTCCTCTCACTTTCAGACCATATAAGATAACTTTTGGATGCTCCCATGGCATTTGTAAATTGTCGTGGCGCTGGTGGGGCTTTCCTTTGGTATGCTAATGTATTATAATTAGGGTGTAAAGAGCAGCGAGGATGACCAGAAGTTGCTGTCATCGCCATCTTGGTTTTGGTTGGCTTTTTTTTTTTTTTTTCGAGACGAGCTCTTGCTTGCTCTGTCGCCCAGGCTGGAGTGTAGTGACGTAACTATAGATCACTGCAGCCTAGACCACCTGGGCTCAAGCAATCCTCCTGCCTCGGCCTCCCAAGTAGCTGGGACTACAGGCACATGCCACCACACCTAGCTAATTTTTTGAATTTTTAGTAGAGGTGAGGTCTTGCTATGTTGCCCAGGCTGGGATTGAACTTCTGAGCTCAAGCAATCCTCCAAGTTTGGCCTCCCAAAGTGCTGGGATTACAGGCATGAGCCACCGTACCTGGTCTTGGCAAGCTTCTTTACTGCACCCTGTTTTATCAGCAGTCTTTGTGATCTGTGTCTTGTGAAACCAGTCCTGGTGAACTCCTATCTCATAATCATGTCTCATTAGGCCCACCTACCAATACTGTTGCATTGGGGATTAAGTTCCCATCACATGCTCTTTGGGGGATACTTTTTTTTTTTGAGACGGAGTCTTGCTGTGACATCCAGGCTGGAGTGCAATGGCACAACCTCGGATCACTGCAAACTCTGCCTTCTGTTTTCAAGTGATTCTCCTGCCTCAGCCTCCTGAATAGCTGGAACTACAGACATGCACCACCAAACCCAGCTAATTTTTGTATTTTTAATAGAGATGGGGTTTCACCATGTTGGCCAGGCTGGTCTCGAACTCCTGAGTTCAGGTGATCCGCCTGCCTCAGCCTCCCACAGTGCTTGGATTCCAGGCATGAACTGCCGTGCCCGGCCTAGGGGATACTTTCAAACCATAGAAGGGCTCTTATCCCCTATGCTCATGTTTTCCCGCTCTACTGCTCTGGAGTGAATTAGATTATGCTGACACTCCTGGGCCCTCGTCTCTATCCCCTCCTTAAGGGAGGAAGATGCTTCGTAGTGGTGAGAATGGCGTTTCCTAATCCCCACCTGATATGGTTTGAATATGTGTCTCCACCCAAATCTCATGTTGAAATGTAATCCCTGATGCTGAAGGTGGGTCCTGGTGGGAGGTGATTGGACCATGGGGGTAGTTTCTCATGGTTTAGTACCATCCCCGCCTTGGTACTATACAGTAAGTTAGTTCTCATAAGACATGGTTGTTTAAAAGTGTGAGGCACCTCCCCTGTCTCTCTTCCTCCTGCTCCTGCCATGTAAGACGTGCCTCTCCTTTCTCTTCACCTTCTGCCACAATTGTAAGTTTCCCAAGGCCTCCTCAGCCATGCTTCCTATACAGTCTGCAGAACCAGAAGCCAATTAAATATCTTCCCTTTAAAAATTACCCAATCTCAGGTATTTCTTTATAGCCATGTGAGAACAGACTAATACACTACCTGAGCAAGGGTTAATGTGTTGGCAGACAGCCCAAGCCCTCTGATTTACTGAGTCACAGCACAAAGGAACTGCAGGCTCCTCCCTGCAGGTGCGTAGAGGGACCCTCTCTCTCCCATCAGCATGCACACAAATCTTGCAGGGGAGTGGAGGCCCCAGTTGATTGAAAAAACTATTTTGACTTTTCAACAGTCCAAGTTATTTATTTCATCCAACTTCTCCTAAGCCAATAATCAGAGTATAAATTTCTAGTAGTTCTCAGTAAGAGACAATTAATTAGCTACCTAGTTAATTAGCTTCCTCAATAAGCGGGGAGGCAAAGACATTAACGGAGGCTTCAGTGTGTTTGATAAGTGTTTGCAAGTAGAAGAAGCCCAGAGAATTGCAGAACGTTTGCCTGCTGCGATTTTTTTTTTCTTTTTTTTTTTTTTTTTCAGAGTCTCGCTCTGTCGCCCAGGCTGGAGTGCAGTGGTGCAATCTCAGCTAGCTGCAAGCTCCGCCTCCCAAGTTCACGCCATTCTCCTGCCTCAGCCTCCCGAGTAGCTGGGACTACAGGGCCTGCCACCACGCCCAGCTAATTTTTTGTATTTTTAGTAGAGACGGGGTTTCACTGTGTTAGCCAGGATGGTCTCGATCTCCTGACCTCGTGATCCGCCCACCTCGGCCACCCAAAGTGCTGGGATTACAGGCATGAGCCACCGCACCTGGCCTGTGATTTTTTTTTTTTACAAAGATGCGCTGTCTTTGTTCCCCCAGAGATGTGTTGTTTCCCTGACAGTCAGATGCATCCCTGCCTGCCTTAAACAAAGGTCTGTGATCACTTTCTTTAACATCAAGGCCAGAGTTCCTGAAATCAATGAGAAATTCTAAACATACCAGGATGCCTTACAAACAGGTGGGCTTTTTGTTCTCCAGAAAATGCAATGAATTTAAAACATTGTACCAAACATCTTCAAAACCTAGTCATGAAAGTAACATGCTTTATTACATTAAATGAAATTAAATCAGTAGAGGACAAATGCACTAAGGAGGCTAATGGCCAACATGATTAGTCACTGCTAACTTGCATGAAATCAATAGTAACCAAGAGGAGTTCCATCAGTTTGTACTGAAACAAAACGTGAGAGAAGAATCCAGCATACTGGAAGAACAACGAAAAAGATGAAATAATCTTTTAGCTGGGAAAAATATGTTGTTTTGAATATTTTGAGTATATTTTAACTTCAGGATATTATTTAAGGAAAAGCTTAGAAGTGTACTCCACAAAGAATTAAGAAACACATGTCCTCATAACTTTTATTATGTTCTTTTGATTAAAATAATACATATTCATTCCTATATGCTCCTTCATATTACAAATGATTTTTACATCATGAAGATGATGCTATTCTGTGCTCTGTATTCTGTTTCAAACTTAGAATTATACTTCATAAACCTCTTCTGTGACTAAAACTTCTCCAAAAACTTTCACTGGCTGCTGGCGTTCCACTAAAAGTGTCATCAATGACCCCATCAAAGGATATTTTTCTGTCATCCTCCCAGAATTCACTTCTCATTGGCATCTGGTCCTGTCAATTCGTCTTTTTTTTTTTTTTTTTTTTGAGATGGAGTCTTGCTCTGTCACCCAGGCTTGGAGTGCAGTGGTGCGGTCTCACCTCACTGCAACCTCCACCTCCCAGGCTTAAGCGATTCTCCTTCCTCAGCCTCCCAAGTAGCTGGGACTAGAGGTGTGTGCCACCACCTCCAGCTAATTTTTTGTATTCTCAGCAGAGACAAGGTTTCACCATGTTAGCTAGGCCAGGCTCAAACTCCTGGCCTCAAGTGATCTCCCTGCCTCGGCCTCTCAATGTGCTGGGATAACAGATATGAGCCACCATGCCTGGCTGATTAGTCTTTTCTTGATCCACTCTTCCCACTGGATTTCTGTGACTCCACGGCCTGGTGTCTCTCCTAAAACTGTCTTTGCAAAAAATTATAACAGTAAGGAAATTACGACAGTGAAAGATTGGGTCTCACCAATCCCCATCTTGCCTTCAACATCCAAACTGCCTTTAATCATATCTGGGCTTGGGCCAAGCAAACTTTGGGAGACATTTAGTTTATAGTTTAAATGATAATATCCCTTCTCCAAAACTCAACCGCCTTCGTAAAGCTAATGAGAGACCACCAGGCGAGGAGGATGAGAAGAGCCTGAATTCTGCTGAGATGTAGACTAAACGATTACCAGCCATTATTCCAGAGGTCACAAGATTTGCAACCCCCCAATAACTCCTACAGATAACATCACTATTATTACAGAAACTAAGATTGGCCTTTTGAGATAAGGTTTCAGGTTTGTGCATTTCTGACAACCAACGGCTCCACCTGGACCCGCCAAACTCCCTCTGGCCCCACCCAGAAGTGAACTCGGCAGACAAGGACCATTTTTCACACCCCTATGATTGCATCCCCAACCAGTTAGCAGCACCCCTACCCTAGCCCCCTGCCCACCAAATTATCATTACCTCTGAATTCTCAGGGAGATCAAGTTGAGTAATAATAAAACTCCAGTCTCTCATTCAGCTGGCTGTATGTGAAGTAAGCTCTTTCTCTGTTGCAATTGCCCTGTCTTGGTAAGTCAGCTCTCTCTGGACAGCCAGCAAAATGAACTCATTGCACACGGTTACACTCTCATCTCTACCTGCTGTAGACTCACCTCCTCTATTGGAGCTCATCAAGGCTGGGTCTTTCCTGTTCTCATTTTATTCTCTCTCCTTAGGTGATCTCAGCCCTCCTCCAGGCTTCGATTATAACTTACAGGATTGTGATTCACACATTTCAGTTTCCACCACAGGCCCCTCCAGACATGTCCATCTGCCTGCTGTGTTGACTTTTCCCTTTGGAGTCTTGAGGCAGCTACAAGCTTACTGACCAGAAATGAACTCAAGCTCTCCCCGAAGCCTGGTCCTCTTCCAGGATCAGCCAGCCTGGAAGATGGCACTGTCATCCACCCTGTTCTCAGGCCTGCCACCCAGGAGTCAACCTTAGCCCCATCTAATTGTCAGAGGCATCTGAACCACAGCAACTCCATCTTGAGTAGGGGATGGGTAAAATGAGGCTGAGACCTGCTGGGCTGCATTCCCAGACAGCCAAGGCATTAGCCACAGGATAAGATAGGCGGTCGGTACAAGACACAGGTCATAAAGACCTTGCTGATAAAACAGTTGGCAGTAAAGAAGCCAGCCAAAACCCACTAAAACCAAGATGGCAACGAGAGTGACCTCTGGTCGTCCTCACTGCTACCCTCCCACCAGCACCATGACAGTTTACAAATGCCATGGCAATGTCAGAAAGTTACCCTATAGGGTCTAAAAAGGGGAGGCATGAATAATCTACCCCTTGTTTAGCATATCATCAAGAAATAACCATAAAAATAGGCAACCAGCAGCCCTCAGGGATGCTCTGTCTATGGAGTAGCCATTCTTTTGTTCCTTTACTCTCTTAATAAACTTGTTTTCACTTTACTCTATGGACTCGCCCTGAATTCTCTCTTGTGCAAGATCCAAGAACCCTCTCTTGGGGTCTGGATCGGGACCCCTTTCCTGTAACATAATCAATTTGGTGCCAAATGCATGAAGTGTTATCTTCTAGGTCTCTCAAATCCATCCACTGTTCTCCATCCAGGAGAGTGTCACCAGGGCTGGCACAGATGGTTGCATACTGCAGAAAGGTCACCACGCAAGCCATTACCTCTCACCTGTTCCATGAAAATACCAACTCATCTCCTTCCCTTTTGGCCTCTCCAAGCCATATTCCAATCCACAGCTAAAACGATTTCATTAAAATGCAAATCTAATCCCGTTGTTCCTTTGCATAACTGCCCTGGGGAGAGGCCCGGCCTCTGCCTCCCCGAGTCATCACCCATTATGTGCCCCTGGTGTCCCCGTGTGGCCTGGCTCTTCCCTTCACTTCCCACATCGTCCTTCAGCTCCAGCCACTGTGGCCTTCCTGCAGCTGCCCAGGTGTGTCACGCTCCAGTATTTGTCCATTTTCACGCTGCTGATAAAGACATGCCCGAGACTGGGTAATTTATAAAGAAAAAGAGGTTTAATGGACTCACAGTTCCATGTGGCTGGAGAGGCCTCACAATCGTGGTGGAAGGCAAAAGCCATGTCTTACATGGCGGCAGACAAGAGAGAGAGTGAGAGCCAAGCAAAAGGGGAAATCCCTTTTAAAACCATCAGATCTCGTGAGACTTATTCACTACCATGAAGACAGTATGGGAGAAAGAGCCCCCATGATTCAATTACCTCCCACCAGGTCCCTCCCTAAACGTGGGAATTATGGGAGCTATCATTCAAGATGAGATTTGGGTGGGGACACAGCCAAACCCTATCAGCCCCCGCCCCCTACCCCAGGAATTGGAAGAATTCTTCTCTTAGGCACCAGCACAATCAGTGCACGCCTCCTCCCACATCTCTGACTCCATCTCTCCAATGACAATCACCCAGAGACTGTCTCTCTCTTCTGTGGCTCTTACCATCACTTGTATTTGATGTATAATATTTATTTCTGTGGATCTTTGTCTTTGATGAATGTGGCACATCATAATGATAAGAAATATCCTTTCTTTTTCCTATCCTCCTTTTACTTATCAATAAATCCCCTGTAACTAGAACAAAATTGGTATTCAGTAAACATCTGTTGAATGACTTGAATTATCTAGACAATAGAGTGTACTGTAATGATTTTGCCATGCTTTCAAGAAATATTAAATGCCGGCCGGGCATGGTGGCTCACGCCTGTAATCCCAGCACTTTGGGAGGCCGAGGCAGGTGGATCATGAGGTCAGGAGATCGAGACCATCCTGGCTAACAAGGTGAAACCCTGTCTCTACTAAAAATACAAAAAATTAGCCGGGCGCGGTGGCAGGCACCTGTAGTCCCAGCTACTCGGGAGGCTGAGGCAGGAGAATGGCGTGAACCCGGGAAGCGGAGCTTGCAGTGAGCCGAGATTGCGCCACTGCAGTCCGCAGTCTGGCCTGGGCGACAGAGCGAGACTCCGTCTCAAAAAAAAAAAAAAAAAAAAAGAAATATTAAATGCCTCCTGTATTTTATTTTATTTATTTATTTATTTATTTATTTGAGATGGAGTTTTGCTCTTGTTGCCCAGGCTGGAGTGCACTGGTGTGATCTTGGCTCACTGCAACCTCCATGTCCCAGGATAAAGTGATTCTCCTGCCTTGGCCTCCCAAGTAGCTGGGATTACAGACATGTGCCACCATATCTGGTTACTTTCGTATTTTTAATACAGACAGGGTTTCACCATCTTGGCCAGGCTGATCTCGAACTACTGACCTCAGGTGATCCACCCGCCTTGACCTCCCAAAGTGCTGGGATTACAGGCATGAGCCACCGTGCCCAGTGGACTACTGCATTTTACGTTAAAGTTTCCTGGGTTTTGCTATTATTAAATGCTTTAATAATTGTAAGATACAATGAATTTCTCTTCAAAAGTTCAGCCTGTTAACTTCCTTGTTCTCAAACCTAACTTTCTTGTTCTCCATGCCTCCTTGCCCCTAGTTACTGTAAACAACTTTTCTGTCAGCTCTAATCAAGAACTCACATCTGTTCCCTTGGTTACTCACTCTGCACCCATTCCACCCTTTGAAACCACACCTCCCACACATCCCACCATTGTAACTCACATCCCCCTTCCCCCTTCCTTATTTGGGAAAACTATTCACAAATAGCCAATTGGGTCAGTTTAGATTGTGCAGTCCAACCCCAGCTCATGGGGGAGTAACACAGAGTTAGGGATTGCATTAAGAACAAAAACCCCTGTTTTCCTTTGTTCCCTGTGCTCCTGCAATCGTGATTGATGCAGGCAGCACCCTTCTGCAGAAGTAAACTGCCTTGCTGAGAAAAAACTTTTGCCTGAGTGAGTACTGGTTTCACTTTGTGGCACCAAGCATTTACTTCTAACATAAATATCTTTCTTTAAATATTTTTTTTTTTTTTTGGCCAGGCATGGTGGCTCATACCTGTAATCCCAGCACTGTGGAAGGCTGAGGCAGGCGGATCATGAGGTCAAGAAATCAAGACCATTCTGGCCTACATGATGAAACCTCATCTCTACTAAAAATACAAAAATTAGCTGGATGTGGTAGCGTGCACCTGTAGTTCCAGCTACTCAGGAGGCTGAGGCAGGAGAATTGCTTGAACCTGGGAGGTGGAGGTTGCAGTGAGCTGAGATCACACCACTGCACTCCAGCCTGGCAACACAGCGAGACTCCATCTCAAAATATATATATGTGTGTGTGTGTGTGTGTGTGTGTGTGTGTGTGTGTGTGTGTGTGTAATTTTTTTTCTTTAAATCATTTAACCCAAAGGTAAAGATAAAAGTTCTCGGTATGTATTGCCAAACTGCTTTTGAAATATCTGTATTTGGCCAAGTGCAGTGGCTCATACCTGTAATCCCAGCAATTTGGAAGGCCAAGGTGGGTGAATTGCTTGAGCCCAGTAGTTTGAGACCAGCCTGAGCAACAAAGTGAAACCCTGTTTTTACAAAAAAAAATACAAAAATTAGCCAGGTGTGGTGGTGTGCACCTGTAATCCCAGCTACTTGAGAGGCTGAGGTGGGAGCATAGCTTGAGCCTGGGAGGTCAGGGTTGCAGTGAGCCATGCTCATGCCACTGTACTGGAGCCTGGGCAACAGAGTGAGACCATGTCTCAAAAAAGAAGTCTATATTTTATTGTAATATAATACTTTTTAAAACTTTTGCTAATTTTATAACTGCCTGATAGGTTCTTTCTGCCCACTGCACAAACAAAATAGACCATGGCATTGCAATAAAGAAAAACTTTAACTGACACGCCAGCCACATCACGTAGGAGACAAATTTACTACTCAAACCTGTCTGCATGAAGGCTCAGAGGTTAGGGATTTTTCAAGGATGGTTTGGTGGAGGCTGGGCGCAGTGGCTCACGCCTGTAATCCCAGCACTTTGGGAGTCAAGGCAAGCAGATCACTTGAGGCCAGGAGTTTGAAACTAGCCTGGCCAACATGGTGAAACCCTGTCTCTACTAAAAACACAAAGATTAGCTGGGCGTGGTGGTGCAAGCCTGTAATCCCAGCTACTTAGGAGGCTGAGGCAGGAGAATTGCTTAAACCCAGGAGGTGGAGGTTGCAGTGAGCCAAGATCATGCCACTGCACTCCAGCCTGGGCAACAGAGTGAGACTGCAATTCAAAAAAAAAAAAAATGGTTTGGTGAGCTAGGGATAAGGGTGGCTAGGCAGTGGGTGCTTGCTGCCAATTGGTGGGTGAGAGAGAAAATCCTAGGGAGCTTGGCCTGATGTGGTGGCTCACATCTGTAATCCCAGCACTGTGGGAGGCCGAGGCAGGTGGATCACGAGGTCAGGAGATTGAGACCATCCTGGCTAACACGGTGAAACCCTGCCTCTACTAAAACTACAAAAATTAGCTGGGCATGGTGGCGGGCGCCTGTAGTCCCAGCTACTCAGGAGGCTGAGTCAGGAGAATGGCATGAACCCGGGAGGCAGAGCTTGCAGTGAGTGGAGATCGTGCCACTGCACTGTAGCCTGGGCGACAGAGCAAAACTCTGTCTCGAAGAAAAAAAAAAAATCCTAGGGAGCTGAAGCTATCTTCTTGTGCTGAGTCAATTCTGGGTGTGGCCACAGGAGCAGCTGGCAGGTCCAGGCAGAGCCAGGTGTGGAAAAGACATCTCAAAAGGTCAATCTTAGGTTCTACGATAATGATGTTACCTGCAGGAGTAATTGGAGAAATTGCATATCTTGTGACCTCCAGAATAATGGCTGGCAATTGTTTATATTTACAGATAGTAGAAATCAGGCTTCTCTGTCCTCCTCGCCTGATGGTCTCTCATTAGCTTTACGAAGGCAGTTGAGTTTGGGGAAGAGCTATTACCATTTAAACCATAAACTAAATGTCTCCCAAAGTCGGCCCAGTCTAATCCCAAGAATAATTAAGGCAGCTTTAAGGCTAAAGTCAAGAGGGGGGTTGGCTAGATCAGATCTCCCCTGCTGCCATAATTTTCTTGCTGATATAATTTTTGCAAAGGTGGTTTCAATTTGATGAATAAAATATTCTTTTAATTTGCATTTCCCTGGAGAAAGTGAACAGTTCATATTTTGCAGCCATCTGTATGTCCTCACTGATAACACTTTATGTCCCATGTCCTTTGTTCATTCAGCCAGCCAAGTCTTAACATTTTTAAAATTCAACTATATGAGGTTTTTGAGGATTTGTCTATCACACTTCATACAAATTATTTCTCCCAATCTTTGCCTTTTGAGTTTATGTGATGTTTGATATATCAGACGCTTAAACATATTCTACAGTCAAGGATTTTTCGACCTTTCCTTTATGAGTTCTTACACTGGCTTTAGACCAACAATGGTTCTGAAAGTGTGGTCTCTGGGCTAGCAGCATTAGCAGCATCTAATGAAACCACCTTTGCAAAATTACGATTGAGACAGTGAAAGAGATCTAACTTCACTGACTCCATCTTGCTGTCCTTGTTCATTCCTGGGCATAGGCTGAACTAACTTTGGGAGAAACTTGGTTTATAGCTTAAACAAAGATGGTAACAGCCCTTTCCCAAAGCAAAACTCTTCTTGCCTGGGGACTAGAATGCCTTTGTAGGACTAACATTAACCACAACATTAGATATTATGGTTTAGGAGTCATGCTGCTGGAGGCTACAAGATTCTGACCCTCCCTAAATTGCTCCTAAGATCAGTGCTCCAGATATTTTGCAGACACTGCACTTGATGGATCAGCTGGTGCCACCCAGATTGATAAACTGGCTCATCTGATCTTGTGGTTCCCACCCAGGAACTGACTGAGCACAAGAAGACAGCTGCGACTCCCTGTGATTTCATCTCTGACCAATCAGGATTCCTGGCTCACTGGCTTCCCCCCACCCATCAAGTTGTCCTTAAAAACTCTGCTCCCCCGCGCCGGGCGCGGTGGCTCACGCCTGTAATCCCAGCACTTTGGGAGGCCGAGACGGGCGGATCACGAGGTCAGGAGATCGAGACCATCCTGGCTAACACGGTGAAACCCCGTCTCTACTAAAAATACAAAAATTAGCCGGGCATGGTGGCACGCGCCTGTAGTCCCAGCTACACGGGAGGCTGAGGCAGGAGAATGGCGTGAACCCGGGAGGCGGAGCTTGCAGTGAGTCGAGATCGCGCCACTGCACTCCAGCCTGGGCGACAGAGCGAAACTCCGCCTCAAAAAAAAAAAAAAAAAAAAAAAAAAACTCTGCTCCCCAAGTGCTCTGGGAGACTGATTTAATAATAAAACTCCAGTCTCCCGCACAGCCGGCTCTGTGTGAATTACTCTTTCTCTGTTGCAATTCCCCCATCTTGAGGAATTGGCTCTGTCTAGGCAGGGGGCAAGGTGAACCCCTTAGGCGGTTACACTAGGAGCCTTTTAGAAATGCAAATTCTACTCACTGAAGACCTATGATATCAGGATATCAGATACTCTGGGGCTGACCCCAGTAATCTGTATTAAGTTCTCCAGGAGATTTCTGATGCAAAGGAAAGTTGTGGAAGCCACTAGTCAAGAAACAGCTTCCTTACGTAAGCTTTCTTCTGAGCATTTTGTTTCTCCTGATTCCTTTTGGTATATAATAGCACTAAATGTTTTTCTCCCAAACCCCCACCGATTTAGGATGCTTCCTTTATCTTAAGTTTTATAAACATTCAGATTTGCCTCTGTGCTTTCATTCTTTTTTAACAGCTTTATGAGATAAAATTCGCATACCATAAGATTCACCCATTTAAAGTATACAACAGTAAGGGGAGCCAGGCATGGTGGCTCATGCCTGTGAATCCCAGCACTTTGGGAGGCTGAGGGTGGATCACTTGAGTTCAGGAGTTCAAGACCAGTCTGGCCAACATGGTGAAACCCTGTCTCTACCAAAAATACAAAAACTAGCCAGGTGTGGTGGCACACGCCTATAGTCCCAGCTACTCAGGAGGCTGAGTCATGAGAATCGTTTGAACCCGGGAGGTGGAGGTTGTAGTGAGCCAGATCTCACCACTGCACTCCAGCCTGGGTGACAGAGCCAGACTCCATCTCAAAAAAAAAAAAAAAAAAAAGTGTACACAACAATTTGGGGACTTTCAGTATATTCAGACTCGTGCCAACATCACAGTGTTCCCACATTCTGATTTTAGTCATTTGCATCTTCTCTTTTGTTCCTGGTGAGTCTAACTAAAGGGTTGCCAATTTTGTTGATCTTTTCAAAGAACTAACTTACTATTTCACAGATTTTTCTCCACTGTTTCCTTTTCTGTATTTCATTTATTTCCACTCTAATGTTTATTATTTTCTTCATTCTGTTTGCTTTGAGTTTCATTTGCTCTTCTTTTTCTAGTTTCTTAAGGTAGAATGTTAGATTATTGATTTGAGATATATCTTCTTTTCAATGTAAGCATTAACTATAAATGTCCCTCTAAGCACTGGTTTAGTAGTATTCCATAAATTTTGGTGTTTTTATTTTCATCCATCTCAAAGTATTTCCTACTTTCCCTGGATGATCTCTTTTTTTGACCTGTTGATTCTTTAGGATTTTTAAAAATGTTTACATATTTGTGAATTTCTTAAATTTTTTTCTGTGGTTGGTTTCTAATTTCCTCCCATTGGTTGCAGAACATAACTTGTATATTTTCAGTCTTTTTTAATTTACTGAGACTTATTTTATGGTCTAACATATAGTCTATCCTGGAATGTTCCATGTGCCCTTGAGAATAATGTATTGCTAGATGGAGTGTTCTGTCATGTCTATTAGGTGGAGTTAGTTTATAGTGTTACCCAAATCTTCCATTTCTTGCTGGTCTTCTGACTAGTCCTTCTATCTATTATTGGAAGTGGGGTATGTAAGTCTCTATTATTGTGGTCTTTCTCGTATACATTCTGTCAGGTTTCGCTTTATATATTTTGGGGCTCTATTGTTAGGTGCATGTATGTTTATAATCATTATATCTTTCTAGTAAATTGGTCCTCTTATCATTTTAAAATGTTCTTTGTTTTTAGTAGCAATTTTATCTTAAAGTCGCTACATATTTTTTTCATGCCTGTAATCCCAGCACTTTGGGAGCCCAAGGCAGGTAGATCACAAGGTCAGGAGTGATGGTGACCAAGATGGTGAAACTCTGTCTCTACTAAAAATACAAAAATTGGCTGGGTGTGGTGGCGTGCACCTATAATCCCAGCTACTTGGGAGGCTGAGGCAGGAGAATTGCTTGACCCAGGAGGTGGTGTTTGCAGTGAGCCAAGATCGTGCCACTGCACTCTAGCCTGGGTGACAGAATGAGACTCCATCTCAAAAAAAAAAAGTCTCTACATATTTTTAATATTGCTGTAGCCACTCCAGCTCTCTTTTGGTTACTGCTTTCATGGGATATCTTTTTCCTTCCTTTAACTTTCCACCTATTTGCCTTTGAATCTAAAGTATGTCTCTTATAGACAGCATATAGTTGGATTTTTAAACAATTTTATTGTCTTTTTAAAATTTTAGATTCAGTGGGTACATGTGCAGGTTTGTTACAGGGGTATACAGCATGATGCTCAGGTTTGAGGTATGATTAAACCCATCACCCAAGTAGTGAGCATAGCACTCAACAGGTTTCTCTCAACCCTTGCTTCCCTTCCTCCCTCCCCAGTTTTGTAGACCCCAGGGTCTATTGTCCCCATATTTATGTCCATTTGTACCGGTGAAAACAATGCAGTTATTGGTTTTCTGTCTCTGCATCAGTTCACTGAGTAATGGCCTCCAGCTTCATTCATGTTGTTGCAAAGGACATGATTTCATTCTTTTTTTATGGCTATGGGGTATTCCATGGTATATATGTGCCACATTTTCTTTTTTTTTTTTTTTTTTTTTTTGAGACTGACTTTTGCTCTTGTCAGCCAGGCTGCAGTGCAGTGGCATGATCTCAGCCCACTGCAATCTCCCACTCCCGGGTTCAAGCGATTTTCCGCCTTAGCTTCCTGAGTAGCTGGGATTACAGGTGCCTACCACCACGCCTGGTGAATTTTTGTATTTTTAGTAGAGATGCGGTTTTACCATGTTGGCCAGGTGGTCTTGAACTCCTGACCTCAGGTGATCCACCTGCCTCAGCCTCCCAAAGTGCTGGGATTACAGACATGAGCCACCATGCGTGGCCACCACATTTTCTTTATCCAGTCCACTGTTGATGGGCATCTAGGCTAATTCCATGTGGTTTGCTAGGGCAAATAGTGCTGCAATGAACATAGTTAATCCATTCTTCCATCTCTGTCTTTTGATTGGGGTGTTTAATCCATCCACATACTATAGTTACCTATAAGGTAGAAGTAATGTCTGCAATTTTTACTACTTCTTTTTTTAATGTCTTATGATTATGCTCTTCTATTCCTCCATTACTGTCATCTTTTGTAATCAACAGACATTTTCCATTGTATCTTTTAAAATTCCTTTGTTATTTCCTTTGCCATATGTATTTTAAATGTATTCTCTTAGTGGTTAGCCTGGGGATTACAATTAACATCTTAAAACAATCTCTTTTGGATTCATATCCACTTAATTTCAATAGTGGCAGTCAAGAGTCACTCCAATATACCTTTATTCTCTCCTCACTCCCTTGTGCTATTATTATCATACAAATTACATCTCTATATATTATAAGCCCATCAACACAGTTTTGTAATTATTGCTTTAGGCAGCTGTCCTTTAAAACAGAAAATTTACAAACAAAACTGTTTATATTGTCTTTCACCATACCTACATAGTTACCCTTACCTCTGCTCTTTATTTCTTCATCTGGATGCAAGTTAATGTCTGGTGTTCTGGTCGGGCGCAGTGGCTCATGCCTGTAATCCCAGCACTTTGGGAAGCCGAGTCGGGTGGATCACCTGAGGTCAGCAGTTTGAGACCAGCCTGGCCAACATGCCGAAACCCTGTCTGTACTAAAAATACAAAAATTAGCCGGGCGTGGTGGCGTGTGCCTGTAATCTCAGCTACTCAGGAGGTTGAGGCAGGAGAATCGCTTGAACCTGGTAGGCAGAGGTTGTAGTGAGCCGAGGTCGCACCACTGCACTGCAGCCTGGGTGACAGAGTGAGACTCTGTCTCAAAAAAAAAAAAAAAAAATCTGGTGTCCTTTCATTAAAGCCTGAAAAAACTCCCTTTAGTACTTCTTTTGGGAAGGTTTGCTAATGACAAATTCTTTGTTTATCTGGCAATGTCTTCATTTCTCCATTAATTCTGAAAAAGGGTTTAACTAGATAGAACATTTTTGGCTAACCATCTATTTCATCCTCTCTTCTGGCATCCATGTTTTCTGCTGAGAAGTCAACAGCTAATTTTACTGAAGTTCATTCGATAGATGATTTTCAGTTTGTGGTGAAATTCCAGTTTATTATCAGAATTCTAAAATTGGTTTATTTTAGATGTATTGCGCATATTTTCATTGTTTTAGAGGGAGACAGAGTTCACTGAGGCCCCCACTCTGCCGTTTTGGAACTGATCTCATTTCATTTTAATTATTTAGGTAGCATATTTTAATATAAACCAACTTTCACTTAATAGTTATTTTTTCTAAAATTTCTTAACTATTGTCTGTTTGGCTAATTTTTCAGTTGAATGTTAGAATCATTTTCTTAAGCTCCAAAAAGAAATTCTGATAGAACTTGGGATGTTATTTTGCCAACAGATCACCTTCTTAGAACATTCAGGTTTCCCATTCTCTCCCACTTTTATACTGTTCAGCAAACTTAATGAATGTTTTCATGTAGATTGCATTGTATTTTCCTTAGACATTTCAAATGTTCTGTTGTGACTGTGAACTGGGCTTAAAGTGCTGTTATTTTAAATATGAATCAATACATCAATATTTTCTGGGATGAAAGAAAAACACTCATCTATCAATGAGAATCAGGAGATTGAGATCACGAGGTCAGGAGATTGAGACCATCCTGGATAACACAGTGAAACCCCGTCTCTACTAAAAATACAAAAAATTAGCCAGGCGTGGTGGCGGGTGCCTGTGGTCCCAGCTACTGGGGAGGCTGAGGCAGGACAATGACGTGAACCTGGGAGACGGAGCTTGCAGTGAGCTGAGATTGTGCCATTGCACTCCAGCCTGGGCGACAGAGCGAGACTCTGTCTCAAAAAAAAAAAAAAGTTAATGGAATCAGGAGGGTTCATTCTGTAGGTAAGAGGTTTGCTTTTTTTTTTTCTTTGAAACAATAAAATATCTTTGTTCAATTTAAATCTTGAGGCCACTCATGGTGGCTCACACTTATAATCACAGCACTTTGGGAGGCTGAGGTGGGCGGATCACTTGAGGTCAGGAGTTTGAGACTAGCCTGGCCAACATGGTGAGACCCCCCCCCCCGCCATCTCTACCAAAAATACAAAAATTCACCAGGCATGGTGATTTGTGCCTGAAATCTCAGCTAATCAGGAGGCTGAGGCAGAGAATCACTTGAACCCGGGATGCAGAGGTTGCAGTGAGCTGAGATCACACCACTGCACTCCAGCCTGGGTGGCAGAGCAAGACTGTCTCAAAAAAAAAAAAAAAAAAAAAAAAATATATATATATATATATATTAAGCAGGACTTCAATTCATAAAAAAGAAAAGCAGACCTGTGTGGTTGAAAAGAGGTTGAGGAGTAGCACAAAGTCCTGCATGCTCTGCCTCCTTCCTCACTCCTTAGGGCAGCCTCCGAGTTGCTTTCCAACAACTGGATGCTTTGTTAACTCTCCTGTATAAGAGCCCATCTGTGGGCTCCTTAGCATAAGCTCTTACTTTCTAACACTTCATCCTACTTGAAAGACTTTTTCCATCTCTCTTCAGTGACCACTAACACATCTGTGTCTCAGTAAGACCCTGCTTCACTGACTTGGACCACCTGGCCCTGTCTGTTGCATTAAGTCAGTCAGCAGAACAGGGGACTGAACAGAAGCTGAAAGATGTGGCGGGGACCAGGCATGGTGGTTCACACCTATAATCCCAGTGCTTTGGGAGTCTAAGATGGTAGAATTGCTTGAGGCCAGGAGTTCAAGACCAGATTGGGTAACACAGCAAGACCCCATCTCTACAAAAAATTGAAAAATTAGGCATGGTGGCATGTGCTGGTGGTCCCAGCTACTTAAGAGACTGAGGTGGGAGGATTGCTTGAGCCCAGGAGTTTGAGGCTGCAGTGAGCAGTGATTGCACCGCTGCACTCCAGCCTGGGTGACAGAGTGAGACCCCATCTGTTAAAGAAAATTTAAAAACAAAAAACGTTCTTAAAGACCTGGTGACTTGGGCCAATCGCAGTGGCTCACACCTGTAATCCCAGCACTCTGGGAGGTCGAGGCGGATCACTTGAGGTCAGGAGTTCGAGGCCAGCCTGGCCAACATGGTGAAACCCCATCTCTACTAAAAATACAAAAATTAGCCAGGCGTTCGTGGCGCATGCCTATAGTCCTAGCTACTCAGGAGGCTGAGGCAGGAGAATCACTTGAACCTGAAGGCAGAGGTTGCAGTGAGCCAAGATCTCACCACTGCACTCCAGCCTGGGCAACAGAGTGAAACTCCATCTCAAAAAAAAGACCCAGTGACTTCAAGAAAGATAACACTTCTGTGCTACTTTGTCACTATCCCATCTGTGACATAATTTTATATATATATTTGGTATTTAGTCTCTGTCCTCGGTACCTGGAACAGAGCTCTTGAAACCCTTGTAATCTCCTGAGTGCACCCAGCACGGGTGCAGCTTTTATCCTCATATTTGCTTTTTGACCCAGCTCCTGCCATTGAGCTCCAAATCTCTTGGAATGTCCTGGGTTACAGGAGCATCTTTTGTTCTAATGAAGTGGGCTTGCTTTTGGTGGGCTCCTGGATGAGGCTGGCCACCAGAAGGACCGACATGATTAGAAGATTGGAACTTTCAGCCCCACCCCCGATCTGCTGGGGTGCCTACATGATGAAGCTTCCGTAACAACCACTAACTATGGCACATAGGGAGCTTCCAGACTGCTAAATACATCAACATGCTGGGAGGGTGGCACAGCTCAACTCCCCAGGGACAGAAGCTTCTCTGCCCAGGATCTTCCCAGACCTTGCCCTCTGTATCTTTTCATCTGCCTGTTCATTTGCATCCTTTGAAATATCCTAATAAGTTGGGTGCGGTGGCTCAAGCCTGTAATCCCAGCACTTTGGAAGGCTGAGAAAGGTAGATCACTTGAGGTCAGGAGTTCAAGACCAGCCTGACCAACATGGTGAAATCCTGTCTGTACTAAAAATATAAAAATTAGCCAGGTGTGGTGGTTCATGCCTGTAATCCCAGCTACTTGGGAGGCTGAGGCACAAGAATCGCTTGAACCCAGGAGGCAGAGGTTGTACTGAGCTGAGATTGTACCACTGCACTCCGGCATGGGCAATGCAGCAAGACTGTTTCCAAAAAAAAAAAAATCCTAATAAATCCGCAATAGTAAGTGAATTGTTTTCTTGGGTTCTGTGGGCTACTCTAGCAAATTATTGAACCTAAGAATGTGGTTCCTCTGATTTACAGAGGAAGAACCTCTGATTTATGGCCATGTCAAACAGAAGCTGTGGGTAACCTGGGGACCTCCTACCTGCAACTAGTGTCTGAAGTGAGGGACAGTCTTGTGGGACTGAGCTTTTTTTTTTTTTGAGACAGAGTCTTGCTCTGTCACCCAGGCTGGAGTGCAGTGGTGCCATCTCAGTTCACTGCAACCTCTGCCTCTTGGGTTCAAGCCATTCTCCTGCCTCAGCCTCCTGAGTAGCTGGGATTACAGGTGCACACCACCACATCCGGCTAATTTTGGTAATTTTAGTAGAGACGGGGTTTCACCATGTCGGTCAGGCTGGTCTTGAACTCCTGACCTCAGGTAATCCGCCTGCCTGGGCCTCCCAAAGTGCTGGGATTACAGGCGTGAGCCATGGTGCCGGGCGTTGGGACTGAGCTCTTAACTCAGGGAGTCTTTGTTAATTCATTAGCATCAGAATTGAACTGAACAGTAGGATGCCCGGCTGGTGTCAGAGAATTGATTGGTATAGCAAAAAGCCCCACAAATTTGGTGTCAGAAGTGAAGGATTGAGTGGTGTGAGTACAGAGAGAAAAACGATTGGTCTTTCCTGTATTCACTGATCCATGTAACAATACAGAAAAGTATTTTGATTGATTCTACCATTTAGAAATAAGTATGGTGGGGGTGGGTGCAGTGGCTCCCGGCTGTAATCCCAGCACTTTGGGAGGCCGAGGCAGGCGGATCACAAGGTCAGGAGTTCAAGACCAGCCTGGCCAATATGGTGAAACCCCGGCTCTACTAAAAATACAAAAATTAGCCAGGCATGGTGGTGGGTACCTGTAGTCCCAGCTACTCGGGAGGCTGAGGCAGGAGAATCGCTTGAACTTAGGAGGTGGAGCTTGCAGTGAGCTGCGATCACGCCACTGCACTCCAGCCTGGGCAACAGAGCAAGACTCCATCTCAAAAAAAAAAAAAAAAAGAAAAAAAAGGAAAGAGAAATAATAAGTATGGTGGCCAGGTGTGGTGGCTCATGCCTGTAATCCTAGCTACTATGGGAGGTTGAGGCAGGAGGATCTCTCAAGTTCAGGAGTTCAAGACCAGCCTGGGCAACATAGTGAGACCCTGTGTCTACAAAAAACATCAAAAAAATTTAGCTGAGCTTGGTGGTGTACGCCTGCAGTCCCAGCTACGCAGGAGGCTGAGGTGGGAGGACTGCTTGGGCCCAGGAGATTTGAGGCTGCAGTGAGCCGTGATTGTGCTACTGCACTCCGGCTTCAGCAACAGAGCAAGACCCTGTTGCCAAAAAAAAAAAAAAAAAAAAAAAAGAAAAGTGTCCAGTTTTCAACTGGGTAGGTAGATTATATATCTATGAATTTTAATTCAGCATAGAATAGAGGATAGAGTTACAAAAGGTGGGTCTAACAGGGTTTAGAACTGCAGGACTGGCCGGGCGTGGTGGCTCATGCCTGTAATCCTAGCACTTTGGGAAGCTGAGGCAGGAGGATCACCTGAGGTCAGGAGTTCAAGACCAGCCTGGCCAACATGGTGAAATCCCATCTCTACTAAAAATGCAAAAATTAATTAGCCAGGCATGGTGGTGCATGCCTGTAATCCCAGCTATTCGGGAGGCTGAGGCAGGAGAATCAATTGAACCCGGGAGGCAGAAGTGACAGTGAGCCAAGATTACACCACTGCACTCCAGTCTGGGTGACAGTAAGACTCTGTCTCAAAATAAATAAATAAATAAAAATAAAAAATAACTAAAAGAGTATAATTGGATTGGTTTTAGCACAAAGGATAAATGCTCGTGGGGATGGAGACCCCATTCTCCATGATGTGATTATTACGCATGCATGCTTGTATGAAAACATCCCATGTACCCCATATATACACCTAATATGTAGCCACAATAATTAGAAAATTTTAAAAAACTCATGCTGCAAGTCTTTACAAAAGATTATTTTATTAATTCAATTTTTGCATAAAAGACTGTTAAAAGAACTTGCTAACTTGAAAACAATTTTGAGTATTTATGATCTTTCCAACTTGAAAACACCTGAACCTTATAGAACAGATTGTGTAAAGCAGCCAGGGCCACAGGAGTGAAAGAAGATGGAGACCCGCCGTCTGGTCATGATATGAGAGGCCTGGACAGTGACCTCACGAACAAAAAGAAATGATCCTCTTCAGTCCAAAGTGTGTTTGTGAGACTAATGACTCCATGCCCTCACATGGCCACTCCTCTTACAGCAGACAGCTTCACTCCGCTCCAGCCCCGGTACTGCGGTCTGTGGTAATTTACATGGGAATGGGATGAGATCTAGTAGTTTTAGATCCAACGCAATTCTGGGAAGGGTTGGTAATAAACCAAAACTCAATCTATGCAGTATTTAAAAAATAATTGAGAGTTGTGACAACTTCGATTCTTTTCAGGAGGTGCTGTCTTAAGATAGAAGAAAGGGATCAAGCTCTTATCTTAGAAAGCACAGACACGTTTAGCTCAGGGTAGTGCAATTCAATGCTAAGTGGCTGCTCCATGAAATCTAAGGGCCGGGTAAGGGGAAGAGGCCCAGGGACTTCTTCCTTGTCTGACACTCTCGGGACTAGCATTCTGGCAGGTCTTACAAGTTATAATACAAAACCATCAGATAAATTCTAATCACGACTGTGTAGTTCCTCCCCAAAATAATTTTCCTCTTAGAAGTAAAATCAGGAAAGGGGCTGAGTTCTGAAAAGAAACATCGGGGCTGTGGCCCAGGCCCTCTGAGTGTGGACGCTGTCCCCCGTGTCTCCATGTTTACTGCCTTATCGTCTCCTTTGTATGAAAGTATAATTTACGTAATTCGTCCTTGGAGAATCACAGTGGTGTTCAAGAACCTTTTGAGGCCATCCAAGTTTTTGTCCTTCAGTACCTTGAAATCAGATAATCTCAACATCCAGAAATAGCCTTTGATTTGTTCTTTCTCTGATGTCTTGTGTCCTTGGGATCAAAGCCTCTTTCACTGGCACCAAATAATGCCCAGTGAGGAGTTCTGGCCATATAATCCTTTGCGCTGAACGTTTTTGATCCACCACTATCTTCATATTCCTGGATGAGCTCCTGGAAGCGGTTATAATCGATCCATGTCCACCATTCACCACCAATTTTAAACTGGAAAGAAAAAAATGTGTCAAGTCAGAAGTAAAAACATCCCTAGAAAAAAAAAATGAATGTTTTTAAAATCATGAACAAGTCTGATCTTTTCTCCCTATCACGTCAAGAAAACAAAAACAAAAACAAACACAAAAAAACCTCTTCCATGTTCCAGACATGACTTCCTATCAAACCAAGATGCGCTACAATCACAGGAGAGCTTCCTTTCCCTTGGGCCTGCAGTTTTGCTGGGCCCGGAAGACAAGTCAAGTTTATCTCAAGCAGTCCCGCTGACACAGGGTTAAATGTTTCCATGTTACCATGTGACTAATTCAAACTCATTCTAATTCCTGCTGTTGCTGCTTTTGATCGGTTACAAATTTTCAAGGCTGTGTTAACAGCACCTCGTGGAATCCTTTTTAGACTCAACTTGGCTTGAGTTATTAGTGAAGGTTTCATCAATAACTTCTAATTCAAACATGCTAACTAAATGACTCAAACTAGCTTTTCTGGCCTAACGTGGATACAATATCTCATTAGTGGAAAGCCTGAAAAATTTCAATTCAGTAAGAGGGGATAATCCAATTTGTACTCTCTTAAGAAAATTGCTTCTCAAAAGTCACGGTGGAATAATGACCTGGAATGAAGAAAACAGAAAGAAAGTTGAAGAGGCTCAGAAGGAAATACTAATTGAACTGTGAAGGCTTTTAATTCAAAGCTATTGTTTGGCATTCATTTCTGTAAATGTATTAACTAATATGCTGATACCTGACTCATAAACAGACAAGTACTTGTCATGCCACTGTCTTTTTTTTTTTTTTTTTTTGAGACAGAGTCTCACTCTGTAGCCCAGGCTGGAGTGTAGTGGCCTGATCTCGGCTCACTGCAAGCTCTGCCTCCTGCGTTCATGCCATTCTCCTGCCTCAGCCTCCCGAGTAGCTGGGACTACTGGCTCCTGCCAGCACACCTGGCTAATTTTTTGTATTTTTAGTAGAGACGGGGTTTCACCGTGTTAGCCAGGATGGTCTCGATCTCCTAACCTCGTGATCCACCGGCCTTGGCCTCCCAAAGTGCTGGGATTACAGGCGTGAGCCACCACGCCCGGCCCATGCCACTGTCTTTTAAAAAACTTCGACTAATGGCCAGGCACGGTGGCTCACGCCTGTCATCCCAGCGCTTTCAAAGGCCGAGGCAGGTGGATCGCCTGAGGTCAGGCGTTCAAGACTAGCTTGGCCAACATGGTAAAACCCTATCTCTACTAAAAATACAAAAATTAGCCAGGCGTGGTGGTGTGTGCATGTAATCCCAGCTACTCGGGAGGCTGAGGCAGGAGAATCGCTTGAACCTGGGAGGTGGAGGTTGCAGTGAGCTGAGACAGTGCCACTGCACTCTAGCCTCAGTGACGTGAGTGAAATTCCATCTCAAAAATAAAAATAAGAAAACTCCAATGAACTAAATGAACTAAGGAACAATTTCCTGTTCTAGCCACAAAAAAAAGAAAGAAAATACATAGGTTCCTGAATTTAGAATATTAAAATATGCTGAATTTAAATGACATCTGATTTTTTACCCACTAGCTAAGAGCTTTCTAGGGGGAAAATGCTGAATATGTGGAAAAGTTTAATTACTCTATGAATTAGAAGAAATTTTCTTGTAATAAGACCATTCATGGAAATGGTGCCTCAAGGGCCCTGTGAACTCTACAACCCAAGATGTAAAATTTATATCTCACCATCATTTTCTCTCCCAAGACAGACTGTCCCTGAAGTGTTGTCTACTGTTGTGGAGGCAATCACTGTCATTCCCAGGCACTGAGCCTCGAAACTGCAGAGTCAAAGGTGACCTCCTTTTCCCTGGCCGCTCACACCACCTCCATCGATTCTCCCTGGGCAGCACTTCTGCTGCCAGTGGCGTGACTTGGTCACGCAGGCCCTTCCTCTGGGCCACAGCCACTGTCTTCCAGCCAATTGACCTTCTGATTCCAGCTGTGGCTTCTCTCAACTTCCCACAGACGGCCTGAGACTGTGCCGACAGCAGAATTGATTCCTATGATCCTGAATGTAAAGTCTGAGTATCAAATCTGCATCTCTTGGTGAGCTGTGGTCCTCTCACGTGACGCCCAAGCTGTTCCCTCTGTCTAACTCACATGTCCTTCATCCTTTGCTCTGGGAAGTCTTCCTAAATCCTGTTAGTTCGGTTGCAGTGAGAGAGTTCCCATGTTAGACAATTTCTGTCAGTTTCCTGGCCACAGGACCTCACTGTCTTGAACTTCCGCAGACACTATAATGGTCCCTGCAGTTTCCTCCTGCATTCCACCCCACCAAGCCTGCTGGCTCTGTGAATATAGGAACTTAACAACATATGCCATCACCCAGGACATGCGAGGGCCCAGTCTTTCTTCCTCACCTCTTTTTCTTTTTTTTTTTTTTTTTGAGACAGAGTCTCGCTCTGTCTCCCAGGCTGGAGTGCAGTGGTGCTATCTCGGCTCACTGCAAGCTCCGCCTCCCGGGTTCTCGCCATTCTCCTGCCTCAGCCTCCCAAGTAGCTGGGACTACTGGCACCTGCCACCACACCTGGCTAATTTTTTTTTGTATTTTCAGTAGACACAGTGTTTTACCGAGTTAGCCAGGATGGTCTCGATCTCCTGACCTTGTGATCCGCCCATCTCGGCCTCCCAAAGTGCTGGGATAACAGGCGTGAGCCACTGCACCCAGCCCTTCCTCACCTCTTAACAAATCTAGAAGACCATACAAAGAATCAAAATTCCACCCGTTCTACTGACATCTTGAGACATGATGGGATTTTGCTGCTACTGGCTCCATGGAATAAAAGGGACTGCTTCACTGTGTATTCATGACAGAGGCATGACACTCACCCTTGACTGAGCCTGGGGTGACTGACATGACATTAACATGTAATTCAACATGCATGACAGTCAAATGAGGCCAAAAATCATGATCCATCCATCAACATGGGCCAATTGGGACAACTATGGACTTGGCCCAGTTACATACATTTAGAAAATAATTATAATACAACATAGCATGTATAGCAGGTGAGGTTATGTACAAGGCACTTGGGGAGTACAGGGACAGGTGTGATAAATCACACAAGCTTGGCCCTGTAGAGGAGTCTCTTTGGGGATCCCAGTGTTGCTTGCTGAAAGACAAGAGATGACCATACTCTCTTCTTCCCTATTTGTGTCCCTTTGGTGTTTTGATTTCTAGATCTGAAGTCTGACCCCTCTGGTTCATAATCCTGATGCTCCTTCACCCTCAAACTCTAACATGATCATTTACCATGGGTGTTCTAAGAGAGAGTAAAGGATTAGTTTGAGCAATACAATGGACTTAAATTTTTTTTTTTTTTTACCATACCTACAGTCAAAAATATACTTTATATCTCAATCTAGTACACGCAAATATACACACACAAGCTGGGAATACAACTTTCACAAAACTGCAGGCAATGCACTTCATAAGAGAACTGCTGGCTGCAACTCACAAAACCAACTTCCTCACTTCTAATACAGTGTGAAAGCTTCTGCACTAAAAGATCTGGTTTCTTTTGACTCTAAAACTCTGCTCTGGTTTAAAATGGAAGAAATTTCAGTTGCACAGGTAGGACAACTGTAAGCTAAAATCTGACAACTGACTGCTCTGATTCCCAAAGTCTAAAAAACTAACTGGAAGACCAAGTAAATGCAGGACAAAGTAGGAGTATTAGCTCAGGCTGCCGTAACAAAATGCCATAGTGTGGGGGACTGAAACAACAGAAAATTCTTTTCTCACAGTTCTGGAGGCTGGAATTCCAAGGTTCTGGCTCAGTTTCTGGTGAGGGCTCTCTTCCTGTCTTGAAGGCGGCTGCCTTCTTGCTCTTTCCCACATGGCCTTTTCTTGGTACATGTACACGGAAAGTGAGTGAGCAAGTGACTTGGGCCCTCTCATGTCTCTTCTTCCTTTTTTTTTTTTTTTTTTAAGAGATAGGTTCTCACTCTGTCACCCAGGCTGGAGTGCAGTGGTGCAACTATTGCACATTGCAGCCTCAATCTTGTGGGCTCAAGCCATCCTCCCACCTCAGCCTCCTGCGTAGCTCAGATTACAGGTACATGTCACCATGCCCAACTAATTTTTAAATTTTCTGTAGAGAAAGGGTCTAGCTATTTTGCCCAGGCTGCTCTTGAACTCCTGGCCTCAAGTGATCCTCCCACCTTGATCTCCCAAAATGCTAGGATCATAGGCATGAGCCACCGCACCCAGCCCTGATGTCTCTTCTTATAAAGACACTGATCCTATTAGATCAGGGCTTACCCTTATAACCTCATTTAATCCCAGTTGCTTCCTTTGAAACCCCATCTCCAAATATAGCCACGCTGGGAGTTAGGACCTCAACCTATGAACTTGGGAGGGGAGGGGGGCCACAAACATTCAGTCCTTAAGAGTAAGTTATTCTGAAATGAACAGAACCACTAGACCCAAAAGACAAAACTGAACCACATGTGCCGCCTCTCAGGGCAATCTGAGACGAATCATACTGAATAATCACAGCTCAGAAAAAATCAAAGTGTTCCATGTAAAAGGCAGAAGCTGAAAGAGCAAAATTTGGTATGACTGACACACAAACAGCGCTGAGAGACAGCTGCATAAACAGAGGCATGAGACCCCAAATCGTAAAATCTGAAGTTAAGTATCCTGAGACACGAGGTCACCCTGCTAAAAGAATCCCTCGAATCCAACAGTAAGGGAAGAACGGAATCTATGCAGAATTACAAATAAACTCAAAAGGTCATAAATGATCTTAAAAACACACAAGTGCAATAAGATACAGCCTGACTTAAAAAAGCCAGGCTGCTAAGGGTCTGTGGCCTTGCTGGCTAGATGAGGCAATGCAGGCTCCCACTCTCTGCAAGAATCAAACTGCTGTACAAAGGGCCTTGTTCTCCTTATGTTCTCCTCTTTCACACAGGGAGAATTTCGCTAAACAATAATAATGGCATAGGTTCTCTGTTAGTGTAAATGTTTAAAAAGATTCTATTAAAGATGGTAGATTAAACACATGCATTTACTATTACTTCCTCTTGAAACCCCACTAAAATGACAGTAAGAACATTTAAAAAAGATATATAACATAAAAATAAAGCTACCAGGAGAGGAGAAAACAGTATTGGACTTTCAGAAGCTGAACAGATGATGGGTGAGCAAACTGGTTTAGCAGACCCAAGAGAGCTGAATCCTAAGCCAGCAAATAGAGAAATCCAAGATTCAGCCCAAATTATGCTTTAGAATTCCTCAAAGGCTCAGAAACTGGCTGCACTAGTTCCCCCGACAGGAAGCATGGATTGAGGAGGTACCAAACCCACTCCCCACCAAAAACCCAAAGGCAGGTTTATATTCTGTTTAAGACACGATTAGAATCTCAAGTTCCTGAGCCCCCTGCATATATTCACAGCTGAGCACCTGCCCACTCCATGCCCCGACAGATGCTTAGAGGTTTCTTCTCAGAAGACAATTCAGAAAGGATCTGTGGTCTGTGGGACAGCAGGTATAGCTGAGAGCAGGGCTGCCATAATAAAACTATTTCCTTTCCTGTTTCTGGACCACCAGGGACCATTGCAAGCTGCAGAAAATGAGAAGACCCTACTGACCAGCCCAAGAAGACAGATGACAAGATACTGAGGTTGGGATTCCCTAAGGAAATGATCCAGCAGATCACTCCAAGATAGAGTCAACCCCAAACCATTAGGGTGCTCTTTATTTTTTATTATTATTTTTATTTATTTATTTTTGAGACGGAGTCATGCTCTGTTGCCCAGGCTGGAGTGCAGTGGCGCAATCTCGGCTTCATTGCAACCTCCACCTCTCGGGTTCAAGTGATTCTCCTGCCTCAGCCTCCCGAGTAGCTGGGATTACAGGTGTGCACCACCATACCCAGCTAATTTTTGTATTTTTTGAAGAGATGGGGTTGCACCATGTTGGCCAGGCTGGTCTTTAGTCTCCCATTCTCAAATACAAGCATATAACCAATGACCATCAGCCACCTCAGAAAAACTTCTAACATGATAGAGGGATAAAAATAAAAAGAGGCTGGGGGCAGTGGCTGGGCGCAGACACTCTGTCACCCAGGCTGGAGTGCAATGGCATGATCTCAGCTCACTGCAACCTCTACATCCCAGGTACAAGAGATTCTCCTGCCTCAGCCTCCAGGGTAGCTGGGACTACAGGCACACGCCACCACGCCCGGCTAATTTTTTGTATTTTTAGTAGAGATGGGGTTTCACCATGTTAGCCAGGCTGGTCTTGAACTCCTGACCTCAGGTGATTCACCTGCCTAGGCCTCCCAAAGTGCTGGGATAACAGGCGTGAGCTACTGCACCTGACAAAAAAGATTTTTTTTTTAATATTAAAGAACTAGTCCATAAGACCCAATTTAAAACTTTTCTTTTTAGTAGTTCTAGACAGAAAGGAGAAAAAAAAAATAGAAGAGAGGATATATTCATTGAAATAATTCTGGAAATGTTAAGAAGTGAAGGACATGAGTTTCCACATTAAAGGTGTCTACAATGGATAAAACCAGACACACCGTCTGAGGCACATTATAGCGAAATTTCAAAACAATGGAGACAAAGAGAAAATCGAATGAGAAAAACATGGTCATACACAGAGGATTAGGAATCTGAATGCCTTTTGAGTTCTCAATTACTGCAAGGAAAGCTGAAAGACAGCAGGTCCAACCTCAAAGGGGGAATAGTTTCCAGCCAAGAATTCTATATCCAAATCAAATGCGTAGGGAGAATGAAAACACGTTTGGACATTAAAGGTCTCAAAAAGTTGTACTTTTTACATGCCAGTTTCTTAGGAATCTCCTAGAAGTTGTGTTTCCTGTGAATGAAGGAGTAACTTTAGGAAACACAGGATCCCAGAGACATTTCACTCAAGACAGAGCTGGTGATCCCAGGATAACAGCTGTGAACTAGGTGGTAGAGAGTGAACTGTCCAAGGTAGGTGGGTAAGTAAGTGTCCTGCAGAGACTTCTTCAAAAAGATGAACCTGATAGCAAATCCAATGCATCTGAAAGTCTGCGAGGCAATATATTTGAGATGGCAGAGAGTTTGAGAGTTGTTAGCGAAATAACACAGAAATCTAGATGAAGAAAATAATAAAAATTAACCAAAGGTGGCACTGGAAACAAATAGCAATTGCAGGAGATGGCATGGCTTGGCCATGAACAGTGTTCACGTGGTTATAATAATGCAAAAAAAAATCATCTAAATAAAAATCTGGTATGTGTATGTTAGGAGGGTGGGGGAATGGGAAAGGATGTTCCAGGAGAAGGTAGAAGCAAGCTCAAGCCTCATCTTCCATGGTACACAGTAAAGAGATAATAAGCAGCCAGGCATGGTGGCTCACACCTGTAATCCCAGCACTTTGGGAGGCCGAGGTGGGTGGATCATTTGAGGTCAGGAGTTCAAGACCAGCCTGGCCAACAAGGTGAAACCCCGCCTCTACTAAAAATACAAAAACTGGCAGCCTCCTGTAGTCCCAGCTACCCAGGAGGCTAAAGCAGGAGAATTGGTTGAACCCGGGAGGTAGAGGTTGCAGTGAGCCGAGATCGCGCCACTGCACTCCAGCCTGGGGGACAGAGCAAGACTCCGCCTCAAAAAAAAAAAAAAAAAAGAGATAATAAGCAAAATGGTGGGTTGGGGGTGCAGGGGCGAGCAGCAATATAAGTATGCTATTTAGAGATACGGAGATAAATACCAAATGAATCACCTAGAAAATCTGAAAGTGGTTGTTGCTTGAGAGGGGGAAATGGAGGTGTGTTTGTGTTTGAGGAGGGTACAAGGAACTGCTGCTTTTTTGTTTTGTTTTGTTTTTTAATAAACTTGGACTTTTTAACTGTCCATGTAGAATTTTGACAAAACTAAAAATAAGGTTTAAAATAGTGGTGACTGTATCCAAGAAAGGAAAAAGCACATCAACAACCTCAGCCAAAAAATGTAGGGCAGAGGAAAGGAGAGGACTGGCAGGCAAACAGTAGTGACAAATCCTTGTGAAGTGTCCTACTGGGTACTAGGTGCTATGTTTGGTTCTGTATCTTGTGTAATCCACATAATAAACATGTTGTAGTCACATTCCTATCTTTTGAATGAGAGCAAAAGTCCAAAAAAAGCTAAGTGATAGATGTGCTTAGGCCATATCCTAAGGAAGTAGAGGGCCAAGATTCAAATTGGAGGGTGTTAAAGAGACCGTGGCCATTACATGATCCCATGTGACTGGTAGCTTTCAAACTGGAAAATGACAGAACTAACAGTCATGTCTTTCAAATATTTCTCAAGGAAACTGCAAAGAGAGGCTTTTTGTTTTGTTTTGTTTTAGAGACAGGGTCTTCCTCTGTCACCCAGACTGGAGTGCAGTGGTGCAATCATAGCTCACTGAAGCCTCAACTTCTTCGGCTCAAGGATCCTCCCTCCTCAGTCTCTGGAAGAGCTGGGACTACAGTGCATGCCACCATATCCAGCTAATGTTTTAACGTTTTGTAGAGAGACAGTCTTGCTATGCAGCCCAGGATGGTCTTGAATTCCAGGACTCAAGCAATTCTCCCATTTCAGCCTCTTAAAATGCTGGGAATACATGTGTGAGCCACCTCACCTGGCCAGAGCATTGTTTTTTTTGTTTGTTTGATTTTGTTTTACCCCTTATTTGTGTGCAATATCCCTAAGTTAACTCCCTTTGTTTAACTTATCTAAAACTTACAGAAAACAGTGTATATTCCAATTTTTTTTTTTTTGAGATGGAGTCTCACTCTGTTGCCCAGGCTAGAGTGCAGTGGCACAATCTCGGCTCACTGAAACCTCTGCCTCCCAGGTTCAAGAGATTCTCCTGTCTCAGCCTCCTGAGTAGCTGGGATTACAGGCATGCCCCACCACGGCCCAGCTAATTTTTGCAATTTTAGTAGAAATGGGGTTTCGCTACGTTGGCCTGGCTGGTCTCAAACTCCTGACCTCAGGTGATCCGCCCGCCTCAGCCTCCCAAAGTGCTAGGATTACAGGCATGAGCCACCGCACCCGGCCTATATTCTAAATTCTTAAGGTACTTCAACTTCTCTTGGCATTCAGTCTAAACAATGAGTGCACTGAAAAGCCTACTATCTGTTAATTATTTCTCTACTCAAGTACAGCACAAGAGGCCTTAGGCAAACGAGGGGAGCCGAAAGCTTTTTATGCAGACCTCTAAAGTCAGTGTACTCTGCCTTTGATTTCTTTGATTTTATTTACAAGCTTCCATCCCTTCTCAGAAAATAATAACCAAAAAAATAAAACTGGCACAGTGAAGTACATTCTCCTCCCATTACATGAACTAGTTCCTAACAGTTACAGGCAAGAGGTTGCAGATGAAGAACTGACTTCCCATCGGTTTCCCTTGTAACTTCTCCAGAGACTCATCTATACGGGAAATCCAGTCATCTCAAACTCAAAATGTCACAAAGAAAAAACTTGTATCATTCGGCTGGCCCCCAGCCACTGTCTCAAACCAGGTTCTGCTGAAAGTTGTTCCAGCTTTTGTTACAAATACTGCAGAGTCACTGAAAAAAGTTCTAATCATACAAAGGTCTCATAGTTCTACACATTCAAGAGTTGAAATAAGAAGGAAATCTTATATATGAGCTGAAAAAAGAGTACCCCACAAGCTATTTATTAGCATCAACATTGGAGGTGGTTTGTATGACTATTCCTCCACGTAACACTATACCATTCTTTATTTAAAAAGCAAATGGTCAGAACCTTTAGGAAAAAGCCTTTATTAAGAAACTGCTTGATATGGTTTGGCTGTGTTTCCACCCAAATCTCATCTTGAATTGTAGTTCCCACAATTCCCATGTGTTGTGGGAGGGACCAGGTAGGAGGTAATTGAATCATGGAGGAGGGCCTTTCCTGTGCTGTTCTTGAGATAGTGAATAAATCTCACAAGATCTGATGGTTTTACGAAGGGGGGTTTCCCTGCACAAGTTCTCTTCTCTTGTCTGCCTCCATGTGAGACGTGACTTTCACCTTCCGCCACGATTGTGATGCCACCCCAGCCACGTGAACTGTGAGTCCATTAAACCTCTTTTTTCTTATAAATTACCCAATCTCAGGTATGTCTTTATCAGCAGCGTGAGAAAAGACTAATACACTGCTATAGGCAAGGCACAATTCTAGATGCTTTTTATACTTCACTTCATTTAGCCGTCACAATCACCCCAGAAAACAGAGCTACTCCCACATTGCAGTTAAGAATGAGAAACTGTGAAACGAGGATTAGAAAACACATTCACCAGTGCAAAGTTCAGCGGCCCGCAAGACCACCTCCAGATTTAACAGTTCACTAGAAGGACCCACAGAACTCTCTGAAAGCTGTTATATTCATGTATGTTTTATTATAGCATAAGGACACACATTAACGCTAACCGAGGGAACAGGCACGTGGGACCGAGTCTAGGAGAATTCCATGCCTGGAGCTTCCGGTTGTCCTATCGCAGAGGGGTTATAGACAGAGCTAACTTCTCCCAGCAGGGATGTGTGATGATATGCACAGAGTGCTGCCAACCTTGGAAATGCACCTGAGTCTTGGTGTCCAAAGATTTTACTGCAGCTCAGTCACCTAGACACAGTTGACTGCTACATGTCTGACCTTAATTTCCAGCCCCTCCAGAGGTTGAGCCAATAACTGCATGGCCCAAAGCCCCAACTATATGAAACCATTTGGTTGGCAGAGAATATCTGGTGTGGGGGCCGGGTTTGGTGGCTCACGCCTGTAATCCCAGCACTTTGGGCAGCTGAGGTGGGAGGATCACCTGAGGTCAGGAGTTTGAGACCAGCCTGGCCAACATGGTGAAACTCCGTCTCTACTAAAAATACAAAAATTAGCCGGGTGTGGTGGTGCATGCCTGTAATCCCAGCTACGTAGGAGGCTGAGGCAGGAGAATCAATTGAACCTGGGAGGCGGAGGTTGCTGTGAGCAGAGATCGTGCCACTGCATTCCAGCATGGGCGACAGAGTGAGACGCCCATCTCAAAAAAATAATAATAATAATAGAATATCTGGTGTGGCCTAAGGCCTACAAATAAACAAAGGTACTCTTATCAGGCAGGACATTCCAAGGGCTTGGAGGTCACCTCCCAGAAGCTGAGGGCAAAGGTCAGCCCTTTGTTTGGGTAAAATTCATCTATCTGCACAATCAGCATTTCAAAGGCCATATATAATAGACAAAACGGAATAAAACAAAAATAAAAAAGAACACTAATGCAAAACGAATCATTCATATTATTTTCATTTCTACACTCAAGGGCTTTTATGTGATCTTAGTGTCAATTATTATTTTCTAAATGGGTCTTCCAAACATACAATCATACTTACAAGCCACACAGCAGGGGAAGTATTGATGAAAGAAGAGAGGCTACCGGACCTTCTCACAACTCAAAATTAATGTTAACTGTGTGGGAGTAGAGGAAGTCCAGGGGTCGTCTGAGGGAGAAGTGATTTTGGAATACTGAGGGGTGATTTTTAGACTACAAAAAAGAGTATTACTGAAACCACCCAGTGGGTTCACCTTGCCCACTGCCTAGACAGAGCCAATTAATCAAGACAGGGGAACTGTAATGGAGAAAGAGTAATTCACACAGAGCCAGCTGTGCGGGAGACTGGAGTTTTATGATTACTCAAATCGGTGTCCCTGAACATTCAAGCAGCAGAGTTTTTAAGGACAACTTGGTGGGTTGGGGGAAGCCAGTGAGCCAGGAGTGCTGATTGGTCAGAGATGACATCACTGGGAACTGAAGATGTCCTCTTGAGCTGAGTCAGTTCCTGGGTGGTGGCCACAAGATCAGATGAGCCAGTTTATCGAGCTGGGTGGTGCCAGCTGATCCATCAAGTGCAAGGTCTGCAAAATTTCTCAAGCACTCATCCTAGGGGCAGTTTAGGGAGGGTCAGAATCTTGTAGCCTCCAGCTGCATGACTCCTAAACACTAATTTCTAATCGTTTGGCTAATTTCTTAGTCCTACAAAGGCCATCGGGTCCCTAGCAAGAAGGAGGTTTGTTTTAGGGAAGGGCTATTATCATCTTTGTTTTAAATTATAAACTATAAACTAAATTCCTCCCAAAGTTAGTTCAGTCTATACCCAAGAATGAAGAAGGACAGCTTGGAGGTTAGAAGCAAGATGCAGTCGGTTAGGTGAGATCTCTTTCATTGTCTCAGTCATAATTTTGCAATGGTGGTTTCATTACAGTGGTATCTTGTGAACTTCCCAGATTTACCAAAATTTGTTCTTGCTGGTTGTAGCTACAACTGTGTAGTTTCTTCTTTGGGTAAGAAGAGGCAGAGATCACAAGGGCAGACTTGTGATTGCCTGCAATAGTGGAATGCTGAGAGCTGTTGCCACCTTCTTCTGAGTTTACTGGTAATAAGTAGGATTCACATGGTAACAGTTGCCCGTGGAACCATTTTCACAGACAAAACTATAACCATAAGATTACATTCTTGACATAGCCAAGTGCAACTCTAAAAGTTTATCTGGAAACTCATTTTCTGAAGTTTCAACCTTAATCTCCAGTGGAGCTAAATCCTCTGAGCAGTGTTACCAAAATGCCAATTTCCTCTGATATTTCTCTAAAAGCAACTGCTGCTGGGAGCAATCAGGCCTCTGATGAGGGTGAGTTCCACATGTACCACAGTCACTAGGTTTTGCTAAGAGAACACTGGCAAAACCTAAATGGAGATACACAAGTCCCTTCTTATTCCAAGATGGGAGGGTGTGGGGGTGGTGATAGCTCTTCTTCCCCTCCCTTCACAGACTACAAGTTTTATTATCTCCAAAAAGGAGGTCCCTGTGATCAGTGCCTAATTATCTACAGGATCTTAATTATGGCCAGACTCTCAGAGCTAATGATCATGGAGATCAAGGAGACTGCTGTTGGCTGTGCTGGGACAGGGACTCTGTCTCCTGTTTCCAAAGGACATTTCACCTTCCCTACCTTGTCTGTGCAACGTACTTGTTCAAAGTAGGCTTTGTATTTGGAAACACTTGGGATTGAATTCTAGTCGTGTCCTACTTGCCCTTGGACAAGACTTCTACTTTTTTTTTTTTTTTTTTTTTTTTGAGACGGAGTCTTGCTCTGTCATCCAGGCTGGAGTACAGTGGTGCAATCTCGGCTCACTGCAACCTCTGCCTCCTGGGTTCAAGTGATTTTCCAGCCTCAGCCTCCCAAGTAGCTAGGATTACAGGCAAGTGCCACCATGCCCACCTAATTTTTATATTTTCAGTAAAGATGGGGTTTTGCCATGTTGGCCAGACTGGTCTTGAACCCCTGACCTCAGGTGATCCACCCGCCTCAGCCTCTCAAAGTGCTGGGATTACAGGCATGAGCCACTGCACCCAGCTAGACTTGTACTCATTTAAGCCTCAGTTTCCTCCTTTGGAATATGAGAAAAAATAGTATCTATGATCCAATAGACTTTTGTAAGGATTAAATGAGTTATGGCATGTATAGTGCTCACCACGGTAACCTTAATAAATGTTACTGGTTGCTGAATTTATCAGCAGACTCCGAAACTAAGGAATGACACCAGACATTTTCTTCGTGGTGATGAAAGACACTAGAAGATAATGAAATAATTATGTTGGAAGGCAATAGAGGAATATCTTCAAAGTGCTAATAGGAAATACCTCGATTTAGAGTTTCTACTCTGATGATCTATTATTCAAGAAAGTGAAATAAAGATGTTTTGGGGAGAAAAAAGAAGGCTAAGTTTACCACTGAGTTCAGTAAGAAGGAAACTGTGCCAGCAGGAACAGCTGGGAGTGCCAGAAACAAAGGTGAACTGAGAAAGTGGTATGTACGAGGACACATCTAAACAAGTATTGGCCGGGCATGGTGGCTCATGCCTGTAATCCCAGCATTTTGGGAGGCCAAGGCAGGCGGATCACTTGAGATCAGGAGTTCAAGACCGGCCTGACCAACATGGTGAAACCCCATCTCTACTAAAAATACAAAATTAGCCACGTGTGGTGGTGTACACCTGTAATCTCGGCTACTTGGGAGGCTGAGGCAGGACAATCACTTGAACCCGGGAGGCGGAGGTTGCAGTGAGCTGAGATCGTGCCATTGCACTCCAGCCTGGGCAACCAGAGCGAAACTCTGTCTCAAAAATAAATAAACAAACAAACAAGTATCAACTTGTTTAAAAGGAAACTTGTAGGAAAAAGCACAGGAAAGTCCTTGTGTTGTGCTGAAGGAGAATAGCAAAGTTAATTTACTTCAGAATCCAACTAAGTATAAATTTTAAAAATATCCAGGTAGAGGATTCTGGGAAGATGCTGGAGTAGAAAGCACTAGGAATACTTTACCCCACCCAGACAAAAATTACACTGGCAGAATTTGTCTGATGTAACTATTTTGGAACTCTGGAGTCTATTGAAGGCTTGTAACATTCAGGGGAAGGCTTGACAGTAAATTGCAGTTATTTTCAGTCAATCTCTGCTCTTAGCTCCAAAGCCGCTACCAGTCCCCGATGACTCAGCCCCATGGCAGGCAGCTGTGTACATGTTATGGGAGCAGCTTGCATGCAGCTTCTAAGAGCCAGGATAGGCAATAAGAACACTGTCTTCAAAATATTAAGGATCTGTGTTCTTGTCATGGAAGGGTGGAATAGAGGCAGCCAGTCAGGGTGCCAAGCCCCTCCCTGTCTAGCTTAAGTGACTCCCTGGGGACTTCAAGGGCCAGTGCTTCCCCCATCCCTACTCTTTCACTTTTCTCTTTCCCACCTTTGGGAGGTGTACATTAAAGACTAAGACATTAAAAAATAAACATATTTATAGGGAAATTATAGTTACCATGGATGCCCAGGGAAAGGTACAGTCTTCAAAGAGAACTGAAAAGACTTTAAGTTCATACCTCGGGCTGATCCTTGGCACAGAGACAGCCTTCAATAATCAAACAAAACAAAACAAAACTCCAGAAAACACTGAGAGGCAAAGAATCTGATTCACACAGTGGCCACATGATAAGATACAAATGTCCAGTTTTCAACAAGAAAATCACAAGGCACACAAAGAAACAGTGATATACGGTCCATCCAAAAGAAAACTACAAATCCAACAGAAACTCACCCTGAGAAAGGGTAGATGGCAGATCCACTAGAAACAGACTTTAAAACAGCGATCTTAAAGATGCTCTAAAAACTACAGGAATATGTGGGAAAAGTCAAGAAAAGGACATATGAACAAAATAGAAATATCAATAGGCATAGAAAACCTAAAAAGAAACCAAAAAGAAATTCTGGAACTAAAAAGTGTAATAACTGAAATGAAAAATTCATTAGAAGAATTCAAAGGCATATTTCTACAGGCAGAAGGATTAGTGAACCTGAAAACAGGACAATGGAAATGATCACGTCCGAATAGCAAAAAAAAAAAAAAAAAAAGAAAAAAAGCGAACAGAGATTAAGGGACCATGAACACCATCAAGTGAACTGACATTTGCACGTGGCAATCTCAGAAGGAGAGAGACAGAAGACGACAGAGAGAATGCTTGAAGAAATAATGGTCAAAATTTTCCCTAAATTTAATGAAAGACATAAATATAAACATTGAAGAAGTTCAAGGAACTCCAAGGATAATGAACTAAAAAAGACACACACCAAGACACATTATAATCAAACTGTCAAAAGTCAAAGACAGAGAATCTTGAAAGCAGCAAGAGAGCAGTGACTTGTCACACACACAGGGTATACTTAATAAGGTCATAGAAGATTTCTAATCAGACATTTTGGAGCTCAGAAAGCTAATAATGTTTAAAGTGCTGAAAGAAAAAAAATGTCAACCAGGAATCCTATACTGGCAAAACACGAGGAAGGAAATAAGACATTTCCAAATAAACAAAAGCTGAGGGAGTTCATCAATCTACTAGATCTTCCCTGTAAGAAATGCTAAATGGAGTCCTGCAGGTTGAAATGAAAGGGCACTAGACAGTAATTTGAAGCTGCATGAAGAAGTAAAGATCATAGTAAAGGTAAATATATGGGCAAATATAAAATTGATTGTTACAGCTTTGTTTTGTAACTCTATATTTTTTTCTTTTCTTTTTATTTTTTTGAGATGGAGTCTCGCTCTGTTGCCCAGACTGGAGTGTAGTGGTGCGATCTCAGCTCACTGCAACTTCCACCTCCCAGGTTCAAGCAATTCTCGTGCCTCAGCCTCCCGAGTATCTGGGATTACAGGCGCCCACCACAATGCCTGGACAATTTTTGTATTTTTAGTAGAGATGGGGGTTTGCCATTTAGCCAGGCTGGTCTTGAACTCCTGACCTCAGATGATCTGCCCACCTCGGCCTCCCAAAGTGCTGGGATTACAGGCGTCAGCCACCACACCCAGCCTCTATGTTTTGTTTTCTATGTTAACACACTAATGTGTTTAAAAAAAAAAAAAAAGACAAGTATTAGTTTATGTTTTGGGGCACACAATGTATCAAAAAGGTGTTATTCTGTGACATCAACAACTGAAATGGGTGGGAACAGAGCTGTAAAGGAACATAGTTTTGTATGCTGTTGAAGTTAAGCTGGTATAAATTAAAATTAGAGTATTAAAACTTTAGAATGTTAAATGCGATGTCCATTGTAAGCACAAGGAGAATAGCTACAGCATCTACACAAAAGGAAATGAAAAGGTAATTTAAATGTTTCACTGCAAAGAATCAACTCAACACAAAGAAGACAATATTCAGAAAATGAGACAAAAAAGCTGTAAGGCATATGAGAAATAACAAAATGACAGAAGTAAATCCCTCCATATCGGTCATTATTTTCGATGAATATTAATTAAACCCTCCCATCCAAAGACACAGATTGGTAGAATAAACAAAAAGATATGATCCCATTCTATGCTATCTACAATAGATTCGCTTTGAACCCAAAGATACAAGTGGATTGAAAGGGAAAGGATGGAAAAAGGTATTCCATGCAAAGAGTAACCCAAAGACAGCAGGAGCGGCTCTACTAATATCAAAGAAAATAAGACTTTGAATTAAAAAGGTTATGAAACAAAGAAAAATATTACATATTGATAAAAGGTTCAACAGAGCAAGAACATATAACTATTATAAACATTTAGGCAGCTCATAACAGATAATCAACATATACAAAGCAGATATTGATATAATTGAAAGGAGAAATGACAATTCTACAACAATACTCAGAGACTTCAATACCTCATTCTCATTCATAGATACAACAACCAGAGAAAGATAAGCAAGAAAATAAAGCACTTGGACGGGCGCGGTGGCTCACACCTGTAAACCCAGCACTTTGGGAGGCCAAGGCAGGTGGATCACCTGAGGTCCCGAGTTCAAGACCAGCCTGACCAACCCCATCTCTACTAAAAATACAAAATTAGCTGGGCATGGTGGCACATGCCTGTAATCCCAGCTACTCGGGGGGCTGAGGCAGAAGAATCGCTTGAACCTGGGAGGTGGAGGTTGTGGCAAGCCGAGATCGCGCCATTGCACTCCAGCCTGGGCAACAAGAGCAAAACTCCGTCTCAAAAAAAAAAAAGAAAAAGAAAGAAAGAAAATAAAGCACTTGAAGGGCACGATAAGCCAACTTGATTTAACAGGCACACAGAACACTGTACCTAACAACAACAGAATACACATCCTTCCCAAGTACACATGGGACATTTTCCAGGAAAGGCGGTAAGTTAGGCTACCAATTAGGCCTAGATTCAACAACATAGATATCATACAAAGCATATTCTCCAAGAACAATGGGATGAAGTTAAAAATCAATAAATGAGGCCAGGCGTGGTGGCTTAGGCCTGTAATCCCAGCACTTTGGGAGGCCAAGGCAGGCGGATCACGAGGTCAGGAGATCGAGACTATCCTGGCTAACACGGTGAAACCCCATCTTTACTAAAAATACAAAAAATTAGCCAGGCATGGTGGCAGGCGCCTGTAGTCCCAGCTACTCGGGAGGCTGAGGCAGGAGAATGGCATGAACCCGGGAGGCGGAGCTTGCAGTGAGCTGAGATCGCGCCACTGCACTCCAGCCTGGGTGACAGAGCCAGACTCCATCTCAAAAAAAAAAAAAAAAAAAATCAATAAATGAATGAAACTAAAAAATTCACAAATTTGTAGAGATTAAGCAACACACCCCTAAATATTACCAATGGATCACAGAAGAAATCACAAGGGAAATTAGAAAATGCTTACAGACTAATGAAAATGAAACCACCACATATCAAAACGTATGGGACACAGTGAAAGCAATGCTAAGGTAAGAACTTATAGCTATAAACACTGATTTTTAAAAAAGGAGACCTCAAATCAACAACCTAACTTCAAAACTTCAGGAACTAAAAACAGGACAAACTGAACCAAAAGCTAGCAGAAGGAAATAATAAAGATTAGAGCAGAGATTAACAAAATAGAGAATAGAAAAAAAAAAAAAAAACCCACAAAACCCAAAGCTGGTTCTTTTAAAAGATCAACAAAATTGACAAACCTTTAGCTGGATGAATTTTTAAAAGGAGAGAAATAAGACTCGAATTACCAAAATCAGAAATGATTTTGCTACCAATTCTGCATTTAAAAAAAAAAACTGTAAGAGTGTACTATAAACAATGGTACGCCAACAAATGGATAACCTAGATGAAACAGACAAATTCCTAGAAACATGAAATCTACCAAGACTAAGTCACAAAGAAATAGAAAATCTGATTGGACTTATAACTATTACGGAGATTAAATCAGTAATTTAAGATCTCCCTACGAAGAATAGCCCTGGACCTGATGGCTTCACTTGTGAATTCTACAAAACATTTAAAAGAGAACTAACACCAATCTTTCTCAAACTTTTCCAAAACACTGAAGAGGAGGGAATACTTTCAACTCATTCAGTGAGGTCAGCATTATCCTGATACCAAAGCCAGACAAAGATCGTACTGGAAGAAAACTGTATATGAATATCACTTTTGAATACTGACACAAAAATCCTCAAAACACCAGCAAGCCAAATTCAGCAGCATATTAAAAGAATTATATGCCCTGGACAAGTGGGATTTAACCCTGGAATGCAAGGATGGATCCATGTAATATACCACATTAATAGAATGAAGGACAAAAACCACATGATCATCTCAATTAATGCAGGAAAGGCATCTGACAAAACAACACCCTTTCGCGTTTTTCATGATAAAAACACTCGACAAAGAAGGAATAGCTGGAAACTATCTTAACATAATAAAAGCCACATATGAAAAAACCTACAGTGAATATCATACTCAATAGTAAAACACTGAAAGCTTTTCCTCTAAAATAGAGCAAGGCAAGGATGACCATCTTCACTACTTTCGTTCAAAATAATAATGGAAGTTCTCATCACAGCAATTAGGTAAGAAGAAGAAATACAAGGTATCCAAATTGGAGAGGAAAAAGTAAAACAATTTTTGTTTTTAAATGATATGATGTTATATGTAGAAAATTATAAAGATTCAACCAAAAAACTGTTTAAACTAATAAAGGAATTCAGCAAAGTGGCAGGATACAAAGTTAACATGCAAAAATCAGCTGCATTTCCACATACTAATAATGAACAATCTGAAAAGAAAAAACAAAAACAAAAACAGGTTCATAAACAATAGCCACCATAGTGAGTGGTGGCTCATGCCTGTAATCCCAACACTTTGGAAGGCCGAGGTGGGCAGATTGCTTGAGCTCAGGAGTTTGAGGTAAGTCTGGTCAACATGGTAAAACCCTGTCTCTAAAAAAATACAAAAATTAGCCAGTTGTGATGGCATGCACTTGTAGTCCCAGCTACTCAGGAGGCTGAGGTGGGAGGATCTCTTGAGTCTCAGAGGTGGAAGTAGCACCAAGTTGAGACCATGCCACTGCACTAGAGCCTGAGCAACAGGGCGAGACTCCATCTCAAAAAAAAAAAATAAATAAATATAAATAAAACAAAATTAAAAATACAATAGCATCAAAAATAATAAAATACTTCAAATTAAATTTAACCAAAGAGATGAAAGACTTGTACAATGAAAAGTATAAAATATTACTGAAAGTAAAGAACACATAAATAAATAGAAATACATCCCATGTTCATGGATTGAAAGATTTAATATTAAGATGTCAACACTGGCCGGGCATGGTGGCTCACACCTGTAATCCCAGCATTTTGGGAGGCCAAGGCAGGGAGATCACCTAAGGTCAGGAGTTCGAGACCAGCCTGGCCAACATGGTGAAATCCCATCTCTACTAAAAACACAAAAATTAGACGGGCATGGTGGCAGGTGCCTGTAATCCCAGCTACTTGGGAGGCTGAGGAAGGAGAATCACTTGAACCCGGGAGGCAGAGGTTGCAGTGAGCCAAGATCACATCATTGCACTCCAGCCTGGGTGACAAGAGTGAAAAACTCTGTCTCAAAAAAAAAAAAAAAAAAAAAAAAAAAGACATCAACACTACCCAAAGTTATCTACATATCCAATACAATATCTATCAAAATAACAAAAACATTTTTTGTAGAAATAGAAATCTATCCTAAAATTCATATGGATTCTCATGGGACCCTTAATAGCCAAAACAATCTTGAGAAAAAACACAAAACTGGAGGACTCACACTCCCTGATTTCAAAACTTACAACAAAGCTATAATAATCAAAACAGTGTGATACTGGCATAAAGACAGACATGTAGAACAATGGAATAGAGAGCCCAGAAATAAACCCTAACAAATATAGTCAAATTATCTTTGACAAGGGTGCCAAGACTACTCAATGGGGAAAGGACAGCATCCTTAACAAATGGTGTTGGAAAAACACTACATGCAAAGCAATGAGGCTGGACCCTTATCTAACACCACATGCAAAAATTAACTCAAAATGGATCAAAGACCTAAACATAAGACTTAAAACTATAAGACTCTTAGAAGGAAACATATGGCAAAAGCTTCATGACATTGAATATAGCAGTGATTTCGTGGGTATAGAGAATAGGCAAGAAAAGAAAGAATAGACAAACTGGACTTTATGAAAAAATTTAAAAGGCATGCATCAAAAGGCAGTATCAACAGAGTAAAAAGGCAACTCAGAAAATGGGGAAAAAAATTGCAAATGATGTATCTGGTAAGGGATACTACCCAAAATATATAGAGAATGCCTAAAACTCAACAACAACAACAACAAAATCCCAATTCTTTTCCAAAGAAGATATAGAAATGGACAATAAGCACAGAAAAAAAAGTGCTCAGCATCACTTATTAGGCAAATATAAGTCAAAACTACAATAAGAACTCAGAGTATTGATAAAATTATCTGCACACCAAGCCACATAACCAGTCTCAAAAAATACTCCAGATAAATATAAGGCAGACCACTACATATGAATAAAATGCAATAAAATTCAAATCAAAATAATGAAAAATATTCATATGACAGATTAAAAAATACTACTAAATAATTCATAGATTGAATAAGAAATCATGATGGAAATTGTAACAAACTTAGATCTCAATGACAAGAAAAGTTCTATAGGGCAAAATTTGTGGGATGCAGCTAAAGTAGTACCTAAAGGGAAAGTTATGGCCCCAAATGCCCATGTTAGCTTAGAGAAAAAAAGAGGTAGAGTAAAATATTATGAGCAACGTAATCAACTCAAGATAGAAAAATAACAGAGTCATTTCAGAGAAAGTAGGAAGGAAAGAAACAATAAAAATAAACAGCATTCTAGTGAAATAGCAAACAAGAGAAATAAGCAAAAATTCCAAATGCTGGTTCTTTGTAAACACACTGAAATAGACACACCTCGTCTATGGCGGTACCACCCTGAACGCACCCGATCTCGGCTGAACTAGACACACCTCTGGGCAAGACAATTAAGAAAAGATGAGATGAGACCAATAGTGACAATGATAGGATTACAGATTTGAAATTTTTTATCTTAGAGAAAATCGTAAGTAACTTTTGCCAAGATTTTGAGAACTTAGATGAAATGCACAATATTCTAGAAAAATACACATTACAAAAAATGATTCAAGGAGAAAAACTTGCATCATATTATATCCATTAAAGAAAAAAATTATCTATAGAAGGCAGCAGCCCTAGATGACTTCAAAGAACAAGCAACTTCAGGGAAAAGAAAGAAAACACTCCCTATCTCCTATTATGAGCTGAATATTACCTTAAGTCCAAGGTAGATAAGGACAGTACAGAAAGGAAAAAGAACAGATTAATCTCATGAGGACAGATTCGAACATGATGGTTAATATTGAGTGTCAACTTTGATTGTACTGAAGGACACAAAGTATTAATCCTGGGTGTGTCTGTATGGGTGTTGCCAAAAGAGATTAACATTTGAGTCAGTGGGCTGGGGAAGGCAGACCCACCCTTAATGTGGTGGGCACAATTTAATCAGTTTCCAGTGAATATAAAGCAGGCAGAAAAACATGAAAAGGAGAGACGGGCCTAGCCTCCCAGCCTACATCTCTCTCCCATGCTGGATGCTTCCTGCCCTCGAACATCGGACTCCAAGTTCTTCAGGTTTGGGACTCATACTGGCTCTCCTTGCTCCTCAGCTTGCAGACAGCTTATTGTGGGACCTTGTGATCGTGTAAGTTAGTACTTAATAAACTCCCCTATTAGTTCTATCCCTCTAACAGAACCCTGACTAATACACATACCAAGTAAAATATTACACAACAAAATCCAAAATATGCAGGAAAAGTTGTACAGAAAAGGGAGAGGTGACAGGAAGAGTGGAGGTGTCTTGAGGCCAGAGCTCTCAATGAGGCTGAAAAGCAGGTTTATGCAGAAGAACTTTTAAAAAGTAAATGAACTGGAAGAAACATGAAGAAAAATTCATTTTGTCCAGTAATGGCTTTAGTAAGTTTAATAGCCTGAGGAGTTATTACAAGTAAGAGTGGGCTACTCAACTGGATCAAAGGGAAGGGGCTGTTAAGAGTTAACCTAGGTTAATTTTGTCTTGAGAATTTGGGACTTGTGACTGCGTCAAGTGGGGGTGGGTGCTTGAGCTAATGTGGGTCTACAGCAGGTGATTTGAAAAATTAAAATGCAAAAAGAGCCCAGAGAGGAAGGAGGAAGGGATAAACAGGTGGAGGAAGACAGACAGACAGGTGGAGGTGAGGAGTGGCCTGATAGTTTCCTAGTTCCTTGTCCTAGGTGGGTTCACTGGTGAATCCTACCAAACATTTAAGAAAGGAATAACATCCATTCTCTGCAGTACCTTCATGAAAATAGAAGCAGAGGAAACACTTCCTAACCCATTCTATGAGACTGGCATTACCCTGATACCAAAATGAGATAAAGATACTACAAGAAAGGAAAACCACAGAACAATAATTGCCATAAACACAGATGTAAAATCAATAAAATGTTAGCAAATCAAATCTAACAATGTATCAAAAGAATTATATGCCATGACCAAGTGGGACTTATTCCAGGTAGGGAAGACTGGTTCAACATTCAAAAATCAATTAATGTAATCTGTCATATCAATAGGCTAAAGAAAAAAAAAAATCACATGATCTTATCAATAGTTGAAGAAAATCAATTTGACAAAATTGTAACTGATTTATGATTAAAAACCCTCAGCAAACTAGAAACAGAAGGGAACTTTCTCAACCTAATAAATAATATATACCAAAAAGCCTTCTGCTAACATCATACTTAATGGTGAGAAGCTAGATATTCCCCCATTAAGATCTTAATAAGGCAAGGATGTCCCCTCTCACCATTCCTATTCAAGATTATACTGGAAGTCCTAGCTAATACAATAAGACAAGAAAAGGAAATAAAAGATATACAGATTAGGAAGGAAGAAATAAAACTCTCTGTGTACAGATGACATGATTATACATGTAGAAGATCCCAAAGAATCAATGAAAAACAAAGCCCTCTAGGAACTAACAAGTGATTATAGCAAGGTTGTAAGACACAAAGTTAATATATATATAAAATTAATTGCTTTCCTATATACTAGCAAGGAACAACTGGAATTTGAAATTCCAAACAATCATGTTTACATTAGCATCAAAAATTGAAATATAAATCTAACAAAACATATACAGGATATATATATGTAGAAAACAAAGTCTGATTAAAAAAAATCAGGCATATTTCAGTAAATGGGAGGATATTCCATGTTCACGGATTAGAAGACTCAATATAGCTGTCAGTTTTTCCCAAATGGGTTTGTAGATTCAGGGCAATCCCAATCAAAATCCTAGAGAGTGATTTTGTAGACATTGACAAACTGATTCTGAGGTTTATATGGAAAGGGAAAGGATCTAGAATAGCCAACATAATAGTGAAGAAGAACAAGTTAGAAGAGTGACACTACTCAGCTTCAAAACTTACTATAAAGTTACAGAAATCAAGACTGCATGGTATTGGGGAAAGAACAGACACATAGATCAATGCAGTGGAATAGAAAGGCCAGAAATAGATTCACACAAATACAGTCAACTCATCTTTGACAAAGGAGCAAAGGTAATTTAATGAAGAAATGATAACCTTTTCAACAAATGGTACTTTAACAATTGGATGTCCACATGCAAGAAAGATAAATCTAGATACAGATCTAACTTATCTCTTTCAAAATGGATCACAGACTTAACCATAAAACATAAAACTTCTAGAAAATAGCATGGGAGGAAATCTAGGTGACCTTGAATGTCACAATGAATTTTTAGATACACCATCAAAAGTAGGATCCATGACAAAAAATTAGTCAGTTGGACTTTATTAAAATTGAAAACATTTGCTCTGAGAAGGGCATAATTAAGAGAATGAAGAGTCAAACCACAGACTAAGAGAAAATATTTTCAAAATACATATCTGCTAAACAATTTGCATCCAAAATATATAAAGAACTCTTAAACTCAGCCATAAGAAAATAACCAACTACCAGCCTAGGCAACAAAATGAAACCCCGTCTCAACTAAAAATAAGCCAGGCACAGTGGCATGAACCTGTAGTCCCAGCTACTTAAGAGAGTGAGGTGGGAGGATCCCCTTAGCCCAGGAATTAGAGGCTGCAGTGAGCCATGACTGTGTCATGGCACTCCAGCCTGGGCGACAGAGTGAGACCTTGTCTCTTAAAAAAAAAAAGGGCCGGGCGTGGTGGCTCATACCTGTAATCCCAGCACTTTGGAGGCTGAGGAGGGCGAATCACCTGAGGTCAGGAGTTCGAGACTAGCCTGGCTAACATCGTGAAGCCCTGTTTCTACTAAAAATACAAAAAATTAGCTGGGTGTGGTGGCACCTGTAATCCCAGCTACTTGGGAGGCTGAGGCAGAAGAATCGTTTGAACCTGGGGGGCAGAGGTTGCAGTGAGCTGAGATCTCGCCATTGCACTCCAGCTTGGGCAACAAGAGCAAAACTCTGTCTCAAAACATAAAAAAATAAATAAATAAAAATAAACCAACCTAATTAAAAAATGGGCACAAGATCTGAGCAGACACATCATAATACAAAATACACAGATGGCAAATAAGCATATGAAAAGATGCTCATCATTATTTGTCATCAGAAAATTTCAAATTAAAGCAACAGCAATATGCCACTACAAATCTATTAGAATAGCTAAACCTCAAAAAAAACAAAAAAAAACAAAAAAACCGTGATATACACCAAATTCTGGCAAGGATGTATAGCAACAGGAACAGCCATTCATCAATGGTGGGAATGCAAAATGGCACAGCTACTTTGGAAGACAGTTTTTTACAACACTTAACATAATCCTACCATATGATCCAGCAATTGCATTTAGATATTTACCCAACTAATTTGAAAACATATTCACACAAAAACCTGTGCATTAATGTTTATAGCAGCTTTGTTCATAATTGTCCCAAACTGGAAGCAACCAAGATGTCCTTCAATAGGTGAATGAATAAACCAACTGTGGTACATCCACACAATGGGAGTTTTATTTGCCAATAAAAAAAAAAAATGAGCTATCAAGCCAGGAAAATGCACGAAAGAATCTTAAATGCATATTGCTAAGTTAAAAAAAAAAAAGGTTAAAAAAAAAAGAAAGAAGCCAGTTTGATAAAACTACATAGTATATACTTCCCATTATATGACCCTTGGAAGAGGCACAACTATAAATATAGAACAATAATCAGTGGCTGCCAGCAGTTCCAAGTTTGGCGGGAGGGACGAAAAGAGGAAGTGCAGGGGCATTTTTAGGGCAGAAAATTATTCTAAGTGATACTGTCATGGTAAATGTATGACATTATGCACTTGTCAAAATCTATAGCATTTTATAGCTGAAATGCTGAATCTTAATGTATGCAAATTTTTTTAAATGCAGAAGTTAGGAGATCCCAGGAAGGAGTGAAGACTGTGATAAGAGAATGGAATTCTATTACAAATGTATGAAATAATCTCGCTGAAGGGCATAGAGGGGGAAAGACGCTGACCTAAGTCATTTTGGAAACGGGTGGAGTCTGCAAGACTAGAGGCAAAAGGAACTGCACATAGCGCTGTGCTCCAGGGTTAACAACTCCAACGCCGCTATATACACTGCAGTCGAATAGTGAAGTAAATGGATGGCTGAGGGTGGGAGCCAGGTCTCTCACTGTTGGGTTGGGAATTTACAGATGAGCAAGGGGAGGAGGCTAGAATGACCCATGGGGAGATGGATTAGAGACATCAGTGTGTTCACTTGAATATAGGTATAGACAGAAATATAGAAATGTGGATACACACATGTATTTCTCTGCTCTGTCAGCTGAGAAGGCCTAAAAAGACAGCCCAACAATGAGCATACCTTCCCCAGAGCTTGATTTCTAACACCATTCTCCAATAAACCATGGCTGAGGCAGAAAATACAGATGCTCCTCAACTTACAATGGGGTTATGTCCTGATAAACCCATAATAAGTCAAAAACACGTGGCTGACTGAGAGCTGCGGCTTACTGCCAGTGCCCAGCATGGCAGCATACGTACAGTTTCCACTGAATTTGTATCGCTTTCACACTATCATAAAGTCAAAAGACTGCAAGTTGAACCACTGTAAGTTGGGACCATCTGTGTGTGAGATAATCCTGGAGAATCTTGTAGTGCCAGAAAGAAAGTGCTCAAAACACACACACACACACACACACACACACACACACACACACAATGTTGATGGGGGTATGGCAAAGTAACACAGGAGCCAACTGAAAGAGATCCGAATGGCCAAAGCTGGGACAATTTGAGCAACAAAAGAAATAAGGTAGTACTGGATTATAACCCTAGGTAAAAAATAAATATTCATGCATTCACACTGATATAGACACATAGACAGACAGGCAGGCAGGCAGACACAGAAAGACAGACAGACAGATGATGGATGGATGGATGGATGGATGGTTGGATAGATGGATGGACAGATGGATAGATGGATGGACAGATGGATAGATAGATGATAGAAGGTGGATGGATGGATTGATAGATGGATGAATAGACAGAGATTAGCTGGACAGATAGACACAGACAGATGATGGACGGATGGATGGATGGATGGACGGACAGACGACAGACAAACAGATGACAGATGACTGATGGACATACAGATGATGAATGGATGGATGGATGGACGAATGGATGGATAGACAGATGACGGATGGATGGATGCACAGAAGGATGGAAAGACAGAGATGGTGATACAGATATATGACTGAATACGTTAATAAATGAGGGAGAAGGGACAAACCTTCGGTGTGGAAGAATTCCAAATAACTTACATAGATACTCTGCCCTCAAGGACGGGGAGCCTAACACTACGCCCCTTGGATATGGACCACACACGGTGATTTCCTCCCAAAGAGCACAGTATGAAAAGCAGGAGCAGATGCAGTAATTTGACAGTGGAGAAACCTGACAAATACTGCCTCAGTTGGAGGATCGAGGTCAGCATTGTTAGTCATAAGCCATGCTGGCAGTAGGTGCGTGCCCTTGACATGATGTGATGAAAATGGCACTTCACCTCAGTGATCTTCCTCCTAAAAATTCATAACCCAAGTCTCATGAGAAAAACATCAGACAAATTTCAATAATAGGGCATTCCACAAAATCCCTCGAGTACCCCTCAAAGCTATCAAGGTCATCAAAAATAAGGAAAGTCTGAGAACTGCCACGCCAAGAGGAGCCTAAAGAGAATTGACAACTAAATGTAATGGGATCCTAGAACAGAAAAAGGACATTAGGTAAAACCTAAGGAAATCTAAATAAACTGTGGACTTCAGTTAACAATCACAAATCAATATTGGCTCACGAATTGTAACACACGTACCACACCAACGTAAGATGCTAATAGGACAAATCTAGGGTATATGGGAACTCTCCATAATACAGTCTCAATTTTTCTGTAAATCAAAAACTTCTGTAAAACATAAAGTCTATTGAAAAAAAAAATAATTGGCCAGGTGCAGTGCTCATGCCTGTGATCCCAGCAATTTGAGAGGCCAAGGCGGGTGGATCACTTGAGGTCAGGAGTTCAAGACCAGACTAGCCAACATGGTGAAACCCTGTCTCTATTAAAAATACAAAAGTAGCCGGGCGTGGTGGCGTGCGCTTGTAATCCCAGCTACTCAGGAGGCTGAGGTAGGAGAATTGCTTGAACCCGGGAGATGGAGGTTGCAGCGAGCTGAGATCGCGCCACTGCACTCCAATCTGGGTGACAGAGTAAGACTCTGTCTCAAAAAATAAAAAAATTTAAAAAAATTTTACAGGAAGAATGAAGTTTTGAAACACTGCTATGTGGATTCTGCAAGCCATATATATCACTTATCACTCAGCTTCCACTGGCCTGTGACCCGCTGTACTAGGATGTTGCCAATATGTGGAGGGAATTTCAGTGTTTCTGCACTAAAATTATCAAAGCTTCTTGGATTGTCATGGTCTAATTAATTTCCAGACTGATAGGACCAAGGTTACATTTAAGCTGCTAGGCTGAAAGCCCAGAAACAGCTGACTGTACCACCTTCTCCCAGCCACCCCCTCCAAAGCACAGAGGCCCACCCTCCCCTGTAGGCAACTGTGGTCATCTCCTTGTCCCTCTAGCTCAACCCTGAAACTAAAACATGCAGGCTCATTTACCTGAATGTGAGTGGGATTTGTCTTTCCGCTGCTCAAAGCCAAGGTCATTGAGCTTTCTGCACCCTTCTATTATGTTGGTGCAAAAGTAATTGCGGTCTTTGCCACTGAAAGTCATACTTACTATCCTAGCCACTAAGTAGCCTGCCTCTTATCAAATGCAGAAGCTCCACTCTCTAGACTCTGACATAATATCTACATGACAAAACTCAGAAGGATATTTAAATAAATCATCCATTTTCAAAAATATTTCACTACAATTAAGAAATGATTCGCATGTGGCATAGAATATGACAATGACAATATCACTGCACTGCCAACGACCACAAAGTATTCCAGGTATGAATAGGGTGATACAGATCATAAGACACTCTCCAGAGGCTATATCATGTTGTGAAAATCTTACAAATTTAATGCGGGATCTTTAAAGGTCATGTAAATGTAAATATTCAACTGATGTCTGGGATCCCTCTAGAATGTTGTGGTTTTTTTTTTTTTTTTTTTTGAGACAGCGTCTCACTCTGTTGCCCTGGCTAGAGTGCAGTGGCGCGATCTCGGCTCACTGCAACCTCCGCCTCACGGGTTCAAGCGATTCTCCTGCCTCAGCCTCCTGAATAGCTGGGACTACAGGCACGCGCCACCACGCCTGGTTAATTTTTGTATTTATAGTAGAGATGGGGATTCACCATATTGGCCAGGCTGGTCTCGAACTTCTGACCTCATGATCCGCCCACCTCGGCCTCCCAAAGTGCTGGGATTACAGGCGTAAGCCACCGCGCCCGATGGTTGTGGGTTTTTTTTAAAAGAATCACTTTACATTTTGGATTATGTGGTATCATGAATCAGATGGTATGTTTTGTTATTTTATTTTATTTAGACAAGGTCTGGCTCTGTTCCCCAGGCTGGGGTGCGGTGGCACAATCTCTGCTCACTGCAACCACTGTCTCCCAGGCTCAAGCGATCCTCTTGCCTCAGCCTCGCAAGTAGTTGGGACTACATGGGCACACGCCACCACATCTGGCTAATTTTTGTAGAGATGGGGTTTCATTACATTGCCCAGGCTAGTCTCAAACTCCTGGCCTCAAGTGACCCTCCCACCTCCACCTCCCAAAGTGCTGGGATTACAGATGTGAGCCACCACACCAGCCAGAGGGTATTTTAAATTTGTGAAGTGAGCTGGGTGCAGTGGCTTACACCTAAAATTCCAGCACTTTGTGAGGCCGAGGCAGGTGGATCATTTGAGGTCATGAGTTCAAGACCAGCCTGCCAAACATGGTAAAACCCCATCTCTACTAAAAATACAAAAAATAGCTGGGCATGGTGTCAGGCACCTGTAGTCCCAGTTACTTAGGAGGCTGAGGCAGGAGAATCACTTGAACCTGGGAGGCAGAGGTTGCAGTGAGCCAAGATTGTGCCATTGCACTCCAGCCTGGGAGACAGAACAAGACTCCATCTCCAAAAAAAAAAAAAAAAAAAAGGCAAACAAAATGACTCCATCTCCAAAAAAAAAAAAGGCAAACAAAATTTGTGAAGTAGATAAACAAATGTCACAACTGGGGAATTTTCAATGTTCTACTTTGTAACAATATTCTTATTTCTGCTAGCCAATTTTACTATAATCAAAAAAGTACAGTACAGTAGATAGGGATGACTTTCACCAAGCATGGATGGCATCAGTTTCCTGCTGCAGAAAAAGGAAGGTATGGTGAATGAGAAAAGGTCACTGGATTTAACAATTAGCAGGTCACTGATGACATACAAAATAGCAAACTCAGCCTGGTAAATATTTACTGAATAAATGGAGTGAATGAATGATAAGGAAGAAGGTTGGTAGGTACCAAAACTAGCAAAGAAGATGGAACAAAGTTTCTGATTCCAGAAGGGAAGACAATGAGAAAGGAAAGCGGATGAAGGAAAGGGGGCTATTGATCCACTAAGCACACGGAGAATCTGATATGTACCAGTTACTCTAGAAAGTACTGGGAGTAACGGTCCTGGTGTTCTAGGAACTCACAGCTTCCTGGAGGAGGCATGCTTGGTATATGTACATACAGATCTGACAGAAGTAGTCTCAAAGGAAAAGAAGTTTGTTTTACAATTTTAAAGAGTGGAACTACACAAGGTGAATTGGGGTGGGTAGGGAAAGGAGGGCGTTTCTGGCCAAAGAAATACCTTGAGCAAATAAATGCACAGAAGAAAGAAGGAATATGGCAGTACCGTTTAAAAGCCCAGGGAGGGAGCATGAAATGAAGTGAAAAAGGAACCGATTGTGAAGGCCATTACAAATCCAATAAAATGATTAGGTGTTTCTCTTGCATGTTATGTGATATGTCACATGTTCCAAAATGTAGAGAAACAATAAGCTTGGAATTAGCGGCATAAACAAGGAAGATGTTGAGTAGTTGATATCTGCCCTCGGTTATGTATGGATTGTATGATCATTTTAGTGTATTCTTCTAGTCTTTAGGGTTTGTTTTGCTCCTTTTCTGCTTCTTTCCCTTGTCTTTTAGTTACATCTCTGCTTCATTTTATTTATTTATTTATTTATTTATTTATTTATTTATTTATTTATGTTTGAGACAGAGTCTCATTTTGTCGCCCAGTGGCACGATCTTGGCTCACTGCAACCTCTGCCTCCCAGGTTCAAGCAATTCTTCTGCCTCCGCCTCCCAAGTAGTTGTGATTACAGGTGCCAGCCACCACACCCAGCTAAGTTTTGTATTTTTAGTAAAGATGGGGTTTCACCATGTTGGCCAGGCTGGTCTCGAACTCCTGACCTAAGGTGATCCACCTGCCTTGGCGTCCCAAAGTGCTGAGATTACAGGTGTGAGCCACCGTGCCTGGCCACATCTCTGCTTTTCAACACTAGTACCCTTAGAGTAAATTGCTAGCCATTTATTAAATGGGATCTGATGAGATCTGATTAGGATTAGGAAAAGATGTTTTCATGTGTCAGGAAATTCTTTCCAGTAACACTGCAAGAGCAGCCATACAACCTTAACTGGGCGACACCTTTCAATTAAATAAAGAAAATGAGTTCACCTGGAAATAATCTACCAATATCAAATAGTCCCATCTGGATTGGCATTACTGTTCACTAGGAGATGTGAACCCCAACTCTACAGTGGTATAATGTCTGGTTCTGGACAAGATGGAGTAGACGTGCCTCTCCCTATTCTGCCTGCTAAGTACAGCTAAAAATAGAGGATATTACATATAAGGCAAGCAAAAAGATTCTCAAAGGTAGAGATAAGAAGGCACACTGGCTAGGGGCCTTGGGATCTGAGGAACAACATGGTGGTGGCTTTCTTGAGTTTTATTTTTGGCTCAGATATCCTGGACTGGGCTGCAAGCCAGAAACACCAATGGCTGCGGACAATTATTGGATTAAAAAAAAAAGAGTCCCAAGTAAAGGCTGCTCTCTTAGGACAGCAGGAACAGGGCAGCCTAGCAAGACAGAAAATTTTTAGACAATAACCAACCTAGGCCATGAGAAAAACGGGCCTCATTCCCATCCGGTCAGCAAATACTGAGTGGGGAACCTAGATTCCCACCTTCACCTGGTTATAATGAGGCACTCTTCTTGACTCCTACTACCAGGGCGGTATCAGAGAAGGTGAGCGGGGAATCCTGCCCTCCTCCTCCCCTCCAGCTGTAATGTCATACAGACTACACAGGGAGCCTGGACTTTCACTCCACCTAGCAGTAACAAGGCACCTCTCCCCCATACACTTGAGTGGTGTCAGAAGAAGCTTAGTGGAGAACCAGGACTTCTGCCACCACCCAGCAGCAATAAGGCCCCCCCCCCGCCTCCATCCTATAATGTCAGTGGAGTCTAAGGGGGGAACAGTCACAAGATGGCTCTCCCTTCCTCATCAGAATGGTATCACAGGAGGCTGACGGGAGCCAGAACTTCTGCCCCTACTTGGCAGTAACAAGGCACCCTTCCTACAATAGGTCAATAGAAGCTGAGGGGGGAAATGGACTTTTACCTCTCCCTGGAAGTAAGGAGGTAACACCCTCTCATGCCATCCCCACAGTGCAGTGTCAAAGGAGGCTGGCTAAGACAGAAGATTTATTAATAAATAAGATCCAGAGTCTCCTAACATAACACCCAAAATGTCTGGGAAACAACTGAAAATCACTTATCATACCAAGAAACAGGAAAATCTCAACTTGAATGAGAAAAGACAATCAAAAGATGCCAACGTGGTATGTGCGTTGGTATTATCTGATTAAGATTTTAAAGTAGCCATCACAAATGTGCTTCAATGGGCAATTAAAAACGGACATGATAAATAGAAAGTTGGCTGGGCGTGGTGGCTCATGCCTGTAATCCCAGGGAGGTGGAGGTGGGTGGATCACTGGAAGCCAGGAGTTCAAGACCAGCCTGGCCAACATGGTGAAACCCCATCTCTAATAAAAATGAGAAAATTAGCTGGGCATGGTGGTACACGCCTGTAATCCCAGCTACTCAGGAGGCTGAGGCAGGAGAATCACTTGAACTCGGAGGTGGAGGTTGCAGTGAGCCGAGATTGTGCCATTGGATTCCAGCCTGGATGACAGAGTGAGATTCTCTCTCTCAAAAAAAAAAAGAAAAGAAGAAGAAGAAAGAAGGAAGAAGGAAGAAGAAAGAAGAAGAAGAAGAAGAGGAAGAGGAAGAGGAAGAAGAAGAAGGAAAATAAAAAAAGAGAAGAAGGAAGGGAGGGAGGAAGGAAGGAAGGGAGGGAGGAAGGAGAAATAGTTAAATAGAAATAGGAAAATAATCAAATGGAAATTTTAGAACTGAAAAATACAATAACTAAAATAATAAATGGTTCAACAGAATGGAAGAGTAAAAAGACAGAATGAATCAATCTAAAGTTAGAACAAGAGTCTAAAAAACAGAGAGACTAAAAGAGAAACAAACAAAGCCTCAGATACCTGTGGGACCATAACAAAAAAAAATCTAACATTTGTGTCATCAGAGATCTAAAAAGAAAAGAGAAATAAGATGAGGCTGAAAAAAGTATCTGGAGAACAACTAGAAATTCCCCCAATTTGTAAAGGGCATATACCTGCAGATTCAGGAAGCTGAGCATGCCTCCAAAACAACAGACCCAAAGAAATCCAGTCCAAGGCAACCTGTAATCAAACTTCTGAAAACTCAAGACCTGAATATTTTTAAAAATCTTGAAAGCAGGGAGAGAAACATCTTACCTAAAGGAGAAAAACAATCAAATGACAAAGAATTTTTCATCAGATACCAGAGAAGCCAGAAGGAAAGAAAAGAGCTGTCAATCCAGAATACTTTACCTGCCAAAAACATCCTTCAGGAATGGAGAGGAAACCAAGACAGTGGCAGATGAAGGAAAACTAAGAGGACTGGTTGCTATCACACTGGCTCTAAGAGAATTGCTAAAGGAAGTTCTTCAAACAGATGGGGAAGATTCCAAAGGAAACCTGGACCATCTGGAAGAAAGAACGAACAACAGAAGGAGTAAGAATATGAGTAAATACAATAAACTCTTCTTCTCTTGAGTTTTCTAAGTTACCTTTGATAGTTGAAGCAAAAATTGTAATATGATGCCATGTGATTTTCACTGTGGGTGCAGGAAACACCTAAGATATTCTAAGTAAGGGAGGGAAAAGAGATTTAAGAGAGGTAAAGTTTCCACATTTCACTCAAACTGCTAACATGCCGACACCAGTAGACTGTGATATATTATATATGCATAATGTAATATGTAAATCAACCACTAAAAAGTCTATACGAAGAGACGCACTCAACAACAGTACAGAGAAATAAAAATGGAATTCTAAAATAGATTGGCATAGAAGACTAAAAAAGTATGACAACTGTATGTTGCCTATAAGAAACACTTCAAATATAATGATACAGGCAGGTTGAAAGGCAAAGGACAGAAAAACATATACCATGCAAACACTGATCAAAAGAAAGCCGAAGTGGCTCTATTATCGTCAGATAGAGTAAACTTCTGTTTATATATCCTTCTTCCAATGAGGAAACTACAGAGATGGAGGAGATTAGCGGTCGCCAGAGGCTAGGGATAGTTGGTATCGGACTACAAAGGAATAGCATGAGAAAGATCTTTGTGGTGATAGAACAGTTTTCTATCTGGGTCGTGGTGATGGCTACATAAATCTAAACACAAAACAGCACAGAACTAAACACACACATGTGAATGCATTTAAAATTGGTGAAATCTGAATAAGGTCTATGGGTTGTACCAATGTCTATTTCCTGATTTTGATAACGTACTATGATCACGTAAGACGTTATCACTGGGGAAAACTACATGAAGGGTACCTGAGACCTTTCTGTACCATTTTGCAGCTTCCTGTGAATCTATAATTGTTTTAAAGTAAAGACTTGGTATTCAGTTTTCTTTTGTGGCTGTCTTGGTGTAAGAATAGGAAAGTAGTCCTTCATTCAACATGACTGCAGCAGTTTGCACTCTCTTTCAGAAGTCCCGGGATTATTAGTAGAAATTGAGGCTGGGCTTACGGTGGCTCATGTCTGTAATCCCAGCACTTTGGGAGGCTGAGGTGGGAGGGCTGCTCGAGCCCAGGAGTTTGACAGCAGCCTGGCCAACACAGTGGGACCCCATCTCAATAACAAATTTAAAAATTAGCTGGGCATGGTGGTTCATGCCTATAGTCCCAGCTACTCGAGAGGCTTAAGCAGGAGGACTGCTGGAGCCTGGGAGGTTGAGGTTGCAATGAGCCATGTTCACGCCACTGCACTCCAGCCTGGGTGACAGAGCGAGATGAGACCCTGTCTCCAAAATAAAAAAAATAAATTGAGCAATCTCCTGAGAAAGCTGAGAATGATAAACAGGTATTTGATGATTCGGACCTCTCTGGTTTCAGGTCACCTGACCCAGCTCAGGAGCTTAAAGACAGGGCCAATGGACCAGGCCTGAGAAGTGACTACTTCCTAAGAAGTGGTACCATATTTTCATTTCTTTCACTAGACACTAGTATAAGAATACAGAGGCCATGACTGGAAAATGACAAGATCTGCATACTCCGAGATCAACAACGAAAAGGAAAAGAAGCGCCAGAAAACACATAATTGGAAGGAATCTAAATGAGCCTTGTTTTGCTTTTTGGATGGGTTTCTGTATTATTTCTTCGTGGCCATGGTTCCCAAGCAGTGGGAACAGAGTACTCACTGGGACACTGCAGGGTATCTTGAATTTTAAAGAGGAACGCAGTGACACTGGACATCTGTTGGGCATTTCAACAACTGCTAGCTTGAGATAGTTCCCAGTTTCAACGTTAGGCTGTGTCACACTTCTTTCAATGATGTCATAACAAATAGAACTGCTAGGTATCTCTTTTGACCTACAGGTCTTGTGAAAAAGCTATTGAGGCACTAGAGCACTATGAATGTGCAAGTTGGAAACCTCCACGTTAGGGTATATCTGGTGTTTAAGTAATTAATTTCAAAGCATTTTGGATGCTTGACCATCTGTCTCACTCTGGGCATTCTAAGGACAACTTCTCATAATCTGGACTCCATAATTTGATATCTATATCTTTGCTGGAATTTCTTCCTGACGTCACCGAGTCAACCCATTCACTCTCTACCTACATGAAAAATAAATATGCAAGTAACATCATCTCCATGGACGACACCATCACAATCACTCATTTCCCAGGTTAGAGGCCAGGGAGTCATGCCTGAACCTGCACACTCGTTAATGGTCCTCATTTAATACTTTGCCAGGTCTACCACTCACCACTCTCATTCATCACAGCCTTTGTCTCAGACCCCCATTTCACCCTCAGATTGCTAGACCTGAGGGTGAAACAGTTGCTGGACCTGAGGGTTATAACAGGTTTGTTGTTGTTGTTGTTGTTGTTGTTGTTGTTGTTGTTTTAGAAATGGAGGAGGGTCTCACTCTGTTGTCCAGGCTGAGCTAGAATTCCTGCACTCAAGTGAGTCTCCCGCCTCAGCCTCCCGAGTAGCCAAGACTACAGGCACACGACACCACAGCTGGCTATCGCAACAGTGTTTTAACTGGTTTCTCTGTCTTGCAGCTTTTCAATCCATCCCCTGTAATGCTGCCAGACAATTTTTTCTGAAACACAAATCTTCACTGTGGCACTCCCCTACCTAAAGCTCTTCAGTGCCTCCCCATGCCCTTTAGGGAAATAGAGAAAATGACATTTAGGATGCCATTCAATGCTATCTGTGATCTTAACCCTGCCTAATAATCTCCTTTCCCTGCAACCCTTCTCTTGACCTTCAGCCATCCCAAACTACTTGTGGTTCTCAATGTGCCATGTCTCCGTGCTTTTCCTTGGACCTCTGCTTGTACTGTTTCTGCTTAAATGTTTTTCCTACTTCAGCCATCATTTAAGATCCAGTTAAATGGTGCCTCCTCTGTGAAGCCTCTCCTGATGGGACCAAGTAGTCCTCAGAATGCACCCATTGAGCTCCATTCCATTCTTCCACCATAGCTCTGATTACACTTCTCAGCACTTTTTTTGTTGAGATATTTGTCGTTTTCTGTTAGCCCATTCTTGAAGGCAGGAACTGATATGGTTTGACTGTGTCCCCACCCAAATCTCACCTTGAATGGCAGTTCCCGTAATTCCCACGTATTGTGGGAAGGACCTGGTGGGAGATAACTGAATCATGGGGTGGTTTCCCCCATACTGTTCTTGTGGTAGTGAATAAGGCTCATGAGATCCGATGGTTTTATAAGGAGTTTCCTCTTTCGCTTGGCCCTCTTTTCTCTCGTCTAACACCATGTAAGAGGTGCCTTCCACCATTATTGTGAGGCCTCCCCAGCCATGTGGAACTGTGAGTCCATTAAACCTCTTTTCCTTTATAAATTACCCAGTCTCGGGTATGTCTTTATCAGCAGCGTGAAAGCGGACAAATACAGGGACCATTGTTTACTCATCTTTGTATTCTCAGAGTACCCAGCCCTCTGTATTCTCAGAATACCCATGTGCCTGACACACATGGGTATTCAACAAACATTATAGAGAATAATGAGGGTCTATCTCAGATTCTCTCCTTTGTCCTGGCGCACACTTGGTGCCATGTCTGGTTTTGCACTGATCACACTGATTTTCAGTCATTTTCCCCACTAAACCGCGAGCTCCTTGTGGGTGGGGGAAGACCAATAAAAGCAGCAGTAACAACTATTTATTAACTGCCTACTTCACTTCAGGTTCCCTTCTAAGTTCTTTCTTTCTTCTTTTTCCTTCCTTCTTTCCTTCCATCCTCCCTCCCTCTCTTCTCTTCTTCTCTTTCTCTCTCTCTTTCTTTCTTGATGGGTTCTCGCTCTGTCGCCCAGGCTGGAATCCTTCTAGGTACTTTAAATATGTTACTTTTAATGTTGATAATGGCCTTGAAAGCAATACTATTAGTATCAATTTTGAATAAGGATATGAGGGATTTAATTAGAGAGAACGGAGAGACAGAGAGAGAGGAACAGGGAGTCTAGAAGAGTGGTTTAAAATCAGTACAGTAATGAATAATGACCCACTGGGACAAAGAGTAGAATTCCTGAGTCCGTACTGATAAATAAACATATAAATGGGAGGAAAGGGAGGGCTTTTGTTTACAATAGAATGCTGAAGGCAAATGTGGAAGGAGTGGTACACTTACAAAAATCACTATTTTACAATCAATAAAACATTTTATCAGGCAGGAACCATCAATAAGTGCTAAGTCAATGGGGAAATTTTGGTAAGAAGCGAGATACTGCATTGTCTTAAGGTACCTTTTCATAGATAGCTTATCAGGTGCAAAGGAGAGAAACAGAAGAACTGGGTCAAAGTAGTTGGCTGAACAAAATCATCACCACTAACGAGGGAGATGTGGACACCGGGTACCAAGTGTGACACGCTGAAAAGGACACGTCGCCAACACAGTATTCCATCTGAGGACATACAACCTCAATCTAGCCACAAGGAAAAATCAGGCAAATATAAAACAAAAACCATTTCTTTTATTTATTTATTTTTTTTTTTTGAGATGGTCTCACTCTGTTGCCCAGAATAAAGTGCAATGGCATAATCACGGGTCACTGCAGCCTTGACCTCCTGGGCTCAGATGATCCTTCCACCTTAGTCCCCTAAGTAGCTGGGACTACAGGTTCATGCCATCACGCCTAGGAAATTTTTCTATTTTTAAATAGTGATGGAGTCTCACTATGTTGCCCAGAGTGGTCTTGAACTCCTGGGGTCAAGGGATCCACCTGCCTCGGTCTCCCAAAGTTCTAGGATTACAGGTGTAAGCCACTGCACCTCACCAAGAAACATTTCTATTAAAAGAAAGGGAAGGGGGGAACTGTATTCTTTTAAAATAGCAACATCATAAAAGACAAAGGAAGACTGTGGAAATGTTCCAAATTGAAGGTGACTACAGAGACTTAAGAAGAAAATATAGTATCTGCCTAGATTAGGGGTTGGGTAACTGTGGCTGGTAGGCCCAATCTGGCCACATTTAGCTCACAAACCTGTTTTAGGGACAGTCTTTGCATTTTTAAAAGGTTGCAAATGAGTAAACAAGCAAAGAAGAATATCTGACAGAGGCTGTATGTGCCTTGCAAACCTCAAATATTTACTTTATATAAAAATTAAAATATTTACTTTATATCTTCTTTTTTTTTTTTTGAGATGGAGTCTCACCCTGTCGCCCAGGCTGGAGTGCAGTCGCCCAGGCTCGACTCACTGCAACCTCCACCTCCCGGGTTCAAGAGATTCTCCTGCCTCAGCTTCCTGAGTACCTGAGATTACAGGCCCCCGCCACCACACCCCGCTAATTTTAGTATTTTTATTAGAGATGGAGTTTCACTATGTTGGCCAGGTTGGTCTCGAACTCCTGACCTCAAGTGATCTGCCCGCCTCAGCCTTCCTCCCAAAGTGCTGGGATTACAGGCATGAGCCACCACACCGGGCCTACATTTTCTTTATAAACAAAGTTGGCTGACTCCTATAGAGTAGATCCTGAACTGGAGGGGGAAATGCTATAAAGGACATTACAAGCTGATCTGACAAAATTTGAATATGGATGGTAGATTAAAGTCATGTATCAGTTTACAATTTTGAAGTTGATAACTGTATTGTGGTTGTAAGAGAAAATATTCCTAGTCTTAAGAAATTCACACTGAAACATTTAGGGCAAAGGACCATGACCAATGCAACATTTCCTCAAAGGGTTCAGAAAAGACGATGCGTGCACGTGTATGCTGCGGGGGCGGGGGGCAGGGGTAGGGAAGGGAGGGAGAGAGAACGAGAGAGAACGGGAGCAAAAGAGAGAGAGCAAGAGAACAAGCAAATGGCAGAAAAATGGTAACAGGTGATTTTGCAAATCTATGTCCTTTGTTCTATTTTTATCATTGCACTTTTTTGTAAATTTGAAATAATTTCCAAATTTAAAACAAAAGAAAAAGAAAGAAGGAAGGAAAGAAGGGAATACAGGCTCTGGAGTCAGATGCCAGGGCTTAAATCCCATTTCTACTCCTTACTGGCTGTTTCATCTTGGGCAAGTTACTGAACCCCTTGATGTGTCAATTTCTCTTCCATAAGACAGAGCTCAGACTGGGCATGGTGGCCCATGCCTGTAATCCCAGCACTTTGGGAGACTGAGACAGGTGTATCACTTGAGGTCAGGAGGTCGAAACCAGCCTGGCTAACACGGTGAAACCCCGTCTCTACTAAAAACACAAAAATTAGCTGGGTGTGGTGGCTCACGCCTGTAGTCCCAGCTACTCGGGCGGCTAAGGCAGGAGAATCGCTTGAAGCGAGGAGGCAGAGGTTGCAGTGAGCCGAGGTTGCATCACTGCACTCCAGCCTGTGCAACAGAGCAAGACTCCATCTTAAAAAAAAAAAAAAAAAGACAGAGGTCTCGATAGTACCTACCTTGTAGGGATGCTGTGAGGATTTAAAAATACACTTGGCAGTGTCTGTCACATATTAAGCATTCACCAAATTAGGTGGTTTTATAAAAATAAAAATAACTGAAGCAGCAATAACTGAATCATGCTATGAGCCAGGTGCTGTGTTAAGTGTTTCATAATAATGGCCTTGGCTAGCAATATACCCATTTTCCAGATGAAAAGCTAAAGAGACAGGGGCCAAGATTAAAGCCCTCTAATCAATCTGACTCCACGCATAATCTCTTCTCATTCATTACACTACAGAAAGATGAAAGAACTTGCACAAAGTCACCTAGTTAACAAGTGGTAGTGTAAGATTTGTGCCAAGTCTACTTTTCAATTAACCCTGTGGCTTTCCATTCTTCATGTCTGAGCACTGTGTCCCTTGCTGCACACCCTGGTGTCCAGAACTCAGCAGGCATTCAATAAACACTTGAAGAACTGAATTGGCTTGAATGAGATGGTTTGCTATCTATTTCCCCTATCCTCATGGGAAAAGAGAAGAAATCTTACAGACTGAAGTAAAGGATTAGACTAAAATTAAATTGTCCTGTTTTAAATGTTCCTTTGAATACTGCCAATGGTTTTGAAAGATGCCTTGTATTATAAAAAAGATCAATGGACTAGAGGGAGAGAAGGCTGTGATTCCAGTTTGACACAGCCATTTAAGCCAGTTTCTTCACCGTTCAGACCTCAGATTCCATAAGGAAAAAGTGAAAGGGTTAAATCACATATCTAAAACACCACATTAGAGATCTTCTGATCCTAGGCTTGACTTGATTTCTAGAAATAATCTTCTAAATGCAACGTACAGAATGCAATCACAGGTAACAAGGCACTGGAGAAGACAAGGCAACATGAATGAGAACCTGCAGAAATGACAGACAACAGACACACGCCCACAGGAACTTTAGTCATTGGAATTATCAGATACAAACCATAAAACAACTCACTTCCAGTACTCAAGAAGATAAAACCCAAGCTTGAAAACTTCAGCAGGGAAATAGAAATTATACAAAATAGCATTTTTGAAATAAACCAAGCAGAAATTATACAATTAAAAAAACATAAAATACAAAATTAAGAAATTAATGGTTGAATTTAATAGCACAGGAGACACAGCTGAAGCAAGACTTAGTGAACTGGAAGATGAATCAATAGAAACTACCCAAAATGAAATATGGAGAGATGGAGAGACAAAAGCACAAAAAATACAAATGAGAAGGCAAGAGATATTAAAAAAATATGTAATGACGTCTAACATATGTTTAATTGGAGTCCTAGAGGAGAACATATAATGAGAAAGAATAAGTATTTAAAGAAATAAAGACTAAGAAATTTTCCAGAACTTCTCCAGAAAATTAGCAAACTATTTTAGTGGCCCACCTCTATCAAGAACTGGATTTTTCCTTTGCTAGGAGTTATTTACTTAAGAAAGATACTAGATTCATATACTTGTTCTATCTAATAAAAGGACTAAAGGGGAAAAATGGAAATAGTGTTATAAACTAAAATCCCAAACAAAATTCTCCAGATGCCAAGATTCAAGCAATCTAAAATTTGATAGATACCACAATATTGCTTCTGACAGCTAGAAACTCATATGGGGACTATTTACTATTTTAGCTTTTCCCTGTCATTCCAGGAAAGGACTAGAGGTTATTACAAGGGCATTTTGCTTTTGTTTTGTTAGCATGCACCTTCTAAAATTGCAAACCAGAAAGTACTTCAAGATGTCCAGAGGAGGGCTAAACAAGAAGCAATTTCACATGGAAAAGAGTTTATGAGCCCAGCAGACAGAATTTAGTGCTCTCTTATTTTTGTTTTGGGAAAGGTAGCAAACAAGCAGATAATCCCTATAACAATGTAAGAGGAAAATAAAGAGAGAAGAGAAGGAAAGAACAGCAGGGTCGGGGAACAGAAGAATCCATGTTTGAGTTATTCTTACCTTTCTGTGTGCTATCAGGAGGCAATTAGAGTGTTCGTGTTCACATGCAATTTCATATTCGGGGATCAGATCCACCAACTCGTGGACAAACTGTACCACTTCCTCATGCCAGGGCACGTGGGCCATGGTAAGACTGCTTGCTGAACTTTCTCCGCAGTAGGTAACGCCCTGTGGAAACAGTATAACCATCAGAGATGACTACAGACCTACCTGCATGTCATAGAAGAAGACTTTCAGAGCCGGAAAACCTTCTTGAGGTCAACCAATGCAATCCAGTCCGTATTTTACAGTGAAGGAAGTGAATATAGAGATGATAAAATCTGCCTAGGAGACCATACAAGTAGCTACTGACAAAGACAGCAGGCTGATGCTCTTGCTACTCTATGACATTGCTGGGGCTTAAGTACCTGCGCTTTCTACCGTTGTCGCAATCTAGGCTGTCTGGTCACAATAATGTATTTGAATCAACAGCATGTCTTTTGATTCAGATTCATCTGTGCACTATAATTGAGGAATTATGAAGGGGTTATCACCCCTTAGGACAATAATGGGGGCATAGTGGACACTCATAAAAATTCACTGACCAAGTAATTGATTCACTGGGAAAATAAGCTGAGCTTCCATTTTCTAGTATAATTGAGATTGAAACTGGCAAACTTTTTCCTTAAAGTGACAGATAAGGATCCCTTTAAAATTATTATTATTATCATTTTTGAGTCAGAGTCTTGCTCTGTCGCCTAGGCTGGAGTGCAGTGGCGCAATCGGGGCTCACCACAACCTCCACTTCCTGGTTCAAGAGAGTCTCGTGCCTCAGCCTTCTGAGTGGCTGGGATTACAGGCGCCTGCCACCATGCCTGGCTAATTTTTGTATTTTTAGTAGAGATGGGGTTTCGCCATGTTGACCAGGCTGGTCTTGAATTCCTGGCCTCAAGCAATCTACCTGCCCCAGCCTCCCAAGGTGCTGGGATCACAGGTGTGAGCCACTACACCTGGCCTAAAATTATTCTTTAGGGAGTTAATTTTGTAATGCACTTTGAATGTGGTTACATAAACAATCATGCCAAAAGGGAAATATATTTGTGCATGTACCTATATACCTTTACACACAACTACATATACACATGTATTTCACCAACACAGAAATTCTTAAGTACAACTGCAGAAAGTTAAGTTATCTAACTCTTTTGGACTCTACCTAATAGCCAAGGCATACAAGACCCCAGAATTTCATAACTAAGTTCTTTATTTGGTAAATTACATAATGGTAAAATGATTAATTTTCTAATACTAAAAGATTTATCTTATTTCTTCAAATAAATCTTAACTCTGTGGGCTCTTCAAATACCCACAAATCAAACTTTTCTCAACAACTTGTTGAGAAAATCCCAGAAATGATTCCGCTAAGTGGGGAATAACTTGGAGGGAGTGGGGAGAAAGGCATGTGCACCCCTCATACACATTCACTCACACACACACACACACACAAACACACACAAATACATATAAAGACAGGACACACACACACCACAGACAAACTGGAGAATGCAGAATGACACTGAATTTTTTTTTTTTTTTTTTGAGACAGAGTCTCATTCTTGTTGCCCAGGCTGGAGTGCAGTGGCCTGATCTCGGCTCACTGCAGCCTCCGCCTCCTGGGTTGAAGTGATTCTCCTGCCTTAGCCTCCCATGTAGCTGGGAATACAGGCACGTGCCACCACGCCCAGCTAATTTTTGTATTTTTAGTAGAGATGGAGTTTCGCCATGTTGGCCAGGCTGGTCTTGAACTCCTGACCTCAATTGATCTGCCCATCTCGGCCTCCTATGTGCTGGGATTACAGATGTGAGCCAACACGCCTGGCCAACACTTAATTTTTAAAAACCAACAAATGAGCAGAGTGACCCTGACCCTGATGACAGAGCTGGGACTTGGATGAAGACTCACATGAGCTTTGCCAAACACTCTACTCAAGACAGCTGTTCAAACAGATGACTGGTGCACTAAACTGTGATGGCCTTTGTGGAATATAAACCACAGCCACCCAGCTTAATTACAATAAACAAGAGAATCTTCTCAGTTTGCCCGGTGATTTAGAGAATTCATTAAACGGAGTTCAAGCTGAAACTGTGCCCTACAGAGTTAAAGAAACCAACGACTAACAGAAATCCTTGTGTTTGCAGGATGGCCGTATAAGAAAATAAACAACTTGCTAAAACTGCTGAAACTCCCTCTGCTTGTGAGATTTAAAAAAACTGGCTGAAATTGGTTGGAACCAACATGTCCAATGGAGTCTGAATAGAAAGAGCTTGCTGACATCACAGCCCGAATTTCCACCACATTTCATACTAACTCCCCCTGAATTTGCATATGCAAACCACAAGCAAGCATGATCAAACAGACAACTGCGCGTGTCCGAGGACTTTCCAGATCTCCCCTTTCCTTCCACCAATCACTTACTAATCTGAGAATCCATCCCCTAATAAAATCACTGCCTTAAAGCCTGCACAGGAAGACAAATTTGAGCTGGACTCAGTGTCTCTTTATTAGTCGACTTGCAATAAAAAAGCTTTCTTTTCCCCCCTCAAAAACCCTATGTCAATTAGTATTGGCTTCCAGAGCATCAGGTAGTGAGCCCCTTTTGCTCAGTAACAGAGCTTAAGGTGAATAAAAAAGGCAAATAATGATATGGTTCAAGACATCATTACGAAAGCATGGCTGGAAAACTGCTAGCCTTACCAAGTGCATAAAAAACATGAAAATTATTTATTGATAAGCATTAGTCATAAAAGTGTACTCTACCTCAATTTAAATACTGCTTATGTGTGGATTACACAAACAACCATGTATGCAGTAGCTACTTCAAAGGACTTTCTTTTTAATATTTAAAAAGTTAGTTCACTGAATCATAGAGTTGTTAGATAAAATCTTGTCTTCGTGAGAACAGCTTTTGAAAATATTTTAATATTTTATTACTCAGCAAAAATAGCCATGAAGCACTGAGGGGAGATTTAGTTTGGGAATGGAATGAGAGAATGCCTGCTGCGGTTCATTATCATGACTCCACCCATTCCTTATGACTCTATGATGCTTTATGGTATTTTCACATAAAAGTTCTCATTTTTGCCAGACAAAACCCTTTGAGGAGGCTAGGCACGGTGGCTCATGCCTGTAATCCCAGCTCTTTGGGAGGCTGAGGCGGGCAGATCACTTGAGGTCAGGAATTCGAGACCAGCCTTGCCGACATGGTGAAACCCTGTCTCTATTAAAAATACAAAAATTGGCTGGGCGTGGTGGTGCCCGCCTGTAATCCCAGCTACTTGGGAGGCTGAGGCAGGAGAATAGCTCGAACCCGGCAGGCGGAGATTGCAGCAAGCTGAGATAGTGCCTCTCCACTCCAGCCTGGGCAACAGAGCAACACTCTTGTCTCAAAACAAAACAAAACAAAAACCAAACAACAACAGCAACAAAACCCTCTGAGGGAAGCAGTCCTGGGTAACTTCCTGAGTCAACCGCAGAGCCAGAGGCTGCACCGTGACAGAAATGCTCTGGGCAGAAAATGTTCTTGGTGACTTAGACTGGGGGTCACCTCAGGGACCCCGAGCTCTCACTCAGAGCCCAATGGCTCTGTCTGGTTTTCTCTCTGCTGCGACTGCCCCACTTCATCCTACCCTCTAGTCTACTGATGGCTTGCCCTGACTTTATTCCTGAGCACAGAATTATCTAAAAAACTTTCCCTTCATATCACAGCTGTCTGCCACCTTCTCACCCACTCTCACCCTCACCCTCACCCCCAACTCCATTTATCAGAAGCAGCAAGTTCTTCACCAAAACTCTGAATAAAGAACAGTCTGAAGAAAATAGATGGGTACAGCGTGGTGATGGAAAAGCCAAGTCACTCACACCAGAATCTGCAGGCTGAGGAGTAACAAGCAGACCCCAAGAATGTTTGTGAAGAACAGGATCATTTATGCATCCTTGAGTTTGCAGTGAAAAGCATAACCCACACTTTTATAACCTGTGGCTTTTGGACCCACCCCACTGCCCTAGGAGATGGGGGCTGCTATACTGTGGCTATCTGAGCGTTCAAACCTCATGCTGAAATGTGATCCCCAGTGTTGGGGGTGGAGCCCAGTGGGAGGTGTTTGGGTCACAAGGGCAGTGTCCATCTGTCTGTCTCTCTGTCCGTCCGTCTGTCTCTCTTTCTCTGCCTTCTGCCATGACTGAAAGCAGCCTGTGGCCCTCACCACAAGCAGCTGTTGGCACCATGCTTCTTGTAGAGCCTGCAGAACCATGAACCAAACAAACCTCCTTTCTTTATAAATTAGCCTCAGGTATTCCTTTATAGTGATGCAAACAGACTAAGATGGGGCCATAAAGTCTTCCTCACTGGCTGCTTGGAGAGTTTGCCTTGGGATTCATGGTCTGTGGGAAGAGCAGTATTTTGCTGGTTTGACTATTTGATATTCTAATTAAACCAACTGGGTGTCAAAAGACTCCTAATACTGTTTTTGTCCCCTATAGTTTGATGAGAAAATAAATAATGACGTTATGACATTTTTTCCCCATAATATACCCCAAATACTTCATTCCTTTATCCTAAAAATGCTTCAATAACTCTTTAAACCAGCCCGAGCTTCTCACCACGGCACGAGGCCTTCCTCACCTGCCTCCGTAGCTTGCGCTAACAATGGACCATCAGCCATTCAAGCCCCTGTCTTTGGCCATATGCACAAGTAACTCTAGAGCTGGACTGCCCACTCAGCATCCTGTCTGCACCTGGCTAAAGTGACCCATCATTTCTTTAACCTCCATTCAGGAACCTCTACGCTATCTGACCCTGATCTTATCACATCCTGTGCAGTTATCTGTTACCAGGTAACTGGTATAAAGAAGCGTCAAAACTCTGAGCCCTTTGAGGGCAGGGGCTGTGCCTTGCTCTTCTTGGCACCCCAAATCAATCTATGCTAAATGAACAAAAAATCAAGTCAGACATTCTCCTATGACATTAAACTCCACAACTCTTTTCTAATCTAGTACAAAATTTCATTCACATGACTCAGGAGTTTTCTACTCTGTAACAGGTATGAACCAGCTGATAAACGCTGGCTAGGGACTGCTACATACAAGAAAAACTGACAGTATTCCTCACCTTTGTGGGAGAGAGTGAGGCTATGCTAAGACAATCATTTTGCAGGGTGCGTTCTGCAAGGATTGAGCACTACACACAGCTAGGGTGCCAACAGTAAGTAGTTTTAAGTCATTTGACAACAAATAATTACTGAGCACGTCCTATTCTCAAGGTGTAATGCTAGGCAGAGAACACACAGACAGTATTTCATTTACAAATGGATTGTGTTACAAAAGTTTTCAGCAAGACAGATGGTTGTAACATGAAACCTTTTCACAAGCAAGCAAGCAAATAATGACAAGGAAGATTCTCAGGCTAGCAAATAAAGGCCTCTTTAAGCCTAATGAAGCTAAGATACATGCTAATTTACAAGGAATATAGCAGAAAAATATTTTACAAGACTGGTAAAGAAAGAAAAGAGGAAATCGATATGATAAAGCAATAGCCTCTATTGATTTTGTTTAAATAAATGTGCTTAATGGAAAGTGATCTAAAAACTTAATGAATCTGGGCATACATTACCCCATTGAATTCTCAAAACAAACTTATTAAAGAGATATTCTTATGCAAATTTTAATATTGACAGAATTTAGGCTCAAGGAGGATGAATAACCTGTCCTAGGCTACACTGGCACATTTTAGGTGGGTATCAAAACTGGGCACTGCCTCTCACCCCACATGAGACTCTAGTAAGTGCAGACTATGGGAGACCCCAGATCTGACACGCACACACGGACAGACACACACAAACACAAACACACACACATACATACACATACCACACACACATGCACATACACACAACACACGCACACAACACACACATGAACACACATACATGCACACATACAACACACAAGTGCACACACCACACACATGCACACACACAACACAGATGCACACACACCACACACATAAACACACCACACACTCACACGTCAGGGAGAAAAGATGCCGAGGGCATGCCTGGCCATGACGCCACTCCCGCATTTACAGTCGCCCTTCCTGACCCAAGGGTTGTTCATGCTACCACTTCTATGACCAAAGTTAAGATGATTTTTCCTTTGACTCACAAAAGAGAAACTGCACACAGGGTAGATAGAAAAAGGAAGGTAGCGTTTCCTAAATCCAATTAGGTTAGTGCTACAAGCAAAATGAGAAAAAGAAGTTGAATGGGGTGATACATACATGTTAGAAACCTTCCTCACACTGGATTTAGAAATTTGTCAACAATTCAGTACAGTACTCTGAATGCACACACATACACATACATGTGTGTTTCCATTTTAAAATCAAAGAACTTAATAACAAAAAGATAAGCAACTCAATTGAAATACAAAGGGTATGAACAGCATTGTGTCTGCATCTGCAGGGAGCTCCAGGCATATCTGTGAATCTAGGGCCAATTTGTATTATTGATTTCACATCTTGGGGGCATTTATATGACCTTGAGGTACCATAATACTAAATTTGAATTCCAAGGCCATTTGAGGGTAAGGCCCTGGAGAGACTTTTCCTTTTTACCAAACGCACGGGTAGGGAACAAGCCTTCCAAGTGTTACTGTGTCCGTGGGTAAGTTTTTCCCTAATCCATCCTTTCATTGAAGGTGAAAGGGCCTAGTCTTCTGTCCTTTAAACCCGAGTACTGTCTACTAGGACCATGGAGTACTTCCAGAATGGTCTCTTTTCTTCCCGCTCCAAGAGTGTCTCCCTTACAGCCCTGACAGATATGCACCTTCCCAAACGTATGGTTTTCATAACAGATTCACTTCTAAGTGTTAATCCTTAGAGAGGTTTGAGGTTATAGCCTGCCATATTGCTAGTTCTTATCAAATGTTTTATGGAGAGGTCTTATTATTATTATTGTTGTTGTTATTTATTAATTTTTTTTTGAGACAGAGTCTCGCTCTTTTGACCAGGCTGGAGTACAGTGGCATGATCTCAGCTCACTGCAGCCTCTGCCTCCTGGATTCAAGTGATTCTCATGCCTCAGCCTCCCGAGTAGCTGGGATTATAGGCACCTGCCACCACGCCCAGCTAATTTTTGTATTTTTAGTAGAGACAGGGTTTCACCATGTGGCCAGGCTGGTCTCGAACTCCTGACCTCAAGTGATCTGCCTGACTCGGCCTCCCAAAGTGCTGGGATTACAGGCATGAGCCATGAGGCCCAGACAATGATTTTTAAAACTCCTCTATTTTAGAAATTTTTAACTTTAATTAATAAGACAACAATGACAAAAAGATGTATTTTCAGACATTCTGTAGTTCAATCCTATTGAACAGGAAAAGCATGCCTTCTCCATTTACTGATTTCATTTGTCTTTTGAATTACAAACCAATGCATGCTCATTGTAATAATCCACACAATACATAATTACAAAAAGTAAAATTAATAAACATTTCCCTCCCCTTCTCCCAAATAGGTCACTGTTAACAATCTGACAGATATCCTTCCATACTTTTCTTACATAAATACATCTGAACATACAACATTGAAAATGTAATCAAGGATTTAAAATGCAAATTAAAATTTAAAAAATGGAATTGCATAATAAATATTATTCTAGAATTTGTTTTTCCTCTTAGTAGCAGTATGCTATATTCTATAAACATCCCTTTTGCGACTACAGCATCAAAGGAAGAATCTCATTAACTTGCTGGACAAATGACAGGTAAGTTAACAAAGCATGAGACTGACCTCCAGTGACCAGGCATTTGACATTCATTGCAGGACATTTCTCCCTGGGGTCTTTTATGAAAGATATGACATGACTGAATGTGCCTCCCTCTGATGTAACATGAACTGTTATTTATTACATTATATTTTATCATCAAAATATTTATTTTAAGCCAGGCGTGGTGGCTCACGCCTGTAATCCCAACACTTTGGGAGGCCAAGGCGGGTGGATCACCTGAGCTCAGGAGTTCAAGACCAGCCTGGGCAACATGGCAAGACCCTGTCTCTACAAAAAGTACACAAATTGGCCAAGCATGGTGGTATACACCTGTAATCCCAGCTATTTGGGTGGCAGAGGCATGAGAACTGCTTGAACCCAGGAGGCGGCGGTTGCAGTGAACCGAGATTGTGCCACTGCGCTCCAGTCTGGGAGACAGAGTAAGACCCTATCTCAAAAAAAAAAAAAAAAAAAAAAAAAAAAATTTAATTGTGGTTATACATTTCTCCAAGAGTTTTCAATTATAAAATCTCTCAGAGTAGGTCATTTTACTTTTATAGATTTTTGCTTATTTTCAATAAAACATTCATTTCCCAACAGCACATTCATATAAAATTTTTCATCTCCAGAGCTTTAACAAGGCCTATCACATGGAGAGAGCTCACAAATATTGTTGAATGCAAGGACAAAATAGTAAAATGGAAATTTTGAAAGAAAACTTTGTTGTTAATAGCATCTTAGCTAGGCCGGCTGCAGTGGCTCATGTCTGTAATCCCAGCACTTTGGGAGGCTAACGTAGGAGGACTGCTTGAGGCCAGGAGTTCAAGACCAGCCTGGGCAACATAGTGAGACCCCATTTCTATAAATACAAAAATGTTTTAAATTAGCCAGGTGTGGTGGTGTGCGTCTGTCATCCAGCTACTTGGGAGGCTGAGGTGGGAGGATCACTTGAGCCCAGGAGCTGGAGGCTGCTGTGAGCCATGATTGCACCACTGCACTCCAGTCTAGGCAACTGAGCAAGACTGTCTCAGAAAAACAAAACAAAACAAAACATCTCAGCTATAGACAGAAGGCTTTATCTATTTCCTAGTGATGTTCATAGTTTGGTGAACCAAATAATACCCATCAGAGAAGTATACTGTTTACCAAGTAGCTGTCATTCTTTAAAAAATAATGTTGACTGATTTTTTTCAGATTTAAAATACCTGTCCTTTATAGAAAAACATGACTGCGAAAGTAAGAAAGGAGGGGGGAGAGGTGGGGCGGGGGGGAAGAAAGGAAGGAAATGAAAAAAAGGGAGATCCAGCCAAGCTGCTTTATTATAATAGAGGTTTTACTACAACATAATTTGAGGCAGCATTCTTTAATAGCTAAATCATAAATTAAAACACCACTAATCTCTGATGTTGGCAAGGTTTGCTTAAGCTGATACATATATTTTCAGCTGCAGTTTGTATCTTTGCATCATTAGAGCTCCTGCCAAGAGTAGCCTTTTGAAATTAAGTGCAATTTCAAGAGTGTCTTCAGCCTGACCAGAGATAAAATGTTACGTACTCAGACAGCAGTATTTCATCTGTTCCCACCTCCCCACCCCTCTAGAGTAACACCAAAAGCTAAACTCACCAAAAGACAGCTGTAAAACCTCTGATATGACACAGACAGGGTTCAGTTTCAAAGCCATAAACGGAAATGAGCAGAGTTGGCTTTCCCAGACAGGGTACATTTTCTCATCACTTCTCTTGTCTTGTGGACAATTAGTTGCCTAAAAAAGCCATTACTTCCAAACATTATTTCTAGCCCTATCTTACCCCTGAAACTTCGAGCTTATAAAACCTATGATCTATTTAAACTTCTACTTGGATATTTAAAAGATATCTCAAATTTAATGTTGCCAACAGGGAGCTCAACATTTCTCCCCAAATATGTCCCCTTTTCCCTCCTGGTTTCCTGTATCTCAGCAAACAGTTTCACCATCCACGCAATGGCTTAAGCCAAAAACCCAGGTGCTATTCTTGATTCTTTTTTCTTTCAGCCCGTACCTATAATCTAGCAAAATGTTTTATTGGTTCTACTTCCAAAAGGAATCCTAAATGTACCCACGGCTCTCCGGCCCTAGTCCCACTGACCTTCCCCAAACCATCTCTTGCTTGGACTAACCACTCACTTTGTGACTGTTGTGCCTACTCTACTGCCCTCTATAACCAAGCCATGCTGCAGCAGTGGGGTGATCTTTTAAAATCACAAATCAGACTGCATCTCTCCCCAGCTTCACGCCCTTTCCTAGTGCACCTATATTTACAAAGCTTACCATCAAACTTAGTTTAAAATCCAATCCCCTTATCTTTGCTTGAAAGGCCTCATAAAAGCTGCCCCAGCCCACTGCTCTGATTTATCCTGTGCCGCTGCCAACCTCAGCCACTCCACTAGGATAGCACAGGACCTCCATGCACTAGCACCACCTGCCTGGAACGCCCTTACCCCAGGTTTCTGCTTACCATTTAGGTATCAGTTTTTAAAATGTCATCTCAGGCCTGGCGCGGTAGTTCTAACCCTGTAATCTCAGCACTTTGGGAGGCTGAGGTGGGTGGATCACTCAAGGTCAGGAGTTCGAGACCAGCCTGGTCAACATGGTGAAACCCCGTCTCTACTAAAAACAGAAAAATTAGCCAGGTGCGGTAGTGGGCAGCTGTAGCACCAGCTACTTGGGAGGCTGAGGGAGGAGAATCGCTTGAACCCGGGAGGCGGAGGTTTCAGTGAGCCAAGATCACGCCACTGTACTCCAGCCTGGGTGACAGAGCGAGACTTCATCTCAAAAAACCATAACATAACATAACATAACATAACATAACATAACATAACATAACATAACATAACATAACATAACATAAATAAAATAAAATAAAATAAAATAAAATAAAATAAAATAAAATAAAATAAAATAAAATGTCATCTCAGAAAAGCTTCCCTAAAATAGTCAACCACCATATCTAGTAAAATAATATATGCATTTACCCTTTGACCCAGCAATACACTCATCGGAATCTATCCCAAAGAAACACTTGCAAAAATATGAGAGGCAAGCAGACATTATGTGACTCCTGATTGGAGTATACAAGACCACCAGTGAAATATTCCTGAAATACAAACAAACCCACACACACATGCACCCCTGAATTTAATCAATCTTCTCTTGATCTAACTGTAGGCACCAATCCACAGGATACACAGGAACATGCACTCAACAAAATCTAAAATATAAACACAGGGCATCAGCCAAGATGCATGATCCATTTTCTACAGCAAAGTGATTTCTAAGAGGAAAAACAAAACACATAGAAGAGGAAATTAAAATTTTTAGTTGAAAATTTTTAGGTATGAGCCCAGCACTCTGAATAACTGTTTCAAAAGAATACACATCAGCCGGGCACAGTGGCTCACACCTATAATCCCAGCACTTTGAGAGGCCGAGGTAGGAAGGTCGCTTGAGGCCAGGAGTTTGAGACCAGCCTGGGCAAAACAGTGAGACCTTCTCGCTACAAAAAATAGCCAGGCATAGTGGCGTGCACCTCTAGTCCCAGCTACTCAGGAGGCTGAGGCAGGAGGACTACTGGAACCCAAGAGTTGGAGGCTGCAGTAAGCTACGATCACAGCACTGCACTCCAACCTGGGTGACAGAGCAAGTCCTTGTCTCAAAATAAAATAAAATAAAATAAAATATGAAATAAAGTAAATAAAATAAGAGTAGAAATCTTTTAGGAATATATGCTGAAATAATTCTGGGTAAATGATATAATTTTGGTGGTTTGCTTTAAAATAATCTGGGCTAAGAGCAGAAAAAATGGGTAAAGGTATAATTGAAACAACTCTGGGTCATGAGTTGATCATTTTTGAAGGTGAGTGATGGTTGGATGGGAGTTCATTAGACCAATCTCTCTACTTCCGTATATGTCTGAAATAAAGGTTTATGTAAAAGCCAACCAATTACTCACCACCACACTATTTTATTTCTCAGCATATTCATGTCACTACATGGTTTTTAATGACTCACTTTGTGTGGACTGTCCATCCTCCCACTAAAATACTAGCTTTATAAGAGCAAGAGCTTGGTCTTCTTGACTGCTATTATCCCCAAGGCCTAGAACAATTCCAGGTTCTTGATGAATATCGATCACGAAATGAATACATCAATAAAATTCCTGGGACCTCTAGAGTTTTACAAGGTTTTAACTCCACGATGGCCAACGAAGCACCACGATTCTTTGTCACTCCACCACAGCCACCAGAGTCAGCAGGGGCTTACCTTCACTTCGATGAAGTCAGGATTCCCCAGGGACACGAGCTGCGCGTAGGCCTGGAGCTCGTCCACGTTCCATGCTTTCACGAGCGTCAGTCTGTAGACAGTTCGTTGTTGCTAAAACAAAGGAAAAGCCAAGTTCGTTGTTATCTTGGTGGACGTCACCTCTTAACCTAGAGGGTTTCTCAAGCTTTTTCAATCCAGAGAACCCAGGGCAGGCAAAACTCATCATGAACTTTTGTAAACTGAAGCTATATTTTGAGGAAAGATGAAACAAAAATAAACACTATGATTCTAACATGCCTTATGGAAGGCACATGAGATACTGACATATTTATTTTCTCTTCCCCACAACATTTAACACTATGCCAGGCACCCAGAGGTTTCTTGACACAGACACACTGAATTACATTTAGTAAGGAATGATAAACTGACCAAACAGTGTTAGGCTATAAAAAATTAATTGAAATACCCTCTAGGCTTTCAGGTAATAATCACCCAAGTTGTTAGTGACAAGAATTGTTAGTAAGTCCTGTCTTCTTTCCTACTCCCTCATTATTTAATGATCTCTTGGCATTTCTTGCTGGCAGAAAAGGCACATGGATGGATTATCAATGTTGCCATTTGTGTGCCATATAACCACAAGAGGGACTGGCTTGCTTTCTTTTCTTCTTTATTTTTTTAGAGACAGGGTCTCGCCCTCCAGGCTGGAGTGCAGTGGTGCAATCCTAACTCACCACAGCCTCAATCTCCTGGACTCAAGTGATCCTCCTGCCTCAGCTTCCCAAGTAGCTGGGACTATAGGCACACGTCATCACGCCTGGCTAAGTTTAAAAATTTTTTTAGAGATGGGGTCCTTGCTATGTTATTCAGGCTGGTCTCGAACTCTCGGCCTTAAGTGACCCTCATGCCTGAGGCTTCCGAAGGGCTGGGATTATAGGCACACACCACTGAGCCAAGCTAGATTTCTGAAAATGTAATTAGACACTAGGCATTAAAGCCTTTAAAAAGCTTACACTCTGACTTTGTAGCTCCCTTTTAGAACCCAAAACAAATGATTAAAAATTCAAAAACACTAAAAAATCTCAGGACAACATTATTAATAATGGCTTAAGGCCGGGTGTGGTGGCTCATGCCTGTAATCCCAGCACTTTGGGAGGCCGAGGTGCGGGGATCACCTGAGGTAAGGAGTTTGAGACCAGCCTGGCCAACATGGTGAAACCCCGTCTCTACTAAAAATACAAAAATGAGCCAGGCGTGGCGGCATGCACCTGTAATCCCAGCTACTTGGGAGGCTGAGGCAGGAGAATCATTTGAACCTGGGAGGTGAAGGTTGCAGTGAGCTGAGATCACGCCACTGCACTGAGACAGAGCAAGACTGTCTCAAAATAAATAAATAAATAAAAATAAGAAGAAGAATGGCTTAAAATCTAAAGTGAGACCCACCCCTTGAGTAGGTGCAGGACCTGTGACTTGCCTATAACCAACAGACTATGGCAAAGGTGATGGGATGCATGTGGTTCTATGTACATGATTACATGCATCTGTAGCAAATGCCCAGGTAACACTCAGGCTGCCAACCCTCAAACCACACCTGAAGTAGCAATGCTCAAAATACTCAAGAAAAAAAAACAGTAAAGTGAAAGGGATGCACAAAATGATACCAATCTTATTAGTCTATGTTTGAAAACTTCCAACATTAATAAAAAAGAAGAAACACTTGAGACCTTCATTGAAGAAAACTAAGAGATCGTTAATAAGGAATATTAGGCAGCCACACCAGAAATTAATGTTTTCCAAGCATATTTACTCATGTGTACTCAAAAGTTCCTTCCAAAATGCAGTATATCATGCAAGGAAAGACAGAAATCTTCCAGATTCCCTTTACATATAATTCTTCCAATGCCAAAAGCTAACAAAAATAGTAGAAAACTGCAGACCTATCTCACTCATACTTATATATGTAAAAATCTTATAGAAATTTTAGCAAGTAAAATTCAGCATTTTGTTAAAAATTCCGGGAATGCAAAAACAATTCAATATTAGGCTATACAGTAATACAATTCATTATACTAGTAGTTCAACACAGAAAAACCACATGATCATCTTCATAGATACCCAAAGGTATCTGATATAGTTTAAAAGCCATCCCTGCTTTTAAAACAAAACAGAATGAGCAAATCAAACACCATTTGGTAAATTCAGTTAATTAAACACATCCTTAACATTAAAAAAAAAAAATCCACAACATTCTCCAGTCAATAGTCAACACTACTCTTACTGGCTAAAAAAATGGAGGGGCCGGACGCAGTGGCTCACGCCTGTAATCCCAGCACTTTGGGAGGCCGAGGTGGGTGGCTCACTTGAGGTCAGGAGTTCGAGGCCAGCCTGGTCAACGTGGTGAAACCCCATCTCCACTAAAAAATACAAAAATTAGCCAGGCATGATGGCAGGCGCCTGTAATCCCAGCTACTTGGGAGGCTGAGGCAAGAGAATTGCTTCAACCCGGGAGGCAGAGGTTGCAATGGGCCAAGACTGCACCACTGCACTCCAGCCTGGGCAACAGAGTGAGACTCTGTCTCAAATAAATAAATAAATAAATAAATAAATGCATTTCTATTTAGTTGGACTAACAGAAGAATTTCTGCTCTTTCTTAAAAAACACTTTTCTACAAGTTATAATCAAAGCAACAAGGCCAGGATAAGAATTACTGGAGAATATACGAAAAATAATTAATTGTAAATAATATGACTGGCTTCTTGGAAACCTGAAAGAATCAACTAAAAATGAGATTAGGCCAGTTACCAAAAAAAAAATTATATATATATATATATAAATATATATATATATATATAAACCAACAGCTTTCCAAGGATACGGTAGTGAGTTAAATGTGGACACGGGGGCCAGAATGAATCCCAACCCATGTACTAGGTATCATTACCTCTCTGTTCTTAGTTTCTACCTGAATGTAGCATTTAGCATGTGGAATCTGGAACCAAGCTTGGCAGCAGCGTATCATACCAAATATTAGCTATTATATGCCAGCAATCAGCAATTTCAAAATTCAAGAGAAAGCATATTCTACTTATAATTATGAAATGCCTAGTGTTTCAGCTGGGTGCACTGGCTCACGCCTGTAATCTCAGCACATTGGAAGACCAAGATGGGAGGATTACTTGAGGCCAGGAATTCGAGACCAGCCTGGGCAACATAAAGAGACCCCATCACTACAAAAAATACAACAGCTGGGCATGGCTGAAGCAGGAGGATTGCTTGAGCTTGGGAGGTGGAGGCTGCCGTGAGCCATGATCACACCAACGCACTCCAGCCTGGGTGACACAGCAAGACCCTGTCCCCCGCCAAAAAAAAAAAATATATATATATATATATATTCCTAATGATTAAATTATGAAATAGCATGCAGGACAGTGAGTAAAATAAACTTTTCTAAGAGACCTAAACAAAAACCCATCTACATGGAGAGCCATGATGGATTTATAAATATAATGTAATTCCAATGAGAGTTTACAATTCATCTGAACAAATAAACTGGCAACAGTAACCATAAAAATAATAGCAGGAGTTTGCAATTACTCAGCCCTTACTATGTGCCAGCTGTTGTTATAAAGTGCTTTGTAGCTTGGCAAAGATTCCAATATCTGTCTAATCTTTACAACAAATCTCACAAAATAGATTGGATTATTATCTTCACTTTACAGATACGAAGGTGAGGCTGACAGCTGTTAAGTAAATTGCCTGAAGTTACACAGCTGGAGAGCAGCAAAGCTGGGGTGTGAACCCAAGCAGTAGTGAGGTGGGAGACTGGCAGGACTTGTTTTCTGGTCACAACCCTGCTGACCAAAACAGGTCCAGACAGGATGAAGTGAAGAAACCAGCAGGAACCAGCAGATGGCCACTAAGGTGATCCCAAGATAGCCTTCTTATTCATTAGCATAAGACACTCCCACCAGGGCCATGACAGTTTACAAATGCCATGCAACAACCCAGAAGTTACTGCCCCTTTCCTAGAAAGTTCTAAATAACACATCCCTTTATTTGCATTGGCCTGCCCCTTAATTTGCATGTAAATATGTGCATAAATACAGTTGCCAGGAGCCCATACAATGCCCATTCTGGGTGCGCTGCCTATGAGTTAGCCCTGCTCTGCAAGGAGCTGTACCCTTCAATAAAAGATTCCCGTCTAACACCACCGGCTTGCCCTTGAATTCTTTACTGGACAAAGCCAAAAATCCTCCCAAGCTAAGCCCCGGTTTTGGGGCTCACCTGTCATGCAACAGTAGGAACCAGAATAGGCTCTCTCTCACTTTGCTAAATCTTCTAAAACTGTGAAATGAAACACAAAGAGAAATGTACACAAAACATGAATGTATAACTCCAGGGATTATCACAAAATGCCCATCACCCAGACACCCTTCTGCTCCTCCCAGTGAATATCCACTCCCTTCACCTGACTAATATCTAATATCCTGACTTTAACATAATAGTCTAGTTTTTGCCTGTGTTTGGAATTTATGTCAGTGGAATCATACATTATTTTGTGTTTGGTGTCTATCACTCAACACTGTGTTTATAAAATTCACCTATGTTGCTCCATGTTTAGGTTTGTTCATTTTCATTATCCAGTATTGGGTTGCATGAATATACAACAAGTTATTCAACCATTCCCTAAACATTTGGATTATGTCCAGGTTTTAGCTATTATAAAACAATGTGGTTATCTCTTTGAACACCAGAGTTTAGTTTTGCCTGTTTAAGGAAATTTTATAAAATGCTACTGTGACATACATTCTTTTGTGTCTGGCTTCTTTCACTGAATTCGATGTTTGCAAGATTCATTCATGCTGTTGATGTAACTGGAGCTCCAGTGGCCCAGTAGAGTGCATGGTACTTATGTGTCACCATAAATACATCTTTATGGCCACATTGTATGAACACACTACTAGTGAACGATTTTAACCCTCTACTTTGGGTTTCTTAGAAAATACTGCTGCCATGAGTGCTACTGTACTCATCTCTCTCTCCCTCTCCCCACCTCCTGTTTTTTTTTCTGGCTTGAGATAGGGTCTGGCTCCACCACTCAGGCTGGAGTGCAGTGGCATAAGCATGGCCCACTCCAGCCTCAACCTCCCAGTCTCAAGGGATCCTCCTGTCTCAGCCTCCTGAGTAGCTGGGACTACAGGCACATGCTGCCACTCCTAGCTTTTTTTTTTTTTCTTTTTTTTTTTCTGTAGAGACAGGCTCTCACTTTGTTGCCCAGGCTGGTCTCGAACTCTTGGGCTCAAGCAATCCTCTTGCCTTGGCCTCCCAAAGTGCTAGGATTACAGGCATGAGCCAACGTGCCCAGCTGTACTTGTCTCTTGATGCACAAGAACACACATTTTCTAGGATCTACCTAAATATGGACATGCTGGGTCATGGGGGATATGTATACATTCGACCTTAGCAGATATTGGCAATCTGATTGCCAAAGTCATTTTGCCACACTTTCACCCGCGTTGTATCAGAGTTTTGGTTGGTTGTTATCTTCAACAACACTTAGTGTTGCTAGTTTTCACCACTTTTGCATTGTTTTGGCTTTGCATCTGCCTGTGGATGTAAGCAAGCTGAGTTCATATGTTTTCTGGCTATCTGTATCTCTGTTTTTGTGAAGTACTGGTTCAAATGTCTTGAATATTTCTCTGTTGGAATATTTGTCTTTTTTCCAACTGATTTTCAATAAATTATTTGCATTTGCTGGAAAGAAAAGCTCTGTTATAAACGTATTAGAAATAATTTCATCCACTTTATGGCTTCCTTTTTTTCACAATGTCTTCTGATCAATAAGAACTCCTAACTTTCACACATTTCCACTTTCTTTCCTTATTAGCGTTTCTTTCATATTAGTGTTTCTTGTGTCTCTTTAACGGATCATTCCATGCTATCAAGAGCATGAAGATAAGCTCTTACATTTTTTTCTAAAGTTTTATCATATTGCCACTCACATTTGTGTCAAAAATCCACCAAAACTGACTTTTGCGTGTGGTGTTGAGAAGTTAAACTTATTTAACATATGGATAGTCCACTGTAATAAATATGATAGAATCATTGTCTATGCATGTGAGGATCTGCTTCTGGTTTTTTCTATTCTGTTCCACTGATCTAATTGTTTCTCATTGTCTCAATATCACACTTTTAATTACTGTTGCTCTACACTAAGACTTGATATCCAATAGAGACGGTTCTCAACCAGGAGCGATTCTGCACCGCAGGGGACAATTAGCAACATCTTGAGAAAATTTTTTGGTTTTCACAAATGGGGGCTGCTACTGACATCTAGTGGGTAAAGGCCAGGGCTGCTGCTGAATATCCTACAATGCACGGGACAGTCTCCCCAACCCTTTTCCTAAAAAGAACTATCCAGTCTAAAATGTCGATGGTGCCAATGTTGAAAAATCCTACAGTGGAGCAAGTTCTCTTATGTCGTCCTTCTGAAAGAGTATGGTGGCCATTCTTGGCCCTTTGCATATCCATGTACATTTTAGAATCAGCTTATTAATTTCCACAAACATATACAACCCTTTATGATTCTGCCTGATATAGCATTGAATCTATAAGCCAGTGTTGCTCAACAGAAATATAAGTTCACAGGTGAAATTTTTTTTAATGTATTTTAACTTAACATATCCTCAAAATTATCAACTCAAGAAGAAATCAATATTTAAATATTGGGATACCTGACATTCTTTTTACCAGACTAAGTCTTTGAATTCCATCGCTTCTTGGCCTTTTGGCTAAGATCAAGTGTAGTCTTTAAATTCCAATGCACAGCACGGCTCAATTCAGGGTAGCCACGTTTCAAGTACTCAATGGTCACATGTAGCTAGTGGCTACCATAAATAAATATAATCAGTGTATGGAGAAATGATACTTTTACAACCCTGAATCTGCCAAAATAATTACCTTTATTTAGATCCTTTAAAATTTCTCTCAATAATATTTTATAGTTTTCAATATAAAGGTCAAAAACATCTTTCCATAGATTTATTCCTAGGTAATATACTTTTGATGCTTTGTTATGGTAGTATCTTTTCTATTTTTCCTCTTTTAACTAATATTTAACTGATATTTTAATAGCTGGTATACAGAAATATAACTGATTTTTGTAAGCTGACTGTGTATCTATATAGCAGTCTTGTAAAATACATTTATTAAAGCGAATAATTACAAATTTTGGAAAGGATTGTTTATGTACACATTTATTTACTAAAAATGACATCTTCCTTTCCAATCATAACTTTTTCCCCTTTTTCTTGTCTTTTAGCACTAGCCAGAACTTTGATTCCATGTTAAATGGAAGTGGTGATAAATATAGTGGGTATGCTTGTCTTATTCTGCACAGTAAGATTTTAAACATTTACTCAAGAAGTATGACTTTTATGGGTAAATATATCAGATTAGGAAGTTTCCTTCTAATCCTAATTGGCTACAAGATTTTAATCATAAATAAATATTGATTTCTGTCAAATTCTTTTTATGCATCTATTAACCTTATCCTACCAGCTTTCTTTTTATTATGACATCATAAATAGGTTGATTTTTACACATTAAACAAAACTCGCATTCTTAGAATAAAGCCAATTTTTCATGGTTTTATAGACTGCTGTATTTAGTTTATTGATCTTTTCTTTAAAATATTTGCTTCTATGCTTATGAGTAAAAATCGCTTTTGTCTTATTCTTCTTAGAATTTGGTATAAATATTCTGAACTGGCTGGACGCAGTGGCTTATGCCTGTAATCCCAGCACTTTGGGAGGCTGAGGCAGGTGGATCACCTGAGGTTGGGAGTTCGAGACCAGCCTCACCAACATGGAGAAACCCCATCTCTACTAAAAATACAAAATTAGCTGGGCATGATGGCACATGCCTGTAGTCCCAGCTACTCGTGGGGCTGAGGCACGAGAATCACTTGAGCCCAGGAGGTGGAGGTTGCGGTGAGCTGAGATCACGCCATCGCACTCCAGCCTGGGCAATAAGAGCAAAACTCCATCTCAAAAAAAAAAAAAAAAAATTCTGAACTAATAAAATGAGATGGAAAGTGCTACTATTCCTCTCTGGAATAGTTGTGTAGGGTTGGTGTTAGTTCTCCTGATGACTGGTATCATCAAGAATTGGTATAATTCAACGATGAAATCATCTGGGCCTGGAGTTTCCTTTGGACGAGGTTTTAAATTTAAAAAAGCAATTTATTTAACAATTATAAGTCCATGTAGATCATTTCATCTAGTATTAATTTTCTTAAGCTTCATTTTCTAGGAATTTGTGTATTTCATCTAAATTCCCAAATTAATTGGCATAAAGTAATTCAAAATATCCTCCTATCTTTTTAATGTCTATAGGATCTATAGTGATGTTTCATTTTCATTTCTAACATTACTTATTTGTACCATCTCTCATTTTATTGATCAAACTTGCCAGGTAATCATCAGTTTTGTAAGATTTTTTGAATAACCAACTTCCGCTTTTTTATAATCCTATTTTATGGATGTTTTTTATTTCCTTAATTTCTGCTCTTTTTATTTCCTTCCAAGTACTTACTCTATGTTTAATTTACTGCTCTGTTCTTTTTTTTAAAAAAAAAAACATTGTGGGTACCAATTAACTTCTCAATATATGCATTTAGCTTATTGATTTTTAACCTATTTCCTTTACTAAGTAGGCATTTTGTCTTCTTCAAAACTTTTTTTTTCTCCTTCACTCTTGAAAAATATTTTCATTGGGAACAGACTTCTAGATTGGCAGCTCTTGGCAAATTTCAGCCCTTTGAGGCTCCATGGTTTGTGCTCTCATTTCTGTTGTGCAATCAAGTACTGGCCTATTGTTGCTCTTTTGAAAGTAATCTCTCTTTATCTCTGCCTGCTTTTAAAAATTTCATAAAATGTTTTTATTTATCCCGTTTGGGTTTATGTTTTCCTGTATTGCCCCAAATTTCTACAGTAAATGAGTAAAACTTTTGTAATGGGGGAAAAAAGCACATGCAGAAATGTTAATCTGATAAGCAGCATAATGGTAAATTCAGAATATCCCAAGAGCATAGGGGAAGGGGGTCCTAATGTGACAAATGTCCCAAACAGTCTAACTACAGACATCTTGGTTATCAAACAAAAGACCAGCACTGTGCAATAGAGCTTCTCACAGTTCTCCACTAAAATACTCCCAGGAAAACCATTTGCCACTTGTATGTAAGCAAACAAAATGGGTTGTTTGCCTGCAACCCATCTGTAGGTAAGGCTGATTCAACATTTGAAAATCAGTTAATGTAATCCATCACATCAACAAGATAAAGAAGGAAAATCACGTGATCATATCAATAGATGCCAAAAAGCATATGACACCATTCACCACCCATTCATAATAAAAACTCTCAGCAAACTAGGAAAATTTTCTCAACTTAATAAGGATATCTACAAAAAACCTACAGCTAACATCATACTTAATGGCAAGAACCTGGAAGCTTTCCCATTAATATCAGGAACAAAGCAAGGATGTCTTCTCTCACCACTGCTTTTCAACATGGTACTGGAAGTCCTAATCAATGTTGTTAAGACAAGACAGGGGAATACAAAGAAAACAGATTTGGAAGAAAGAAATAAAACGGTCTTTGTTTAGAGATAGCATGATTATCTATGTAGAAAATCTACTAATCAATCTTAACAACCAGATGTTGTGTGCCACTTGATTGATGCACTAGGAAACAGTACAGCAACAATTATTAAGTATTCTTGACAAAAACTGAATATATCGTCAATCGAGCCTTTAGTTGTAACTACCATTTTACAGGAATTACAAAGAAACACAGACTATATTAAAAGATACCAAAAGGATTCAATCAGCCAAATTCGGGATGTTGCAAATTCTAATGACAAATGACCCACCTTCTTCCACAAATAAGTAGCACACAAGAAAGGGAAACAGGATTGGAGCAATCACATTACAAGAAGTATAAACAAAGTACAATGTGAGAATCTTGTTTAGATATTACTCTGAGAAAAAAAGTTATAAAAACACATTCTTTTGGAAACTATCAGAGAAAATGAGATACATTTGAATTTTCAGGAAATGCATTAAAATGCATTGTTAATTGTATTAGGAGTGATAATGGTATTGTGTTTATATTTTGTTTTTAATTTTTTTGTTTTTGTTTTTTGAGACAGGGTTTCACTCTGTCACTCAGGCTGGAGTGCACTGGTGCATCACCATACCCAGTTAATTTTTTTTACTTTTTGTAGAGACAGGGTCTCATTATGTTGCCCAGGCTGGTCTTGAACCCCTGGACTCAAGTGATCCTCCTACCTTGAACTCCCAAAGTGCTGGGATTACAGGTGTTAGCCACCACATCCAGCTTGTTTGTTTTTTAAAAAGTCCTTCAGCTGGAAGAAGAGACATAGGAAAGACTGAAGAGAAAATCTGTGGTTAAATCATGAATACTGAATGTATGAAACAAGAATGGTAAGGTCTTAGCTGGGCACAGTGGCTCATGCCTATAACCCCAGCACTCTGGGAGGCCGAGGTGAGCAGATCCCCTGAGGTCAGGAGTCCAAGACAAGCCTGGCCAACATGGTGAAATGCAGTTTCTACTAAAAATACAAAAAAAATAGCCAGGCGTGGTGGCACACACCTGTAATCCCAGCTACTCGGGAGGCTCAGGCAGGAGAATCACTTGAACTCAGGAGGCAGAGGCTGCAGTGAGCTGAGACTGGGCTGCTGCACTCCAGCCTGGGCAACAGAGTGAGACTCCATCTCAAAAAAAAGAATGGTAAGGTCATGTGGGGTTCAAAAAATATGCAAAAGTAAAATGTACAACAAAAACAGCATAAAAGTTGGGATGGAGTTAATGGAGTTAAGTATTCTAAGTACTATTGCTTATAAAATGATATAAACGTTAATTTACATTGACTTTAATAAGTCAAGCATGCCTGCGTCAATCACTAGGGCAACAACTAAAAGAACAATAATAAAAAAATAAATACTAAAAAACCAACAGAATGGAAAACTTATAATAAAATTCCTTAGTTAAAAACAAAAGAAAGCAAAAAAATAGAGAAAAAGACAGCTGAAAAGGGGAGGAAAATAATGCAAATAATTAGATGCTACATTTAAATTCAAATATATCAATTATTGTATTTCATGCAAACTATAAACACTCAAAAAGATAAAGATTTTCCAACTGTTTAAGAAAACAAACCCAATTACATGTTATTAAAAAGTCCTTCAGATGGAAGCAGAGATGCACGATAGACTAGAGAGAAAATTTTTGGGTAAATCATGAATACTGACTGCATGACACAAAAATGGTAATGTCTTGTGGAGATATAACTTAAATATAAAGATACAAAAAAGGTTGAAAATAAAAACAAAAAGAAAAAAGTTGTACTATGCAAACACTGACCATAAAAAAAACTAGTGTTGCTTTACTAGTATTAGACAGACTTTAAGATGAGAAGGTGAGAAGGGCATTATAAAAAGGCCAATTCACCCAAAATATGTAACAATTCTTAACTAGTATAACAATATACTAGTACCTAACAATATAGCATCAATATGAAGTAACAATTGACATAACTAAAATGAGAAATGAACATACCCATAGTCACAATGGAACATTTGTACACATCTCTCTCAGTAACCAATAATATAAGACAAAAGAACTTTCTCAGTAACTAACAATTAAAGACAAAGGAGTAAAAGCACAGAACACATGAACGACATGATTAACTTAACTCTCCTCCAAGACCTAGCAAAAGAAGAGTAAATTAAATCAACAGGGTTAGGAAAGAGAAACAAAGACTAGAACAGAGGTAAAAGAAATAGAGAACAGAAAAACAACTCGGGAGACAAAGAAACCAAAAGTATGTTCTATGAAAAAATCAACTAAACGGACCTTTAGCTAGACTAAGAAAAAGAAGACACAGATAACTAAAATCAGAAATGAAAGTGGAGAAAATACTACTAACCTCACACAAATAAAAGGAATTATAAGAAAATACTATGAACAACTATATACCAAAAAAAGTGGATAACCTAAATTAAATGGACAAATTCTTAGAAATATGTAAATTACCAAAAATGACTCAAGGAGAAATGGACAATCGGAACAGACCTACAAGTCAAGAGATTGAACAATCAAAAAACTCCCAACAAATAAAAGCTTAAGAGCAGATGGCTTCATTGCCAAACATTTCAAGAAGAATATTCTCAAACTCTTCCAAAAAAAATAGCAGAGGAAACACTTCACACCTCCTTCTCCGAGGCCAGCATTATCTTCATAACAAACCAGAAAAAGACATCACCAGAAAACTATAATCCAATCCCTTATGATGTAGAAATTCTCAGCAGAATACTACCAAACCAAATACATCATATTAAAATATTTTACATTATTACCAAGTGGGATTTATTCCAGGAATGAAAGCAAGTCACGTAACACACAAATCCATTTATATGAAATTTCCAGAACAGCTATATCCATAGTAACAGAAAACAGATTGGTGGTTATAAGGGACTGGTTTACGAGGTATGGGGAGTAACTGCTTAATGGGTACAGGATTCTATGTTGGGGTAATAAAAATGTTTAGGAACTAGATAAAGGTGATAATTACACAAGACTGTAAATGTATGAAATGCCACTTCGTTGTTCATGTTAAAACAGTTCATTTTATGTTACGTGAATGCTACCTCAATACAAAATTTTAAATCCCTGTTAAAGTTCCAGCTGCCTGTTTTGCAGGCTTTAAAAGCTGATCCCAAAATGCATATGGAAATGCATAGGAACCCAAAGACCCAAAATAATTTGAAAAAGAAGAAAGTTAGAAGATTCAAACACTGTGATTTCAAAACATACTCAAAGCTATGTTAATCAAGATTATGTGGTACCACCATAAGGATAAAACTGAAGATCAATGGAACAGAACTGGACAGTCCACAAATAAAACCCATACACTTAACAGCCAATTGATTTTGACAAGGGTACAAAGACAATGCAATGGGGAAAAAATAGTCTTTTCAACACATGGTACTGAGACAACTAGTTATTCACAGGCAAATGAACCTCTCACATTGTCCACCAAAATTAACTCAAAACTGCTCAAAGAGCTAAAACAATAAAACTCTTGGAAGAAAACATAAGGTAAATCTCTGTCACCTTGCATTAGGAAATTAGATATGACACCAAAAACATAAGCAACAGAAGGAGGAAAAAAAGATACAATGGACTTTTCAAAGTTAAAACTTTCTGTGCTTCAAGTTGGCAGCTCCTGAAAAAGTTAAATATAGAATTACTATATGACCCAGCAATTTTACTCATAAGTGTGAACTGAAACATATATTCACACTAAAACCTGTGCATGAATATTCCCAGCAGTATTACTCATAACAGCCAAAAGCTGGAAACAATGCCAACGTCCATCAGCTGAAGAACGGACAAAGAAAATATAGTACATATCCATCCAAGAGAATAGTATTCAGCAAAAAAGATGAAGTTCTAGGCTGGGAGCAGTGGCTCACGCCTGTAATCCCAGCACTTTGGGAGGCCAAGGCAGGTGGATCACAAGGTCAGGAGTTCGAGACCAGCCTGGCCAATATGGTGAAACTCCATCTCTACTAAAAATACAAAAATTAGCTCGGTGTGGTGGAGGGTGCCTGTAGTCCCAGCTACTCAGGAGGTTGAGGCAGGAGAATCACTTGAACCCGGGAGACAGAAGTTGCAGTGAGCCAAGATCACGCCACTGCACTCCAGCCTGGGGAACAGAGCGAGACTCCATCTCAAAAAAAAAAGATGAAGTTCTGATTCATGCTATATAACATGCGCTAACTTGGAAAACATTATACTAACTGTAAGAAGACAGACACTATTGGAAGTTCTGAAATTAAATAATCCACATGGTCACACTGTTTTGTAAATAAACTAAAAGCCACTAAATTATATACTTTAAAAAGTCATTTTTATGCAAAGTAAATTATTTCTTAATTTTAAAATGGAAAGGATGAACATCTATAATTTACTATGTACAAGATGTTAAAAAGTAAACAATAATATAAATATAAGAAAAAAGGAAATAAAAGAACAGAAGTTAATAGAAGAAATGCCATAAAATAAGGATGGCAAGTATTCCAAAAATTACTTGTAAAAAAATTTAACAAGAGTTACAAATTAATGGAAAGAGTAAGAAACAGGCCGGCCACAGTGCTCACACCTATAATCCCAGCAGTTTGGGAGGCCGAGGTGGGCGGATCACCTAAGGTCAGGAGTTCGAGACCAGCCTGACCAACACTGTGAAACCTCGTCTTTACTAAAAATTCAAAAATTAGCCAGGCATGGTGTTGCATGCCTGTAGTCCCAGCTACTCGGGAGGCTGAGGCAGGAGAACCGCTTGAACCTGGGAGGCGGAGGTGGCAGTGAGCCAAGATCGCAACACTGCACTCCAGCCTGGGCAACAGAGCCAGACTCCATCTTAAAAGAAAAAAAGAAAAAAAAAGAATAAGAAATAAAAATATGCATACTATTACTAGGAATGAGGTACTATTTGGGCTTATCAAATTGGCATTTGATATTTGATATTTGGCATTTGAATATTACGGGCAGTTACACAAAGTCATTTTGAAAATTTAAATGAAATGTACAAAGTCCTAAAGAAAACACAACTTAATAAAATTGATAAACAGAAAACCTAAATGGTCCTATAATTATTTATGGTGTTTGATTTGAAATATTAAACTCTTCCAGAGAACAGAAAAAGAGGGCCTATTCTCCTTACTCATTTTATGAGGTCACCATAATACTGATATTAAAACTTAAAATCATTAAAAGAAAGAAAATGACAGTTCAGCATCTCTCATGAACAGAAATGGAAACATCTTTTAAATATTAGTATACAAAAGAATCCCAAGATACACAAAAAAGATAATACATAGTAACCAAGATGAGTTTATTGCATGAATAGAATTTGGTTTGTTATTTGAAAATCAATGCAATTCACCATATTAGCAGAATAAAGGAAATCATATAATCTCAATAGACGCAAAAAAAATGATATGATAAAAACCCAATAGCCATTGATAATAGTCACATAAAGCTAGGAATAAAAAGAAATTTCTTCAGTATGGTGGAGTATTTATAAAAAATCAACAGTAGGTAGGGGGCTGGGGCTCACACCTATAATCCCAACACTTTGGGAGGCCGAGGTGGGCGGATCATGAGGTCAGGAGTTCGAGACAAGCCTGGCCAAGATGGTGAAAGCCCGTCTCTACTAAAAATACAAAAATGATCTGGGCGTGGTGGTGGGTACCTATAATCCCAGCTACTTGGGAGGCTGAGGCAGGAGAATCGCTTGAACTCAGGAGGCAGAGGTTGCAGTGAACTGAGATCGCGCTACTGCACTCCAGCCTGGGCGACAGAGTGAGACTCTGTCTCAATCAATCAATAAATATAAATAAATAAAAACAAATAAAAACAGACCCAAACATGTAAGGATACTTAATTTATGACAAAACTGACACTGCAGAACAGGGCAGGAAAGGATTGTTTTTTAAAAAAATAAACAGCATTGAATCAAATGATACCCATTGCAGTGGGAAAAAAAATCCCCATTTTAATGACTTTAAAAAAATTATAGACTTTAAAATGCGAAAGGAAGGAAAAACAACACAATGTCTAGGAAATTACAGAAGAAACTCTCTTCATGACTTTCCTTTTTTTTTTTTTTTTTTTTTTTTTTGAGACAGAGTCTCTCTCTGTCGCCCAGGCTGGAGTGCAGTGCCGCAATCTCGGCTCACTGCAACCTCTGCCTCCCAAGTTCAAGCGATTCTCCTGCCTCAGCCTCCCAAGTAGCTGGGATTACAGGCGTGTGCCACCAGGCCCGGCTAATTTTTTGTATTTTTAGTAGAGACGCGGTTTCACCGTGTTAGCCAGGATGGTCTTGATCTCCTGACCTCATGATCCAACCGCCTCGGCCTCCCAAAGAGCTGGGATTATAGGCGTGAGCCGCCGCGCCCGGCCATGACTTTCTTAAACAGGATAAAATGCACTCACCAGATAAAGACACCTGATAAACTGACTACATTGAAGTTGGCTACTTCTTATCAAAAGTCATGAGGCAATGGAGAGAGAAGACATAGAGCAGAAAGGGACATTTACTCCTGTCTAGAATACATTTAAAAATCCTATAAACCAATAAGAAAAAGACAATGCAAAAGAAACATTGACCAAAGCCTTGAATGTTCTTATATGGCCGTGCGATTGTCTGGCACTATCTACTAATGATGACTGAATGCAGAACACCCAATCAGGTGGCAATTCCACTCCCAAATACACAGTGAACATCAGTTAGCCCACATGTATATCAAAAAACATGTACAGAAAAGTTATTAGTGCAATTATTCATCATAGCCCCAACCAGGATGCAATGTGAATATCCCTCAATAGTGGAAGGAATAAATCGTGGCATACTCATATATTGACATATAGCAATGAAAATGGATGAATTACAGCTGCACACATCATGGATGAATCTAACAAACATACATAAAGAAAAAATACATATATTCACAAAAGAATTTAAATTGTTAGGATTCCACAACATTCAAAACCAGGCAAATCTACCTTACGGTGTTAGCAATCAAAATAGCAATTATTTTTAGAGAGGGGAGGGGCTGATGACCAGGAGAGAACTCTGAAGGTGCTATTAACGTTCTATTTCTTGAGCTATTTGCTGGCTGTGTTCATTTTGTAATAATTCATCCAGCAGTTCATGTAAGATCTGTGCCCTTTTCTGTGTGTATGGTATACTCCAATTTAAAAACTTATTAAAAATCATGTATATATGTATTATATATAATTATATATTATATATATTATATATGTTATATATTATATATAAAAAGTACTGGGAGGAGGCATTCAAATTTTAAAAGTCTTTTCGTTTGTTTTTTGTTGAGAGGTTCACGCTCTGTCACACAGGCTGGAGAGCAGTGGCACAATCATAGCTCACTGTACCTGGAATTCAAACTCCTGGGCTCCTCAAAAGATTATCCTACCTCAGCCTCCTGAGTAGCTGGGACTACAGGTGCACACAACCATGTCCAGCTTATTTTTTTATTTTTAATTTTTTTGTAGAGATGGAGTGTCGCTATATTGTCAGGCTGGTCTCAAACTCCTGGCCTCAAGTGATCCACCCACCTTGGCCTCCCAAAGTGTTGGGATTACAGGCATAAGCCACTGTGCCTGGCCTAAAAAGTCTTTATTTTATTTTATTTTTGAGACAGGGTCTCATTCTGTTGCCCAGGCTGGAGTGCAGTGGCACGATCTTGGCTCACTGCAGCCTTCACCTCCCTGGCTCAAGTGATCCTCCTGCCTCAGCCCCCCAAACAGCTGGGACTAGAGGTGTGTGCCACCGCACCTGGCTAATTTTTGTAATTTTTTTGTAGAGACGAGGTTTTGCTATGTTGCCCAGGCTGGTCTCAAATACCTGAGCTCAAGCGATCTGCCTGCCTCGGCCTCCCAGAGTGCTGGGATTACAGGTGTGAGCCACCACGCCTGGCCCTAAAAATTCTTTATATGTTGTATACAGAAGTATTCACGGATAAAATGATATTATGTCTGTTATTAGATTTTAAATATTCCAATGCCTTCCCTACTGCCAAAACTGGGAAGATAGAGAAAATCAGAACTGTAGAATGCTGATGGTTGTCAAAGCTAAGATGATGGTTACACGGAATTGGTTATATTATTCTCTCCCCTCTTGAGTATTACAAAAATCCACAATTAAAAGTTTAAAAATATATAGTCATGAGTTAGAGTTCTGTTGCTTCTAATTAGGCAGCTTTCAGTGCTACATAGACTGGATGAGGTTATTATAACCCAGGATTACAGCTTTTAATTTCAATGATTTATCTTGACAGTTGCAATTCAACACATACTCTAGTTGAGGCTGTGTCAAAACAAGATAAAATGGTCTCCTAAAATATGGTACTGACTTACTAGTAATCAAAGATATGCAAATTGAAGCAGTAATGAGGTACTATTTGGGCTTATCAAATTGGCAAAGATTTTTTTTTAAACAGCAATATTCAGTGCTGCCTAGAGTTTAGCACGACAGGCATATTTGTTCATTGACGGTGGGAGTGTAATTCAGTACCAACGTTTAGAAAAGTAACATGGCAAGATGATTAAAGAATCTGAAAAATATTCAAATCTGTTGACCTAGTAATTGCATTTCTAAAAATGTAGCCTATGGACATGATGAAAATTATGAACAAAGACTGATGAATAAGCATGTTTATTCTAGCTTTATAATAACGAGACACTACAAACTCAAGATGATGACAAGATGTTCAATCCCAAGGAATGGCTAGATGATTTATGATATCACCCTTTAGCTAACACTAAAGATGTTATTTCAGAACAATGGTCACGAACCCCAACATATCTGAGGAACATCCTCCTAACAATAGCAGGGTCAATCTAGATGTGACTCTCAGAAAGAGAGGGAGACTTATTTTTTGTACCTCGTTCCCATTGAGAATAACTGTTTTAGAGGAGTATTTGTTGACAAGGGGTAACTTTTTTTTTTTTTTTTTGAGACAGTTTTGCTCTGTTGCCCAGGCTGGAATGCAATAGTGCCATCATAGCTCACTGCAGCCTTGACTTCCCAAGCTCAAACCATCCTCCCACCTCAGCCTCCTGAGTAGCTGGAACTACAGGCACATGCCATCACATCCAGCCAATTTTTTTTGTATTTTTTAGTAGAGATGTTTCGCTATGTTGCCCAGGCTTGTCTCGAACTCCTGACCTCAAGTGATCCACCCACCTCGGCCTCCCAAAATGCTGGGATTACAGGCATTAGCTATAACACCTGGCTGCAAGGGGTAATTTTTATGTTACAATGATGAATTTTTTAAAAGCTGAAAACAAACTTATACATGCAGCATGGCATTAACAATATAAATATATCTACACCAAAAAAATTTAAATGAATTTTTTAAAAGCTGAAAACAAACTTATAAACGCAGCATGGCATTAATAATATAAATCTATCTACACCAAAAAAATTAAGGTTTAGAAGGAAATACAACAAAAGTTTTGGGATCAGAAAACACGTATACATACACACTTTTTAATAGTATTGATACTTAAGATGAGATTGGTTGGGTTTAACAGTCTCTTGATATGCCTGATCTCCGCTATCCATTACAGTAGATACTTAAAACTCTCCTGCTCTGCCAGGCGTGGTGGTTTACGCTTGTAATCCCAGCACTTTGGGGGACCAAGGTGGGCGGATCATCTGAGGTCAGGAGTTCGAGACCAGCCTGGCCAACATGGTGAAACCCCATCTCTACTAAAAATACAAAAATTAGCTGGACGTGGTAGCGCATGCCTGTAAACTCAGCTACTCAGAAGGCTGAGGCATGAGAATCACTTGAACCCAGGAGGCGGAGGTTGCAGAGAGCTGAGATCACACCACTGCACTCCAGCCTGAGCGACAGAGCAAGACTCTGTCTCAGAAAAAAAAAAAAAAAATTCTCCTGCTTAAAGATCAGAAATTTGGCAGAGAGTAGAAAAGACATGCCTTGAGTTCAGTAGAACCTAAGAAGATCATGCACATCAACTGAATCGTAGGACAGTGTGGCCAGAGCCTGAAGAGTCATGTACTCTACAGGTTACTTACAACAGGAAACAGAAAAACAGAGCTTGACATCCACCCGGCAACTTGGTTAGTGTGCAGGAAGATATCATCTGTGTGAAGGAGTAAGCGGAGGGTGAAACCACAAGAAGAGATGAGCGCAAGAAAGCTGAGAGGTGCAAGATGCACACAGAAGAGGCTCGGAGCACTGGCAGCAGAATGTGAAAAAGAGGGACTGTAAGCAAAGTAACCATGTAATGGCAGAAATAAAATTCCCACTGGAATTTTAGTGTAAATACTACTGTGGTATTTACACTTTGGGAAAATCAAATGAGTAGTATGGAGCAATGTTTCCTCATCCTTTGGAGGTTGGGAGAAATTAGATGAGGGTGCTTACTGACATTTTGAACAAGACAGTCCATAGTATGAAAATGATATGTGCCCTGAGAAGCAGAATGCGGAAATTTACAACATGGGAATTGTATGGAAAAGGACAAAGAAATGAGAATATTCAAAGAACGAATGACTAGTAAGGAATACAAAATGTAAACAGCTGAAGACAAAATAGCTGAAAGAGAATAAATAAGTGGTAAGGTTTCTAGAGAAAGAAAGATGCAACTATAAAATCCTAAGGGCTACTCTATATACTTTCCATCTGGGAGAAGAGCTTTCTAAAAAATCTAAAACCACCACCACAAGATGAACAAGAGAGGTGCCCTATCTACAGAATAGTAAACAGAAATAAGAGAAACAATGTCATAAAAATCAATCAGCAGAAGATCATGTTATTGCCTAAACCAGGATGTCATCTCAGACTCCCATGACTTCAAGCAACGTACTGACTTGGATGTCCGAGGATATTGACAAAAGTAAAATCTCTGGCAATGTTCCTGCACACAAAATCTATCCATCACTCCTGCATCAAATACAAATGAATAGAAATAACTGGACTCCATGTGTGCAGAAGACAGGGTATGAGAAGGATATTTAAGACAGCCAAATTATGCTTCACAAAACGACTGAGACAAAGTAAATTTTAAAGGAATATAGGGCAGCCCCAAACTATACATCTCTAAAATCAATATGCCTTAGAGCAGGTCTATTTCTCCAGAAATATTACTTGTACCAATCTACAAGTTCCCAAAGTCCCAAATATTATAGCAAATACTCCCTCCCTGGAAAATTAATCATTCAAATGCAAAAACTCTATAGTCCAGGGATGTTCAGAATTTTTTTTTTTTTTTTTTTTTTTGAGACAGAGTCTTGCTCTGTCACCCAGGCTGGAGTGCAGTGGTGCAATCTTGGCTCAGTGCAAGCTCTGCCTCCCGGGTTCACGCCATTCTCCTGCCTCAGCCTCCTGAGTAGCTGGGACTACAGGCACCCGCCACCACGCCCGGCCAATTTTTTTGTTTTTTTGTTTTTTTTGTATTTTTAATAGAGACAGGGTTTCACCGTGTTAGCCAGAATGGTCTCGATCTCCTGAACTTGTGATCCGCCCAACTTGGCCTCCCAAAGTGCTGGGATTACAGGCGTGAGCCACTGCGCCCGGTCCAGAATGTTTTTAACCCATCAATTAACCTCCCTGTGCCGAAGCTTGGTCTTGCAAAACAACAAAAACAAAAACCAGACTCTTTAGAAGGTGACTCAGTCCGTGAAGTAAGCCTATAAAGTTTCCTCCCTGGAAAGCTTATTAGTGACAAGATATGCCTGGGGGTACAGCAGTCTACTTTATGTCTGACACATAAGAACGTGAATCTGGAATGATAGGAAGATGAGCCCAGAAAGAAGAGTAGACCACACTTATTATACTAACATTAGGATGCCAAAAATTAAGCCTTCCATGCAAAATCCTTCTTTATCTAATGTGCATTATTTACTAAATAATATATATATAATGGACACATGGTCAAATAAGTGCTATAAATTCATCTCCTGAGACATCCACACTGCAACACAGATAAAATGAAAATCAAATAAAGCTGGTTAAAACATACAATGAAACAATCTCCTGGCCAGGAATTGGACCTAGCTGCCCGTTAGAGCACACAGGCATGCAAAAATAACACCTACTCAAGATGAGCCTGCAAACCAAAATTCCAAAAGATACGTGGTAATCTAACATTTCAGAAAGAGAGCCAACCTAATCTACAATTAGAACATAAGCTTTAGTGAAAGAAAATTAAAGTGACAGGACAGGCAATTTTAAAATAAATGGAAGACATGGCTTCATAAAGATGGCAACTTTTCCAAATTAATCTACAAATTCAATGCATTCTAATCAATATCTCAAAGTTGTATGTGTGTGAAAACAAAACCTGATTCTAAAATAAATATGAAAATGTAATTAAAGGATAAGCACAGGCAAGACCATTCTGGAAAAAAACAATTTTGAAGAACATAGCATGTATTTTATGCTAGAAAACAAGGCTTACTATAAAGCTATGCTAACTTAGTGAGGTAAGTGACAAGAGAGAAAAACTAACCAATATAACACAGTAGAAAGCTCAGAAACAGATTCAAGCATACATGGAAACTTAATTATGAGAGGCCACCATTAGAAATCATGGAGGTAGAGAATGAATTATCCAACAAATGATGCTGGTTCAATCATTTATCCACTTGGGGAGGGTGAAATATCCCTGTGTCTTATCATACCTTAAAAAAGAAATAGAGAGGCCGGGCACAGTGGATCACGCCTCTAATCCCAGCACTCTGGGAGGCCGAGGTGGGCAGATCACTTGAGGTCAGGAGTTCGAAATCAGCCTGGCCAACGTGGTGAAACCCTATCTCTACTAAAAGTACAAAAATTAGCTGGGCATGGTGGCAGGCACCTATAATCCTAGCTACACAGGAGACTGAGGCAGGAGAATTGCTTGAACCCGGGAGGCAGAGGTGGTAGTGAGCCGAAATCGCATCACTGCACTCCAGCCTGGCCAACAGAGTGAGACTCCAATTCAAAAAAGTGAAAAATTTTAAAAATATATAGATAAATGTGTGTATATGTATATGTATATGTATATGTATATGTATATGTATATGTATACACATACCTTAAGTCCTTAAGTCCTTAATAAAACACATTTGCAAGTCATAAAAAATCACAAACATCTCAAAAGAAAAAACTGGCAAGGAACCAAAACAGATACTTCAAAAAGAATAGAAATTGTTAACAAAAATATAAATTATTTCAATATCACAAATAATTAAACACATATTACAACAATAGACACATGTAACAAAAATATTCAGAGTTGCAATGTTCATAATAGACACAAATTGGAAACAATTTTAATTAATTAATTAAGAGATAGGGTCTTGCTCTGTGGCTCAGGCTGGAGTGCAGTGGTGCAATCACAGCTCACTGCAGCCTCAACCTCCTGGGCTCAAGGGATTCGCCCACCTCAGCCTCCCGGTAAGACTACAGGCACTAGCCACCGCCTCTGGCTCAACTTAAAAATTTTTGGGGCCAGGCGTGGTGGCTCATGTCTGTAATCCCAGCACTTTGGGAGGCTGAGGCGGGCTGATCACGAGGTCAGGAGATCGAGACCATCTGGCTAACACAGTGATACCCCATCTCTACTAAAAAAAATACAAAACATTAGCCGGGCGTGGTGGCGGGCGCCTGTAGTCCCAGCTAATTGGGAGGCTGAGGCAGGAGAATGGCGTGAACCCGGGAGGCAGAGCTTGCAGTGAGCCGAGATTGTGCCACTGCACTCCAGCCTGGGCTACAGAGCAAGACTCTGTCTCAAAAAAATAAATAAATAAATAAAATAAAATAAAATTTTGTGATATTGTTACAATGGAATTCTTCAAAGGAATGAAAAAAATTAACTATTACTACATACAGCATGGCTAAATGATAGACATAATGCTACTAAAGAAGCTAGTCAAAATAAAAGACTATATTGAATGATTGGGAATAGTGGCTACCTTTGGAGGTGGGGGATGACAGGGAAGAAACAGGAAAAATGCCTTTGGACTGCTAGTTATACTGGTGAGTTGAACTTACAGAAAGTCAGCTGTACACTTTTTATACACCTTAGTGATATAGTATACTGTAAAACATTAACATTAAAATCAGACATATATGTTATTGTTTATAAAGCTGATAATGATGAAATATTAACATCTGGAGTTGTACTTCATCATGTAAGAATGTGCAAAAATGACAAGACCATGAGATATAACCTTACTAAAGGGCAAATTCGGAAATATCTGTTAAACTTTACAACTGTAGCCTCCTATCCCTGGAATTTGCCTTCCAGAATTTAAGTAAATGATCAGAAATATGTGCAAAGGTGTACATAAATTTTTGCAGTGCTATTTAATAGTAGATGGGTTAAGAAAATCATGACAAACCCAACTAATGAATATGCAGCAATTTAAACTTGAGGTAATATAATACTTAGACAAAGGATCACGATATATTACTAAGTGAAAAAAATCAGTAATCGAAGCCTTCATTTTAGGAAAGTAGAAAAACAAGAGCAATTTAAGCTAAAGTGAGCAGAGGAAAATAAATTATAAAAGTCAGAGCAGAAATCAATAAAATAGGTAAGAGAAAACCAAAAGAGAATAATCAACAAAACAAAAATTTGGCTCTGGAAAAATAAAATTACATTAACAAACTTCTAGCCAGGCTAATCAAGAAAAACGGAGAGAAGACACAAATTACCAATATCAAAAATGAAAAGAGGGCGGGTGCAGTGGCTCACGCCTGTAATCCCAGCACTTTGGGAGGCTGAGGCGGGCAGATCACGAGGTCAGGAGATCGAGACCATCCTGGCTAACACAGTGAAACCCCCGTCTCTTCTAAAAATACAAAAAAATTAGCCAGGCGTGGTGGCGAGCACCTGTAGTCCCAGCTACACGGTAGGCTGAGGCAGGAGAATGGTATGAACCCGGGAGGCGGAGCTTGCAGTGAGCCAAGATCATGCCACTGCACTCCAGCCTGGGCGACAGAGCAAGACTCCGTCTCCAGAAAAAAATAATAACAATAATAATATACCTGCTGACCAGCTGGGATTTATTCCAGGTATGCAAGGCTGGTTCAACATTCAAAATTCATTCAACATCACACATTGGCAGGCTAGTACAGAAAAATCATATGATCATATCAATTGACGATGAAAAGCATTTGACAAAAGCCAACATCTATTCATGATAAAATCCTTAGCAGGCCAGGCATGGTGGCTCACGCCTGTGATCCCAGCACTTTGGGAGGCCGAAGGCGGGCAGATCACAAGGTCAGGAGTTTGAGACCAGCCTGACCAACACAGCTGAACCCTGTCTCTATTAAAAATACAAAAATTAGCCACATGTGGTGGCGCACACCTGTAATCCCAGCTACTCAGGAGGCTGAGGCAGGAGAATCACATGAACCCAGGAGGCAGAGGCTGCAGTGAGCTAAGAGCGTGCCACTGCACTCCAGCCTAGGCGACACAGCAAGGCTCCATCACAAAAAAAAAAAAAAAAAAAAAAAATCCTCAGCAAACAAGGAATTAAGAGGAACTTCCCCAACATAATAAAAAATATCTACAGAAAACCTACTGCCAATAGCAAACTTAATAGTAAGAAAGTGCATACTTTCCCCCTAAAACATAACAGTCTTTACTAATCAAAATCACAGAACTTTATAGCACAAAGAATGAGCCTTAATATATACAAATTTTATTACAGCTCTCTGGTCTTCCTCCCCAAAACACATAAGCACGATTTCATCACAAGAAAAGTATCAGAAAAATCCTAATCAAGGGACATTCTACAAAATACCTGACCAGTCCTGCTCAAAACTTTCAAGGTATCAAAGACAAGGGAAGTCTGAGAAACTGTCCCGCCTAGAGAAGCCTAAGGAAGTAAGTCCATTAAATGTAAGGTGCTATCCTGAATGGGATCCTGGAATATAAAAGGGGCATCCGTTCAGCCAAACCTAAAGAAATCTAAATAAATGTATGAATTTTATGTATTAATATTGGTCATAGGCCGGGCACGGTGGCTCACACCTGTAATCCCAATACTTTGGGAGGTTGAGGCGAGTGGATCACCTGATGTCAGGAGTTCAAGACCAGCCTGGCCAATATAGTGGAACCCCATCTCTACTGAAAATACAAACATTAGCCAGGCATGGTGGTTGACACCTGCAATCCCAGCTACTCGGGAGGCTGAGGCAGGAGAATTGCTTGAACCCACGAGGCAGAGGTTGCAGTGAGCCGAGATTGTGCCATTGCACTCCAGCCTGGGTGACAGAGCGAGACTCCATCTCAAAAAATAAACAACAAAAAATATTGGTTCATAAATTGTAACAAATGTACCATAGTAATGTAAAACGTTAACAATAACAGAAACGGTGTGTGCTGGGAAAGGGGGTGTGCATGGGAATTCTGTACTATCTTTGTAATTTTTCTGTAAATCTAAAACTGTCATAGGAGATGTCATCAAGATGGTTGACTAGAGGCGCTTGGTACTCACCTCCTCCACAAAGAAGGACCAGAATAGCAAGTAGATAACCACACCTCGAAAAGAGCATCTAAGAGACAATATGGGGTTTTTGGCAGGGAAGTGACTGAGAATGTCTAAGACACAGAAGGAAAGGGGAAAGGTAAGTGAGAGGTCCCCAGTGGCCCACATCCCCACCACTGACACCTGCAACCCTACCCCCAGAAGAGTCCCTCAGCTCTCACAAGCCCTAAGCCTGGTACAGGAGGCTTTCTGGAATCCACATGACTAACTGTTCCAGAGAGAGAATTCACACTGGGTCCCACTCACACCAGGAGCCCCAAGCAACTACATCACAGCACCGTATTGAGCTCAACCCCCACCAGACTGCATCCTGCCCTGGAGACCAATAGCCCCTGCATCTCCACATCTCTGGAGCCCTGCTGGCATCTCCCATGTTCTTCCAGAAGGCTGTAGCAGCACAATGCCAGCCAGACCCAGTGATGTGGCCAGGTCCCCAGCACTCTAGTCCACCCCATGTCCTATGCCTTGGGAAACAGATGGCCAACACACCAGGATGACTACTCCCAGGACGAAAAGAGCCAAAACATGTGTTCTCCAAAGCCTGGGAGCTACCTGCCTAGGGCCACAGTCACCAGTAGCAACCCCTGGCAGGGCTGCCAATGTACCTGCACACACCTTCAGGTGCCCTGAAAACGTGGTTTCTCTGGGCATGAAGATGTGTCTGCCCATCTGCACACACTGTCCAGGAGCCTGGGGATCAACCCACTCCACCTGTCACCGCCCACTGTCACCACCTGCGTGTCTCCCAGGGGCCTGAGGATTGGTCCGCTGCCACTACTGCTAGAGCCAGCACCATGGCACACTGCCTGGGGCCTAAGAACACACAGGCCCAGCCCATGACTGCCACCACTATTGCATGAGCATGCCACCTGGAGGCCCAAAGACTGGCCCGACCAGGACCCCACAGCCACCACTGGCATCTTTGTCTGCCATCCAGGGCCATGCTGCCACCACCACTGACTGGTGCCTTACGAATGATCGGGCTGGTATCCCCTTCCCAGCAAAGCCCTACCACAGCCTCCACTAACAACCACAGCCTATGCCACTGAGAGGAACTCTCAGACACCACTGACATTGATTACAATCAAAAAAGTCATAAAAAGACTACACTGCTGCGCCCACCCAGAACCACTACCCAACCAATAGTATAAATACATCTACAGGAAAAAGTCTTTGCCTCTGAAAGCTAATCCATAAAATTGGAAGAAGTGACCATTAAACCAGGTGTAAGATATCAATGATAAGGACACAAGAACGATGAGGAAGCAAGAAAACATGATACCTCTTGTGTTAGTCCATTTGCACCACTATAAAAGAATACTTAGCCGGGCTCAGTGGCTCACGCCTATAATCCCAGCACTTTGGGAAGCTGAGGCATGAGAATCACTTGAACCTGGGAGGTGGAGTCTGCAGTGAGCTGATATTGAGATCGCGCCACTGCACTCCAGCCTGGGTGACAGAGCAACTCTGTCTCAAAAAAAAAAAAAGAATACCTAAAGCTGGGTAATTTATGAAGAAAAGAGGTTTAATTCGCTCACAGTTTTGCACGGTGTACAGGAAGCATGGTGCTGTGTCCTGCTTCTGGTGAGGCCTCAGGAGGCATACACTCACGGTGGAAGGTGAAGGGGCAGCAGGTGCATCACCTGGTGAGAGTGGGAGCAAGAGCGAAGGAGGAGAAAGGTGCCACACACTTTTACACAACCAGGTCTTGCAAGAACTCACGCACTATCACAAGGACAGCGCCAACTCATTCCTGAGGGATCTGTCTCCATGACCTAAACACCTTCTACCAGGCCCCACCTCCAACATTGGGGATCACATTTCAACATGAGATTTGGAGGGGACAAACATCCAAACTATATCTCCTCCAAAGGAAAATCGTAATTCTCCAGTAAAAGATCTCAAAGAAAAGGAAATTTATGAAATGCCTGAAAAGAATTCAAAATAATGATCTTGGGGAAACTCAGTGGATTATAACACAGATCAACAATACAAAGATACAGATATCCTAAAATAGAACCAAATCAGAAATCTTGGAACAGAAGAATTCAATGAATGAAATAAAAAATAAAATCAAGAGCATCAACAAGAGATTAGAGTGGAAGAAAGAACTTCTGAACTCGAAGACAAGACTTTTGAAACAACTCGGATTTTTTTTAAAAAAGATAATTTAAAAGTATACAGAAAGCCTATGTGACATGCAGGACACCATAAAGCAAACATATATTTGAATTTCAGGAGTTCCAGAAAGAGAAGAAATGGACAAAGGCATAAAAAACCTATTTAATAAAATAATAGTTTAAAATTTCTCCAAGTCTTGAGAGAGAGAGATAGACAACCAGATACAGCAGGCTCAAAGATCCCCACATATATTCAATCCAAAAAGGTCTTCTCTAGGCACACTATAGTCAAGCTGTCAAAAGTGAAAGAGAATTCTAAAAACAGCAAGAGTGTCAAGTCATATATAAGGGAATCTCCATTAGACTAAGAGCAAATTTCTTAGCAGAACCCTTATAGAACAGGAGAGAATGGGATGATACAATCAAAGTACTGAAAGAAAAAAACTGCTTATCAAATCCAGCAAAACTATCCTTCAGAAATGAAGGAGAAATAAAGTCTTTCCCAGACAAGTAAAAACAGATAATTCCTCACCACTAGACTGACTGTACAAGAAATGTTTAAGGGAGTCCTATATCTGGAAGTGAAAGAATGGTATCTACCATCATAAAACTGTTCCAAAATACAAGTTTATTGAAAAATAAAAGTATGCTCAACTGTTTATAATCACAGACAAATGGAAGTAACCATCAGAAAGTCGTTAAATGGGCCAGGCGCGGTGGCTCACAACTGTAATCCCAGCACTTTGGCAGGCCAAGGCAGGTGGATCATGAGGTCAGGAGATCAAGACCATCCTGGCTAACATGGTGAAACCCCATCTCTACTAAAAAATACAAAAAAAATAGCCAGGTGTGGTGGCAGGCACCTGTAGTCCCAGCTACTTGGGAGGCTGAGAATGGTGTGAACCCACGAGGCAGAACTTGCAGTAAGCTAAGGTCACGCCACTGCGCTCCAGCCTGGGTGACAGAGCGAGACTCCGTCTCAAAAAAAAAAAAAAAAAAAAGAAAGTCGTTAAAATGAATGACATATCCATGGAATACAATGCAACTAATTAAACACTGAGGTAAAACTGCTTGTATACAAAGAGGTAAAACACATTAAACATATTGTTAAACAAACAAAAAAAGCAACTTGTAGGCAGTATGCAAAGCATGATTCAATTTGCACTTTAAAAATTCAAGTATAGTTAGTATAAACTAAACATGTCAATAAAGATGGTTTCTAAATTATAAATAGATACTCCTTCTAGGGAGTGAAACTTAAGCGGGAAGGAAATGGGGGTCCAACCAGGGTGGTTTTCATTTTTATATTTCTGTATATTTTATGAGAGCAAATTTGATAAAGTAATTATTTTCCTTAAAAACAGACTACATTATACATATAGCATGATACATTAAAACAATATGGCTATGTATGTACAAATATACATCTACATATATAAACATAAGACTATTTTGTATTGTTTTGTTTTTTGAGACTGAGTCTTGCTTTGTCACCCAGGCTGGAGTGCAGTGGCACAATCTCGGCTCACTGCAACCTCCACCTCCCATGTTCAAGCGATTCTCCTGTCTCGGTCTCCCAAGCAGCTGGGATTATAGATGTGCACCACAACACCCAGCTAATTTGTGTATTTTTAGTAGAGATGGGGCTTTGCCATGTTGGCCAGGCTGGTCTTGAACTCCTGACCTCAAGTGATCTGCCCACCTTGGCCTCCCAAAGTGCCGGGATTACAGGCATGAGCCACCACACCCACCCATAAACATAAGATTTAAAAAGCATGCATTCAGCATGTATTACCTTAATCATTAGGAAGAAAGCCCAAGAAACCTAATATAAACATCATCTAGCAACTGTGAAGGCTGGGGCTAAATGTTACAAGAATAGAAAAATGACCTCCCCCTGGTGTGATGTGACTGGAGAACTACACAGCTGGAGCTAGCAAGGAGGAAGGCAGGCTTGAGAACAGAGACAATAAGCTCAGTTGTGTTCCTTTAGATTCCAAGGTGCCAGCAAAAAACTGGGGAATATGGCAGGGCATGGTGGCTCACGCCTGCAATCCCAGCACTTTGGGAGGCCCAGGCAGGCGGATCACCAGAGGTCAGGAGTTCAAGACCAAACTGGCTAACATGGTGAAACCTGTCTCTGCTAAAAATACAAAAATGAGCCAGGCGTGGTGGCCCACACCTGTAGTCCCAGCTACTCGGGAGGCTGAGGCAGGAGAATCACTTGAACCCGGGAGGCTGAGGGTACAGTGAGCCGAGATCATGCCACTGCACTCTAGCCTGGGTGACAGAGGGAGACTCTGTCTCAAAGAAAAGAAAAGAAAAAAACAAAAAACTGTGAATATGTGTAAGCAGCACGTTGAGTTCAAAATACGGAAACAGAACCTAGGTGTGCAAACAGGGTGGCGGGGTGAGGGAGGATACAATGATATGCTCAAGCAAGATTGTCAAAAGATGAGGGGAAGATGCCAGCAAAGAAGAAAAAAACAATGAGAGCAAAATCTTCTAAAACCCCCAAAGGAGAGAGTTTCAAGAGGAAACTGATGGTGAGCAAGGTGAAATAGCACTGCATTCAGGAGGATGAACGAGGAAGCCATTATAGATAGGGCAATTCATGAGTAAAGTCTTAGCAGAGCAGTTTCCGAGTATCCTAATGGTGAGTCTAATCCAGGGGTCAGCTAACTTTTTCTATAAATACCATGTAAACATAGTAAATATTTTAGGCTTTGAGAACCAAATGGTCTCTGTGGCAGCTACCCCACTCTGCCAGTGTGGCAGGAAAGCACCACAGACAATATGTAAACAAGAATCATGGTGACCAGGCGTGGCAGCTCATGCCTACAATCCCAGCACTTTAAGAGGCCAAGGTGAGAAGATCACTTGAGCCAGGAGTTTGAGACCTACCTGCACAACATAGCAAGACCTCATCTCTACTAAAATTAAATTTTAAAAATTAGCCAGGTGTGATGGTGCATGCCTGTGGTCCCAGCTACTGGGGAGGCTGAGGTGGGAGGATCGCTTGAGCCCAGGAGACTGAGGCTGCAGTGAGCTGTGATTGGGCCATTGCACCCCAGCCTGGTCAAAAGAGCAAGTCCCTATCTCAACAACAACAACAACAACAAAAAAAGCAGCAGCAGCATGGCTGTGTTCCAATAAAACTTTATTTATAAAAACAAGTCACGCCAGATTTGGGCCCTGAGCTGCAGTTTCCTGACCCCTCACACCAGTCACTACCATTTCTGTTGAGAAAGAACTACTTTCAGATTCTGCCATCTGACACAATAATTCTTGTTTGAACACCAGTTTCCTGTTTGCAAAATCCTGCTACTGCTTGTAGATATATTCCTCTATGTATTTTCCTTAACTGTGAAGATTTAAATGAAAATATATAAGAATTCTGAATCACTCCTAAAGGAGACATTAGGAAAAAGAAAGACCTAGGTATTGGTAAGAGAGAAAGGGATATAAAATAAAAGGCAGAGCAGTAGAAGGTTCTGGATTACAGTCACAAGTAAGAATTAAAAGACAAAACAAACCCAGGCCTTAAAAATGCACTTTAGAATTAGGTTCTAATGGTGAGCCAGGCACAGCGGCTCATGCCTGTAATCCCAACACTTTGGGAGGCTGAGGCGGGTGGATCACCTGAGGTCAGGAGTTCAAGACCAGCCTGGCCAACATGAAACCTCATCTCTACTAAAAATACAAAAGATTAGCCAGGCGTGGTGGCACACACCTTTAATTCCAGCTATTCGGGAGGCTGAGGCAGGAGAATCGCTTGAACCCGGGAGGCGGAGGTTGCAGTGAGCCAAGATCTCGCCACTACACTCCAGTCTGGACATCAGAGTAAGATTCTGTCTCCAAAAAAAAAAAAAAAAGAAGAAGAATATAATGGCAGGAAAAGAATCAGCTGAATAATTGGAGCAGCTCTGCTGAATTCTAGGGAGGTCTGGTGTAAAGTTACCGTGGGTGCACTATAGGTAACTAATGTGTTAGAAAGTAAGTTTGAAATAGGATACATTAAATGGATTAAATAAAATTTACCCACAGGTTTTTAATTTCAAGCACGAAATTATCTGGGTTTCTTGAGCCCAGTGGACCCTGAAAGTCAATAGCTCAGTCATGGGTCAGACAGGGGGGAAAAAAAAGACAAGGCCTGTATTTACTATGCACAAACACAGGACAAAACAAATTTATAATTATCACGTGGATGCTGTAGGAGAATCTGAAATTTTAGTTGCAAGAAAGAAACAGAAAAGTAGAAATTCATTGAATAGTACTCATTACTAATTAAAGGTGTATAAAATGTTACTAATATTCTCTATTCAACATTATTTCCTTGGTCCTTTTACTAAATGAACATAATATTTAGAAGGGTTTTCACTGATTGCTACAATTCCCAACTTTGATCTAAATTTTGCTTTAAAGAGCTTAATTCTTCAAACTTGACTTCCCCTATCACACAGATGTTGTAGGATATAATCTTTGTGTTTGATAATGAAATGACTGTATCCAAACTGCACCTCCACTAAGAGATGGGCAGGTGGTAGTTTTTTTGTTTTGGGTTTTGTTTTGTTTTCCTGATCTGAGAATGACACCAAAGGTGGTAGGTTTGTGTTTGTTGTGGACTCTGCTTCTCTACTTCCCTATTTCCCTTTCAGAGATTATGAGGAAGTTCTAGAAAACTAGGCAGTCTCTAGCTTTCCTCTAATCCCTGTCCTCAGTCCTACCACACCCAGAAAATGGCAACCAGGAGTCCAAAAAGAATCACTGCCTTTACGCTAGGAGGAATGGTGAAGACATGGTCATGTCATAATGGGTTATAAACAGACAAATGGACCTACAACCTGGGAATTCTCCAGTGTTTTTCAGAGTCTACCAGATATTTTCAAAGAACATAAAGGCAAAAGATGGTAATTTGCTTTCATAAGCCAGGAGAAGAAAAGAAGGGAAATGTGCTTTCTGGTGACATAAATCTTTAAATAGTTAGCTTTGAAAGTCAATGGAGTCAACAGATAAGAGTGAACAAAAATAAAATGAAGTGTTCCTTCAGCCACTGGACCAGGTCGGGGTCTCCCCACATCTCATGATGTGGTTCACGTGTTAGGAGGAGAAATGAATGATGATATATCCCTTCAGGTTTTTAACATAGAGAGATAGATAGATAGATAGATAGATAGATAGATAGATAGATAGATAGATAGATATTTTTTTTCCTTTTTTGACAAGCTCCAAAGCTAGAAAAATATCACATCAGAAAGATTCTAAAACTGGTAGAGAAAAAGCTAACAAACTCTAAGAGCTGCTCAAATTTTATTTACATGATTTTTAACATTTCTAACAGGCAAAACACATTTTTTCCCCCAGTGTGTGGAAGGGAAGGTGCAAATGGCTGAATATAAATGGTATTTATTTCAATCCAATATCTCAGACTATGAAGGAACTAATGGCAAAATTTTTTTTATTCCTAGGAAAGTGGCAAATGAGTTTTTGCCATGTATATGAGTTTCTTATGGACCCACATCAGAAGAGCAAGCCATCTTCACACTGCCATAAATCAAATAGAACCCATATAGTTTCTATTATCTTCATTTCCCAGATGCACTAATATAGGTTTTCAAATGTCAACTTGAGAAAGTGCTTCCTTCTTTCTAGTTTGAATGAGCAAAAGAAATTAGCTTCTGATCATTCTTTTTAATTTCCCTTTCCTGTAAATTCTCTTTTTCATAAATCAAACATGATGATTCTCATAAAAAGGTTCAGCTCTAATCTCCAAAATGGCAATAGCCAGGCTAAAAATTTTTAAACAAGTGGTGAGGTGAATGGCCGTGAATGATTCCATTTAGAAGAAATTAAGGAGGATGAAATCTACTTGGTAACGGGGTAAAATGCCACTGGTCTCTTAGTCAAGACCGGGGGTTGGGGGTGGTGCGCGATGACTTCTTTGTTATCTGTTTGTGGCAATGGGTCACAATCATTTTAAATCCCAAGCCACTTTTGATAAACATGAAAATGTTCCTTCAATGCTATTTGAAATTTCAAAGGAAATATCATTAAAAACAAATTGAAAGCAATGGTTATTTTTTAAAATGTCAGTTCAAACCACCTGGGTGCTCTTGGAGTGCCCCCTCCCCCAATTCTCTGCTAGGTGAAAATCCATTATCTGTGTGACCTAGAACAAATAAAAATCACTTTCAACAGCCGGGCACAGTGGCTCACGCCTGTAATCCCAGCATTTTGGGAGGCCAAGGTGGGCGGATAACGAGGTCAGGAGATCGAGACCATCCTGGCTAACACAGTGAAACCCCGTCTCTACTAAAAATATATATATAAAAAATTAGCCGGGCGTGGTGGCAGGCGCCTGTAGTCCCAGCTACTCGGGAGGCTGAGGCAGGAGAATGGCGTGAACCCGGGGGGCGGAGCTTGCAGTGAGCCGAGATCACGCCACTGCACTCCAGCCTGGGAGACAGCAAGACTCCATCTCAAAAAAAAAAAAAAAAAAAATCACTTTCAAGTAAACCTTGTTAAGTGACCTTAGTTCCAACTTGGAGTCTCGGACTCATGTTAATTTTTTTTTTTTAATCTTACGACACTCTGTTGAACGAGTACAAACCATTTACACACATATCACAATAACTCAAGAATCCTGAGAAACAGGTGAAACCATTATTCTAGAAATTAGAAATAAAACATATCTCTACTGAGATATATAAAGATCAACTCTCTTACATCTTCTTCTCTACCTACATGTCCATGTTCAAGTCTCCCCACTTCAAACCAACAGACCAATAACCCTCCCCTCAAAGCCCCCCCACAAACCCCAAAGCCTTCTGTGACCCTTCCTCCCAAGATGACCATCTGTTCTCTTTCTTGCCAAATATTATGACAATCTGCCGTCCATCTCCACCAAACCATTGAGATTACTTTGGTAACAGGCATCAATAATCTCTGATTTGTCAAATATTTGGGTTTCTTTTTTTTTTTCCAAATTAATTTATTTTTTCTTTTACCTTGATTCTTTCCTTCTTCCTAATTTCCATAGGCTTATTTTGCTATTTCTTAGATTTAATGCTTAGCTTACTAAGCTAACTAGTAGATGACTAGTTGCCCACCAATCCCTATTCTCCCCTTTGTCCTTATAAGCAGAGAACCTTGCAGACGTAAAAAAGAACAAGATCATGTCCTTTGCAGGGACATGGTTGGAGCTGGAGGCCATTATCCTCAGTAAACTAACACAGGAATGGAAAACCAAATACCACATGCTCTCACTTATAAGTGGTAGCTAAATGATGAGAACACATGGACACATAGAGAGGAACAACACACACTGGGGCCTATCACAGAGTGGAGAATGGGAGGACGGAGAGGATCAGGAAAAAAACAAATGGGTAGCAGGCTTAATACCTGGATGATGAAATAATCTGTACAACGAACTCCCATGACACAAGTTTATCTGTGTAACCAATGTGCACGTATACCTTTGAACTTAAGAGTTAAAAAAAAAAATACAGAGCATGCTTGAGCTACTTGGTCACAGCAATATATGATCTGTGGGGGAATGGATCCAGGAACCTCATGGATGGCAAAATCCATGGATGCTCCAGTTTCTTCATAAAATGATGTCATATTTGCATTTAACCTATGCACATTCTCCAATATACTTTAAATAATCTCTAGATTACTTACAATAGCTAATACAATGTAAACGCTAGGTAGTCTTTACACTGTATTTTTTTACTGTTGTATTGTTATTTTTTTCTGAATATTTTCAATCTGTGGTTGGTTGAATCTGCAAGGACACAGCCTGTGGATACAGAGGGCTGACTCTGCTCTGCTAAAAGAACCTATTTCCCAGTCTCCCTCTAGCAAGGGGTGACTAAGACACCTAGTTCTGGCTAAAAAGATGTAAATGGAAGAGTTATGCAAATAATTTTAAAAGAAAGAAGATGTGCCCTTCTTGTACACATCTTTGTACTGTCTACTCAAAATGAAGGCTGGAATGCCAACATGATGGCTCTAGCAACCATTATGAACCATGAAGTACACTGCAGAATGAAAGTCATCTGTTGAATGTCAAAGAAGACAGGAATCTGAGTCTCTGATGACACTGTGAAGCCACTGTATCAGCCTCTGGTTCACCTACAATCAGGCTTCTGTGACATTAGAAGAAAAGATATTTCTAACTTGATTAACCTACTCACTATCTGGGGATGTTATATGCAGCTGATCTGAATCCCAAGTGATATAATTCACATTTGGTCCAATTCTGAATATTGTTATACAATATTCTTATTTTCACTATCTTACAAGTATCTATAATTGTAGTTTTGATTCCCTTTCACTTAATGAAGATTAAAATTGAGTCTTGTGAATTACCAAGTGGTTGGGCTTTGTTTACACTTTTGTTGGTCTTGCTCCATTGTGTTCAGTGGCAGTAGCCTATGTTATATTTTTATTTTTCATCTCTCCTATCAGAAAATAGGGGCCTTATCTGCCTATTCGCTTGTCCTCAGAAGCTAGAAGAATCTTTACCAGATATTAAGCACTCAATAAATATTTGTTGAGTGAATGAATACAGTTTGGACAGTTCAGATCTTTTTAACATTGTTTATGGTCTAGTATATTAAATGTTATGCAAACATAAGAAGGCATCATAAAAATAAAAATACAAGGGAAAATGGGTAAGTATTGGAGGAAGGCAATCTATCATTATGAAGAAATAGAGCAAGATTCTATCACAGGATGGAAAACTACTTATGTTACAAAGGAGATAAAGTTATGCACATAGTATGATTATAACTATGAACCCCAAACTTAAGCTTATATCTAAATAAGTACCATAAAAATAATAAAAAAAGAACAAAGGCCAGGCACGGTGGCTCACACCTATAATCCCAGTACTTTGCGAAGTCCAGGTGGGCAGATTGCTTGAGCCCAGGAGTTCAAGACCAGCCTGGGCAACATGCCAAACTCTGTCTCTAAAAAAAATAAATAAATAAAATAAAAATTTAGCTGAGCATGGTGGCACGCACCTGTAGTCCCAGCTATTTGGGAGGTTGAGGTGGGAAGATTGCTTAAGCCCAGGAGGCAGAGGCTGCAGTGAGCTGTGATTGTGCAACTGTGCTCCAGCCTGGGCAACAGAGCAAAACCCTGTCTCAAAAAAACCCCAAACAAACAAAACATAAAAATCATAAGCTAAATACTATAAATTTGAAAAATACTACTTGAAATACAGTGGGCAGCAGGAAGGCATTCAGAAAAAAATGACCATAGGAAATATATACCCAATGCATTTAAAGAACCACCATATCACTGGCTGATCTAAGATGATGAAACAATAGTAACACAGGAATCTCCTAGCTGAGAGCACCAACCTGTTCCTGAAAATGCTAAATGAAGCATATTTCACACTATTTTAATTGGGAAAAATTAAAATGTGTTACACATCAACTCAAAATCTCCAGTTTTTAAAAATGAAACCAGTCAGGCGCGGTGGCTCACGCCTGTAATCCCAGCACTTTGGGAGGCCGAGGCGGGTGGATCAAGAGGTCAGGAGATCGAGACCATCCTGGCTAACACGGTGAAACCCCGTCTCTATTAAAAATACAAAAAAATTAGCCGGGCGTGCTGGCGGGCACCTGTAGTCCCAGCTACACGGGAGGCTGAGGCAGGAGAATGGCATGAACCTGGGAGGCAGAGCTTGCAGTGAGCCAAGATCATGCCACTGCACTCCAGACTGGGAGAGAGAGCGAGACTCGTTTCAAAAAAAAAAAAAAAAAGAAACTAAAACAGGGTAAAATGCCCATATGTACAATAGCCATTGTATTGGTCTGTAAAATATGTAAAAGACTGCTAACAACTGAAAACAAAAAAACAAGATTCACATCAACTGCTCAGGATGGGAAAGTGGCCTCTCTCAGTGCCAGCACCAGCAAGAAGCAAATTAGTAGGCCTTTCAAATCACCCACATCTGACTCTCACCATCGACTGATTGTATTTGGAGCTGGCATTCTGGATTTTTCCTGCATATGTTTTTGTTTAAAATGCTGTATTAGTTTTTGGAAATAAATATAAATGTTGCCTTTGTAAGTATCAGTTAAAAACGTTGTATTGAAAGACTGCTGTGCTGTAGGAAGTTTGGATATTAAAAACAAAGAGGAGGCCAGGCCCGGTGGCTCACGCCTGCAATCTCAGCACTTTGGGAGGCCAACCCGGGCAGATAGCTTCAGCTCAGAGCTCTAGAGGAGGCTGGGCAACACGGCGAAACCCTGTCTCTATAAAAAATACAAAAATTAGCCAGGTGTGGTGACACACGCCTGTAGTTCCAGCTACTCGGAAGGCTGAGGCAGGAGGATTGCTTGAGTCGGGAGGTGGAGGCTGCAGTGAGCTGAGATCATGCCACTGCACTCCAGCCTGGGTGACAGAGCAAGACTCCAGCTCAAAAAAACAAAACAAAACAAAGAGATGTTGTAGTGGAAAACCAGCAACACAAAGAGGTGACCTGTAGGGTACGCCTGTATTTGGAAGAGATGTCTGTTCATATACTCTTCAGACAATCTGATGATATATGAATCAAAAGTCAAAGGGTAGAGAAAATTCTATTCCCTTGTGGCTTGCCAGATCTTTAAAACCATTTTTCTTATTTTTTAGGTAGTTGTGTGTCACTACTATTCAAGCCATAATTTACTCAAGGCTGACCTTAATACACAGCTAGCGTCACATAAAAGATACTTTCTCAAATGAAAAAAGTCTTTAAGTCACCCTCCCATGACACACACTACCCATGTATTTGGTCATCTAGGCCTTGGAGTCCTAGAAATGTCTACTGAATTAATGATCCACTGCTACATTAATGACCTATATAAAATTTCATTAAACTTTTAAAGATAAAATACAAATTGTTTTTCTGTAATGTTATCATAGATTTTGTTTGTTTTCAGTGGAAACTGGAAAACATGAGAAAATGTCATCCATGACTCAATACTTTTACACTATTATAAATGTTTTTGTTCAACCGGTTTTAAGTCAAAAAATTAGCTAATTAGCATATACACCAAAAAACGCTTTCTCAGCTTCTGTCAAATGATTACTTGAATGTTTTTAGAATCACAGAATTATTTAAACAGCCTTTTAAAAGCTCTCTCAGTGTGCCAGGCACTACCAGCTTGTGGACAGCTAGATCGTTAAGACCATTTCCCATTTTTGGAGTAGTGTAGCTTTGTTTTTTAACATGAAGGCTGAGAAAACTCCTTCTCAACACCCCAGCTTATCCACTGTCATTCCACTCCCCATCTGACCCCATGCTCTTGGACTCTGGTGGAACTGAACTGCTCCACAAGCCACACGTGCTTTCCCAAATCGCCAAACTCTGCCTGCTTCCGCAAACAGGAAGGCTCTTTAGTAATCAGTGGTGGCTCTTAAGGAACACAGAGCAGCTGGAGGTCAGAGTGGAGGGAAAGCTTACTTCTAACTCCCTATCAGTCTGTGACATTTTAAGTTTATGCCAGATGAATAAAGTATGCATTAAATAACACTACGTTTTAAGTCTCAGTTCCGCTATCACTTCTTGCAGAATGCCTTTTCTGATGTCAATGTCAGCATCTCTCCTCACGCTCCTTGTAGCCCAGCACTTCTCACCAAGTCCTGAAACTATCTATCTCCCACACAAACAATTCCTCTAAGGCAAAGACCACATCCCAGTTGTAACTATATGCCCCGGCCTAGCACAGAACTTGAAATATACTACGCACAAAGCAAGAGTTGGTGGAAATGATTATAGTATAAACAAAGTCTCCAAAATATTGACAGTCATTTATACACAAAAATTATTCTAAGAAGCAAACCACTATTTAATTTTAAACTTTTTTTTTTTTTTGAGATGGAGTTTTGCTCCTGTTGTTCCAGGCTGGAGTGCAATGGCGCTATCTTGGCTCATTTCAACTTCCGCCCCCCGGGTTCAAGAGATTCTCCTGCCTCAGCCTCCCAAGTAGCTCAGATTACAGGCGCCTGCCACCACGCCCGGCTAATTTTTTGTGTTTTTAGTAGAGATGGGGTTTCACCATGTTGGCCAGGCTGCTCTCGAATTCCTGACCTCAGGTGATCCACCCACCTCAGCCTCCCAAAAATGTTGGGATTACAGGCATAAGCCACTGCACCTGGCCTAATTCTGAACTAATTTTATTAATAAAAGCACTGGCTGGCCAGGCGCAGTGGCTCATGCCTGTAATCCCAGCACTTTGGGAGGCCTAGGTGCGCAGACCACTTGAGGCCAGTTGTTCAAGACTAGCCTGGCCAACATGGCGAAACCCTGCCTCTTAAAAAATAAATCAGCCAGGCATGGTGGCATGGTGGCTTGTGCCTGTAGTCCCAGCTACTTGGGAAGCTGAGGCAGGAGAATTTCTTGAACCCGGGAGGCAGAGACTTCAGTGAGCTGAGATCATGCCACTGCACTCCAGACTGGGTGACAGAGCGAGGCTCTGTCTCGAAAAAAAAATTATAAAAAATAAATAACAATAATAATAGCACTGGCTGGATGTGGTGGCTCACATCTATAATCCCAGTGCCTCGGGAGGCCAAGGTAGGAAAACCACTTGAGGCCAGGAGCTGAAGACCAGCCTATGCAACACAGTGAGACCCCATTTCTACAAAATAAATAAATAAATAAAGATTAACTGGCTGTGGTGACACATGCCTGTAGTCTCAGCTGCTCCGGCAACTGAGGTGGGAGGATTGTTTGAGCCCAGGGGTTCAAGGCTGCTGAGAACCATGATTGTGCCACTGCACTCCAGCCTGGGCGACAGAACAAGTCCCTGTCTCTAAATAATAATAGCACTGACATTATTGAGCCCATGTGCCAAGCAATGTATTCAGAGTTTTCATGTGTTATCTTTTTTTGAGACTGAGTTTCACTCTTGTTGCCCAGGCTGGAATGCAATGGCATGATCTTGGCTCACTGCAACCTCCACCTCCCGGGTTCAAGCGATTCTCCTGCCTCAGCCTCCCGAGTAGCTGGGATTACAGGCGCCTACCACCACGCCCAGCTAATTTTGTATTTTTAGTAGAGAGGGCGTCTCCCCATGTTGGTCAGGGTGGTCTCAAACTCTTGAACTCAAGTGATCCACCCGCCTTGGCCTCCCAAAGTGCCGGGATTACAGGTGTGAGCCACCATGCCTGGCCTCATGTGTTATCATTTAATTCCAATTAGGAAGTACTCTTAACCCCACTTTACAGTGAGGAAGCAAAGACTTCACAGAGGTTCAGTGGTTTGGCCAAGGTTGCATAGCTATTATAGTATGGTGCCCTGGGAGTCAAACACTCACACTCTGCTCGCTTTCTGAGGAGTAGAAAGACCCCCATGGGCTTCCAGTGAAATATTTTGGCTAGACAAACACGAACTGTAAAAATGTCTGAACACTTCCAAAAGGCGGGGGAATAAATGGAGTATGAAAGGAAACACTCAGTGCTTTTCAGTAGCCACTGTACCAAATGGTGCTCAAACAACATATTCAAGTTGAGCAATTACTAGTCTAAGACTTGGAAAATTATTTTGCGTGTTGGTTAGAATATTTAGGGAAAATAAATATACATGATGTATTTTTATTTTTATGATGGCCTCTTAGGTTTGCATAAAGCTTAATATTCCAGTCTGTAAATAAATGTTAAAAAGAACTAAACTGCACAAACTGTATTGATTCACTCAGCAAATATTTATTGAGCATTTAATATCTGGTAAAAATTCTTCTAGTTTCTGGGGACCAATGACTAAGGCCGACAAGGGCCCTGTTCTCTGGTCAGAGAGACAGAAAAATAAATGAATAAAGATAAACACTTATAGGCTATTTTTCCCCAGAAAAATAACCTACAAAATAGAAAATACTAGCTTTCTAGGTTATTATTCCTTAGAAAAATGATCTTCTTAGGGGTGGCTTCTGACAGTTGTCCTTTTTAAAAATAAGTCACACTCAGAAAAGGTACAAGGAAGAATACAGCCAAAGGTCTCCCTCCACCCCCAGACACTTGGGTCAAAACCAATTCAATGTGTGGTTGAACCATAACTTATTTTAACTGGCTCCTGACTGATGGATAGTTTGCTTCTAATCTTCTGCTATTATAAATAATGTCACAATGAATAATCTTGTATATATTTTTCTTCACATGAATGTATGTCTCAGGGGAAATTACTAGATATGAACTGTTGACTCAAAGTGCACATTTTTTATTTTAACAGGTACCATAAAAGTGACCTTCAAAGATGAGGCTGAAGCAATTTATAGTCTCACCAGGTGTATGAGAGTACTTACTTCTTCACTAATTTTTTATCTATATTTAAGAGCTGTGTGGATTTCATTAAAGGATTTGTTTCTTTTCCTTATTTTTCTATTTTCTTATTTTCTATTGGCTTATAGGTCTTTATTTAATGATTGGCAGTAGTATTTTCAGTATGTTTAGGACATTTTAGTACCAACTTTAAACATTTTTTAAAAGTGTACCAACTTTATTCACTTTATTAACTTTAATTTCTTTTAAAATTGTATTTAAAAAGTCTTTTTTTTTTTCAGAATTATTCAATCTCAAAACACACCATTATGTAAGTGGGAAAAATTCAAGGAAAGAATAGGAGGCTGGATAAATATTTTATAAAGTCTAAAGGCAAAGAACAAGGTGATATGGTTTGGCTGGGTCCCCACCCAAATCTCATCTTGAATTCCCACATGTTGTGGGGGGACCTGGTAGGAGGTAACTGAATCATGGGGCAAGTGTTTCCCATGCTGTTCTCATGATAGTGAATAAGTCTCACGAGAGCTGATGGCTTCAAAAAGTGGGGTTCCCCTGCACAAGTTCTCTCATTTTTTTTGCCTGCCACCATCCATGTAAGATGTGACTTGCTCCTCCTTGCCTTCCATCATGATTGCGAGGCTTCTCCAGCCATGTGGAACTGTAAGTCCCATTAAACCTCTTTGTTTTGTGAATTGCTCAGTCTCGGGTGTGTCTTTATCAGCAGCATGAAAATGGACTAACACCCAAGGGATTCTGTTCCTCTTACATTAACAGAGCATGAAGCAAAATGATGATTCACAAAAAAAGATAATTTTAAGAGGGAAATCTTTTTTAAATATGGTGATCATTACAGTTTGAGGACCTGAATTTATTTGGGCATACACACACACACACACACACACACACACACACACACACACACACCTGTATACACAGGTATGTAATATGCAGTTAGCCTTCTGTATTTCTGGGTTCCTTCAGCATCTGGAGATTCAACCAACTGCAAATAGAAAGGGCAGTACTCGAGGGATGTGGGAACCTTGAATAGAGAAGGCCAACTTTTCATATCTGTGGGTTCTGCAGGGTGAACTGCAGGATGGTAACTGTAGATTTTGGTATCCACGGGGGTCCTGGAACCAATCCCCTGCAGATACTGACAGACAACAGCATATATGTACATATATACACATATGTGTATATGCATATGTATGTGTGCATACACATGTGTGTACATTTTGTTTCAAGGATTACAAATACTTGCTCGATTTTAGAAACTCAAGATTTCAAAAGATCCATAAATAGGCCGGGCATGGTGGCTCATGCCTGTAATCCCAGCACTTTGGGAGGCCAAGGTGACTGGATCACTTGAGGTCAGGAGTTGGAGACCAGCCTGGCCAACATAGTGAAACCCCATCTCTACTGAAAATACAAAAATTAGCCGGGTGTGGCGGCGTGCACCTGTAGTCCCAGTTACTTGAAGGCTGAGGCAGGAGAATTGCTTGAACCCAGGAGGTGGAGGCTGCAGTGAGCCGAGATCGGCCACTGCACTCCAGCCTGGGCGACAGAGCAAGACTCCGTCTCAATAAAATAAAAAGATCCACAAATAACTACAGGTTTTGAAGTAAGGCATTAGAGAAGTTTATATACTACATATATTTGTATCAAAACTCTTTTCAGATCAGTATATCGAACATGGAAGAGACATCTGCATTCCCATGTTTATTGCAACACTAGTCACAATGGCCAAGATTTGGAAGCAACCTAAGTATCCAATGGCAGATGAATGGATAAAGAAAATGTGGTATTTATATATAATGGAGTACTATTCACCCATAAAAAAAGAATGAGGTCCTGTCATCTCCAACATGGATGGAACTGGAGGTCATTATGCTAAGTGATATTAGCCAGGCACAGAAAGGCAAACATCGCATGTTCTCACTTAACTGTGGGATCGAAAAATCAAAACAATTCAACTCATGGAGACAGACAGTAGAAGGATGGTTACCAGAGGCTGGGAAGGGTAGTGGGGGTGTTGGGAGGAAGGTGGGATGGTTAATGGGTACAAAAAATAGAAAAAATGAATAAGACCTAGTCTTTGATAGCACAACAGGTTGACAATATAGTCAAACATAATTTAATTGTACATTTAAAAGTGACTAAAGGAGTATAATTGGATTGTTTGTAACACAAAGGATAAATGCTGGAGGGGATAGATACCACATTTTCTATCACATAATGATTACATATTATATGCCTGTATCAAAGTATCTCAGGTACCTTATAAATATATACACCTACTATGTACCCACAAAACTTAAAATTTAAAAACAAAACTCTTTTTAGAACCCTCCTCCTTCATAGAGTTATTATTATTACTTTTTTTAAAAAGGTAATTTCTGGTCTAGAGAATAAACACTCGAAGCAGAGAAACCAGGAGGACTACCAGTTCAATACGCACTATTCCCTGTGGGCATCATACAGATGGCTTGCTAGGACACTGCCTAGGCTTCACAGGGGATGGAACCCCTCGCTCCTCTCTGTGAAGTGTGGGGTGTCTGCAAAGCAAGCCCTTAGCCACAAGGAGGTAGCTGGCCAGCCCATTCTCAGAAAGTCACTTTAAGCATTAACAAGAGCACAAGGCCTAGTCCAGATCGGTAGCAACCTCCCAGGTTTCTTAGTCCAAAACTCTTTTTCGGTACTCTGGGATCAAGAGGAAGAGGTGCATGGTGTGAGAGTGTGGGCCTCTCTCTGCTGCTAAGATGAGGTTGTTTTCGGCAGTGGCTGTGATGTCTCCTTAGAGAAACACTTACTAAGCACCACAGAGATGAGAAAACTAGGCCCTTTGGACAGGATGTCTGATGCAGGGCGTCTTCATAGATTCCTCCTATAGATTCCATTCCACCTCAAATTTTTTTTTAATTAGGTCTTAATCCACACCTCCATACACACCAATCTTTCCACATAGAGAAGATGTAATGCTCAGCCACGCAGACCAAGTCACCCAACCACACCTCCCAGAGTCTTGTTTAAACTGGCCACATAGTGTTGAATCATTCCACTCCAACTAAGGTTGATTCCTGTGCTTAAAAGCATTTTGCCCAATGGAATTGTTTCCTGTTAGGTAGGCTGTCAAATACAATCTTTTAAAAAGCACAGTTTCAAATTTTCCTTTTTTCTCTTTTATTTTATTTATTTTTTTTAAAGAGATGAGGTCTTGCCATGTTGCCTAGGCTAGTCTCAAACTCCTGGGCTCAAGAGTTCCTCCCACCTCGGCCTCCCAAAGTGCTGAGATTACAGGTGTGAGCCACCATGCCTGGCTTAAAATCTTCTATACTTGTCCTTAGAAAGGGATTTCTAGCCTTAGAATAAAAAGAGTACCAAAAAATAAGGGATGACTTGCAAGTAAGTGGGAATTCCAAGGACCTGCCTAGAATAACTTTTAGTTCTAGCATCTTTCTTTCTAGAAAGTGCTGGAGGAAGGAGTTTGCTTGAAACAACCGATTCCCAACCAAAAATCCTGTAGGAAAATAACAAAACAAAGGCCAGGCGCGGTGGCTCACACCTGTAATCCCAGAACTTTGGGAGGCCAGGGTGGGTGGATCAGAAGTTTGAGACCAGCCTGGCCAACATGGTGAAACCCCGTCTCTACTAAAAACACAAAAATTAGCCGGGTGTGGTGGCAGGCACCTGTAATCCCAGCTACTCAGGAGGCTGAGGCAGGAGAATTGCTTGAACCCAGGAGGCAGAGGTTGCGGTGAGCCGAGATTATGCCACTGCACTCCAGCCTGGGCGACAGAGTGAAAGTCTGTCTCAAAAAAAGAAAAAAAAGAAAACAGGAAAACTTGCAATTTTTTCCCATCACTAAGTCAACTGGAAAAGGACAACTACACATTATTAGTTTTGACAGTCAATAATTTTAGTATTTTTATGTTGCCCTAATATAGTGATGTCAGCATATATATATATACACACACACACACACACACACACACACACACACACGCACTGTATAAACACACACACATACTAATATATGGTATGTGGATCTACACTTCATCAAATTACAAACACTACTCCACAGTCATCACAGTTCATCAGCTAACAGTTTAAATGTCACATTATTAATTACAATGATTAAATACAAAACAATTTTCTTCTCATGTGAAAAAAAAGCCAATTTATAATAGAAGAGATTATTCAGATCAGATGAAATCTTCCTCTAGTACTAATAATACCTTGGCAACAGATCACTACAGAATTACATAACTGTAATAGTTTCATACGCTAACCCATGAAAATCTTAACATCACAGTACATAACATGGAAACATACTATGCTGTTCTGGTTCAAAGAATAAATAAGAGAAGGAAAAATGATAACTTTAGGTAGCAGGACTAACTTCTGTGTTCTGGAAACGGTTATGGTTAACAAACTGAAGCTCTTTGGGGCTAAACAGGGGTTCAAATACCAGTTTGATTTTAGTGGCTGGTATTCAGGTTCCCACACACGATCACCTCCACTTTGGGCTATGTCAAATAAACAAGTGCTAAAAGATAATAAAAATATACCATGAAGCCAAACAGCTCTGTGACCTTCAATTTCCTCATCTGTAAAACAAGGTGAACAATATCTACGACTCATATAAAAGGTATGAAGATAAGATGATACATACTCAGGATTAGCAGTACCAGAATTTAGTAAGAGGTTGTTTAACAGATGTTAGCTATTAGAGCTATGATTATTAAATAAAAGAACTTATGATAAGAATGTTCTCTGCAGGACCCAATGTCTGCTGTACACTATATTTAGTTCAATAATGAAACACAACAGAGTCTCAACAGCAAACCCTGAGTGGTACAGTGACTGGCTTTCCAGGTCAGACACAAGGAACTGGTGGGGCTGCCATACCTGGACAGGGTGGATTTGCTGGCCAGGTGCTAGAAGAGCAGCAGCTCTGGGAGTGAGCAGATCCTTTATTTACAGAGAAACTCAGTTATTTGGATGCTTCAGCATAAACCATAAAGGCTTTAAAAAAAAAAAAAAAACTGTTGGCTGGACGTGGTAGCTCACGCCTATAATCTCAGCACTTTGGGAGGCCGAGGCGGTGGATTGCTTGAGGCCAGGAGTTCAAGACCAGCCTGGCCAATATGGGGAAACCTCATCTCTACTAAAATACAAAAAAATAGCCAGTGTGGTGGCATGTGCCTGTAATCTCAGATACTTGGGAAGCTGAGGTGGGAGGATCGCTTGAACCCAGGAGGCGGAGGTTGCAGCATGCTAAGATCATGCCACTGTACTCCAGCCTGGGTGACAGAGTGAGAGACTGTCTCAAAAAAAAAAAAAAAAAAAACTGTTTTAACATCATATTCAAAAAGAAACTTGGTTGGGGTGATGACAATGTTCTCGAGTTAGGTAGTGATTATTTCACAAGCTTGTGAATATACTAAAAATCATACTTTAGAAGGGTGAACTTCCTCTCTCTCTCTCTCTGTATATACATATGCATGTATTCATTGATTCATTCATCCATTCTAGACAGGGTGTCACTCTGTCACCTAGGCTGGAGGGCAGTGACACAATCATAGCTCACTGCAGCCTTGGCCTCTTGAGCTCAACTGATCCTCCCACCTCAGCCTCCTAAGTAGGTGGGACTACAAGAATGCATTAGCACACCTGGTTGATTTTTTTTTTTTTTTTTTTTTTTTTTGGTAGAGAAAGGGTCTTGCTATATTGCTCAGGCTGGTCTCAAACTCCTGGGCTGAAGCAATCCTCCCACCTTGGCCTCCCAAAGTGCTGGGATTACAGGCATGAGCCATCACATCTTGAACTTTATGATATGTAAATTATACCTCAATTATTAAAAAAAAAAAAAACACATGGGCATGGAACATTTGTCTCCTGATTTCCAGGATTCTGAGTTTTTATACAGTTGAGGGAGGTTGGGAGCCCTTGGCAGAATGAAGAATGGCTACCTGTATCTTTGACAGCTTCCGCTTCCTGGCCTAGCAGAAACTTTTTCTGCTTTTCCCTGGGTTCTCCGACATGCACCCTGCTAAGGTTCACAGAGTTGTTTGGATATATGGTATCCTTTTATTTATCTTTTTTTTTTTTGAGATGAAGTCTTGCTCTATCACCTAGCCTGGAGTGCAGTAGCGTGATCTTGGCTCACTGCAACCTCCATCTCCCGGGTTCAAGCGATTCTCCTGCCTCAGCCTCCTGAGTAGCTGAATTACAGGCGCCTGCCACCATGCCAGGCTAATTTTTGTATTTTTAGTACTAACAGGGTTTCACCATGTTGTCCAGGCTGGTCTCGAACTCCTGACCTCGAGTGATCCACCCACCTCAGTCTCCAAAAGTGCTGAGATTACAGGCGTGAGCCACCGCGCCCAGCCCCTTTTATTTATCTATTAGCACTTGTTTATTTCACCTAGCCCAAGGTGAAGGTAATCATTTCTGGGAACCTGAATACTAGGATGCATGAATTATTATATTAATCCTATTTTTACTAAATGCATACTACAGGCAAAGCACTATCCGCGGCACTGAGGATAGTGCAGGGAATGAGAAAATGTCTCTGCTTTCACAGTTGAAAGGAATAAAAACCAATAACATGCAAGTCTGGAGTTGATGCTGCTATGGAAAAAAACAAGCAGAGAAGAGGGATGGGCAGTGCTGCTGAGGAGGGATATTATTTTCCACAGGATGAGGAGGGGCTAACTCTCTGATAAGGTGATATTTGAGTGGAGTCCTGAAGGAAATGAGAAAACAAACCATATCAACATAGAGAAGCCCATTACAGGCAGAAAGAATGAATTCTAAGAGTCTAGACAAAGGCAAACAGCCAACGGAGAAATGGGCAAGGTATGGAAAGGCTATTAAAGACATGGCCAAACACAACAAAATGCTCACCCACTCCTGGGAGGATTATAAAATAAAACCTCAAATCAGACTGGCAAAACCTAAAACCCTGACAATGGCCAGGCACAGTGGCTCACACCTGTAATTCCAAAACTTTTTTTTTTCTTTTTTTTTTTTTTTGAGATGGAAACTCGCTCAGCCGCCAAGTACCTGGGACAACAGGCGCACATCATCACGCCCAGCTAATTTTTGTATTTTTAGTAGAGACGGGGTTTCACCATGTTGGTCAGGATGGTCTCGATCTCTTGATTTCATGATCCGCCTGCCTTGGCCTCCCAAAGTGCTGGGGATTACAGGTGTAAGCCACCGTGCCCGGACAATCCCAGCACTTTTGAAAGCCAAGGTAGGAGGATCACTTGAGGCCAGGAGTTTAAGACAAGCTGGGCAACATAGTGAGACTCCATCTGTACAAGTTAAAGAATCAAAAAAATTAGCCAGGCATGGTGGTGCACGGCTGTAGTCCGAGCTTCGTGGGGGGACTGAGGTGGGAAGATCACTTGAGCCCAGGAGGTTGAGACTGCAGTGAGCCATGATGGCACCACTGCATCCAGTCTGCCAATAGAGCAAGATCCTGTCTCAAAAAATAAATAAAATAGAATCAACAACTAACAAGACCAAGTATTCGTGAGGATAGAAAATAGAAATTTAATGCAGTAGTCTCCTAAGTATAATCACGTAGGACAGGGTACGGTGACAAAAATCTAATCAAGTTCAAGTTTAAGATGTACATATCCTATGATCCAGCAACTTCCAACCACAGGTTAGTTCCGAAAGAAATTATTGCACATGTGCACAAAGAGACACTCTCAATAATGTTCACTGCAGAGTTAGAAACTGTGAAACAATCCAAATGCCCATCTGTAGGAGGATGAATTTCTCCTACATCGGGGAATATTTACAGGATAGAAGGCTACCTAGCAGTTACAAAGTCTCAAAAGCTAAATATAACAATATGAATATGTCACGAGCATAATATCAAACAAAAGAAAAACAGGTTGCAGGGAGGAAGAAATGAGGGAGGCTACTATTTAATGGGTATGAAGTTTCATAGTTTGGGGGAAAGAATGGGGAGATTAAACAGCTCTGGAGATGGATGGTGGTAATAGTTGCATATAATATGAATGTACATGATACCACTGAACTGTACACTTTAAAATGGTAAAAATGTAATTTTTTATTTTAAAAAAATGGTCAAAAATTAAATCAAGTTGCTTAAGGATACATATAGGGTTACAATATTATATAAAGTTTTAAAATATGGAAAACACTATGCTCTGTTACTTATGGAGTTATACATAAGAGTGAAGTATAAATATGGAATGATAGGCCAGGAGCAGTAGATCACGTCTGTAATCCCAGCACTTTGGGAGGCCAAAGCGAGAGGATCACTTGACGCCAGGAGTTCGAGACCAACCTGAGCAACACAGTGAGACCATATCTCTACAAAATGCAAAAATTAGCCGGGCACAGTGGCGGACACCTATTGTCTCTAGCTACTTGGGAGGCTGAAGTGGGAGGACTGCTTGAGTCCAGGAGTTCAAGGCTGTGGTGAGCCATGATCATACTTGTGGCACTCCACCCTGGGCAACAGAGCAAGACCCTGTGTGATGGTTAACACTGAGTGTCAACTTGATTGTATTAAAGGATACAAAGTATTGCTCCTGGGTGTGTCTGTGAGGGTGTTGCCAAAGGAGATTAACATTTGAGTCAGTGGACTGGGAAAGGCAGATCCACCCCTCAATCTGGGTGGGCACCATCTAATCAGCTGCCAGTGCAGCCGGAATAAAAGCAGGCAGAAGAACGTGGAAAAACTAGACTGGCTGAGTCTTCTGGCCTTCATCTTTCTCCCGTGCTGGATGCTTCCTGCCCTCGAACATCAAACTCCAAGTTCTTCAGCTTTTGGACTCTTGGACTTACACCAGTGGTTTGCCAGGGGCTCTCAGGCCTTTTGGCCACAGACTGAAGGCTGCACTGTCAGCTTCCCTACTTCTGAGGTTTTGGGACTTGGAACGGCTTCCTGGCACCTCAGCTTGCAGATGACCTATTGTGGGACTTCACCTTGTGATAGTGCGAGTCAATTCTCCAATAAACTCCCCTTCATATGTACATCTATCCTATTAGTTCTGTCCCTCTAGAGAACCCTCATTAATACAATATGGAATGATAAACACCAAACATGAAATACTGAAGACAATATGGAACGATAAACACCAATTACAGGATACTGATTCCCTCTGAAAGAAAGAGAAGGAAAAGAAGTATGATAGGATAGAAATGAGGTCCACAGAGACTGCAAATGAATTTGTAATATTTATTTCTTAAGCTAGACTATAGTTATAGTGGTACTTACTATCTTATTCACTGTATCTTTTCATATGTATAAAATATTTAATCATATACACAAAAATGACAATAGAGGGCATCATTTTGTAAAATTCAAACAAAATTACCTACTGTAATGTTTCTAGGTGTTTTTGTCTAGACCCTATAAGGTAGGCACTGTTATTTACCCCATTTCACAGGTGAGAAAAGTGAGTCCCTTGCCCAAAATTACACACACAATAGGTGGCAGAGCCAGTATCCAAACCTTGGTAGCCTTGTTTCAGAGACCCAAGCTTTCAATTACTAAACCAAGCAGGTTGTTGGGAAATAACAGAATATACACCAAGAGGAGATCAGATAAATGCAATTTGCTCATTGACCAAATACTTATGTGGCAATCATGTGTCAGTCACCGTGTTAAGGGCTTTGAATACCACAGTGAACAAAAAGGCATAACACACATCTTGCCTTCCCTAGGGGACTTTTCAATTCAGAGCAAGGACAATTAAATAAGCAGTCACACCAACCCCTGCTCTCCTGGGTGGTAAAAGAAAGCACAAGTACCCTTCACCCAGAAGTGCCAAATGCAGACTGTGGGAGGGGAGGGAAGGAGTTAGGGAAGGCTGCCAAAGACAAGACTTGTGAGGTTATTTGTTAAATCCATATTAAAAAATATTATTCAGACAGTAAGAAGAGTGTTGGAGTGTTATATTTACTTCATTTTTGTATTTTGCATTTTTTTTTTTTTGAGTTAAGAGTCTCGCTCTGTCGCCCAGGCTGGAGTGCAGGGGCATGATCCCCACTCACTGCAAGCTCTACCTCCCAGGTTCACATCATTCTCCTGCCTCAGCCTCCCGAGTAGCTGGGACCCACCACCATGCTCAGCTAATTTTTTGTATTTTTAGTAGAGACGGGGTTTCACCATGTTAGCCAGGATGGTCTCGACCTCCTGAACTCGTGATCCACCCACCTCAGTCTCCCAAAGTGCTGGGATTCCAGATGTGAGCCACCGCACCCAGCCATCTGTTTGTTTTTTGAGATGGAGTCTCTGTTTCCCAAGCTGAAGTGCAGTGACACAATCTCGGCTCACTGCAACCTCCGCCTCCCGGGTTCAGGTGATTCTCCTGCCTCAGCCTCCCGAGTAGCTGGGATTACAGGTACCCACCACCACACCCAACTGATTTTTGTATTTGTAGTAGAGATGGGGTTTCACTGTGTTTGCCAGGCTGGTCTCAAACTCCTGACCTCAGGTGATCCACCCACCTCAGCCTCCCAAAGTGCTGGGATTAGAGGCATGAGCCACCACGCACGGCCTATAATTACTTCTATAGAAAGATATGACACTCTGTTAACAAAAAAAAAAAAGTAGAAATCAACACACAGAGTATCTTCTGGGAATGGAACAGCACATATATCAAGTTTCAATACGTAGTAATGATAGCTTATCAAATCTGTACTTTAAAGATGGTTCATCAATAAATGGTACTTGGGAACGACATAAAAATGAATGCTAAGTTATATCCCAACTGGATTAAAGAGTTGAGATTTAAACAACTGGGCTAGGAAAGAACCAGAAAATATACATAAGTATTTTTATATCCTAAGGGTCTAAGCATGACACTAAAAGGAGAATTCACAAAGACAAAAATTACTAGGTCTTAAAGAAAAAAGCTGTGAGACTTATACTATCAGATTTTAAAACTTAAAATTAACCCCTACGAGCCTTCTAGTTTCCAATGCAGCAAGAAAGTTGCTTGGACGTCATCACTGTGTCTTAACAAGTAAAAAGCTGAACAAATTGAAAAATCAACAACTGTTCTTAGATCCATCAGAGAAGTGAGGTCACAGGGCAAACCTGCTGTCCCCATAATTGGAGGGAAAAACAGGCAGGCACAGAGAATCACAACTTAACAGGAGCAGAAACCTCCACAGAGACCAGCGCTAACACAGGGAAACTGAACTGTAATTGACAAAGTGCTGGAGGCTCAGTGTGGACAAGTCTGACACATAAAAATTCCAGACAGACCCAGTCATTAGGGGCCCTACACTTTTGTGAGTTTTACCTACTGGAGCTCTGCCAGATTCTCACAGTAAGTATACAGGGGGAAATCCCTTGTGCTTCCGGTAAGGGGAGGGAAACAGGAACCATTTGACATGTGTCAGAGCATTCTGTTGATAACAAGGTCTGCTCCCAGGAGAAACGATTTAACCAGAACCTAACTTGCTTGGTTTTATCAGAGCCTAACTAACCAAGTGGAAGAGAAATACCCAACTCCAGCCAGCACCGGCCTTCCATGTAAGAAAAGGGAAATAGCCAACTGCAGCACACTCTAGCCAACCTGTCCCAAGGGGGAAGAAAAAACTGAGAAGTATTTGTGAAGTTCACAGTCCAGGGGTACAGCCTCACTAAAAGACTGAGACCTAGACTGGGCGCGGTGGCTCACACCTGTAATCCCAGCACTTTGGGAGGCCAAGGCAGGTGGATCATTTGAGGTTAGGAGTTCAAGACTAGCCTGCCCAACATGGTAAAACCCCGTATCTAGTAAAAATACAAAAATTAGTGGAGCATGGTGGCGGGTGCCTGTAATCCTAGCTACTTGGAAGGCTGAGGCAGGAGAATTGCTTGAACCTGGGAGGCAGAAGTTGCAGTGAGCCAAGATCGTGCCACTGCACTCCAGCCTGTGACAGAGCAAGACTCCGTCTCAAAAAAAAAAAAAAAAAACACTGAGACCTAATCATAAGACTACAGAATGCTTCCCCTCCCCATACACCATACCATCACATTATTAAAGGTCTAGTGAGAGCAGTTCCTTTTACCCAGGATATCACGTTCAGTGACAAGAAGTTACAAGGCACACTAAAAGGCAAAAAGCAAAGTTTAAAGAGATAGCACAAGGATCCAAACCAGGCTCTGACACGGCAGGGATGTTGGGATAACCCGACCAGATGCAAAGGGCTCCAGTGGATAAAGTACACAGCACACAAGAACAGATAGACAATGTAAACAGAGATCGAAATCCTAAGAAAGAACAAAATCGAAATGCTGGAGCTCTAAAACACTCTAACTTTGGAAATGAAGAATGGCCTTGAGACTGGATATGGCTGATGAAGGAATCTCTGAGTTTAAGGATTCTCAACAGAAACCTCTAAAACTGAAAAGCAAAATGAAAAAAGACTGAAATAAACCAGAATGGAATATTCAGGAGCTGTGGGATAACTATAAAGGGTGTAATGTATGTGTAACAGGAATACCAAGAGGAAAAGAAAGAGAGAAAAGAACAAAAGTAGTATTTGAACGAATAATCACTCAGGATTTCCCCATGTTAATGTCAGGCCCCAAACCACAGTCAGGAGGCTCCCAGAACACCAAGTAGGATAAATGTCAGAAAAACTATAGATAAGCATGTAAGTTTCAAACCACAGAAAATCAAATATTTAACAAAATCCAGAAAGAAGACAGAGGGAAAAAAGCCTTACCTATAGAAAAGGAAAGAATGATTTCAACTTCTACCCAGAAAGCATGCAAGCAAGGAGACGGCAGGGTGAAATATTTAAGCCCTGAAAGAAAAAATCACCACCTAGAATCTGCACCCTATGAAAATGTCCTTCAACACTAAGGGAGAAATACTTTTTCAGACAACTGGAATCTGGGGGAATTTGTTGCCAGTAGATCTTCCTTGAAAGAAATGTTAAAAGAAGTTCTTCAGAGAAAAGGAAAATGATACAGGTCAGAAACTCAGATCTAAGAAAAGAAAGGAAGAACATCAGAGAAGGAGTAAAATAAAAATGTTTATTTTTCTTATTCTTAATTCATCCAACAGATAGCAATTTGGCCAAAATAATAAGATAGCAACAATATATTGATTATGCATGCCTATGTATAAGTAAAATGAGTGATGGCAATGATACAAGGACAGGAGGGAAGAATCAGGATTATTTTGTTATTATAAGGAGGCCGGGCACAGTGGGTCAAGCCTATAATCCCAGCACTTTGGGAGGCCGAGCCAGGTGGATCACTTGAGGTCAGGAGTTCAAGACCAGCCTGGCCAACATGGTAAAACCCTGTCTCTACTAAAGATTAAAAAAATTAGCCAAGTGTAATGGTGAGCGCCTGTAATCCCTGCTACTTGGGAGGCTGAGGTAGGCAAATTGCTTGAACCTGGGAGGTGGAGGTTGCAGTGAGCCGAGATCAGGCCACTGAACTCCAGCCTGGATGACAGAGTGAGACTCGATCTCGAAAAAAAAAAAAAAAAGATTATTTTATTATCATAAAATACTTGTCCTACTCAGGAAGGAATATAGTGTTCTTTGAAAATGGACTTCAATTACTGGTAGACCTATATTACAAACTCTAGGGAAAACACTAAAAAAACAACAAGTGAAGTATGATTAATATGCTAAGAAAAGAGAGAAAATGGAATCATATTTAACATACTCAAAACCACAAAAGAAAAAATGTGGAATACAAAAATAGAAACAAAGAACAAGACCAACAAATAGAAAACATTAACAAATACAGTAGATGTTAATCCAACTATATCAAATCCCCTGAAATGTATGTGATATTGTTGCAAGAACAGACAAATAGACCAAAGGAACAGAACACAGCCCAGGAAAAGAGTCACACAAATATAGTCAACTGATCTTTAGCAAAAGAGAAAAAAGTGAAAAAAGTAATACAATGGGGAGAAGATAATTTTTTTCAACAAATAGTGCTGGAACTAGAAATCCACATGCAAAAAAAAGAATCTAGACGAACACCTTATACCTCTCCCAAAAATTAACTCTAAGTGGATTACAAAATTAAATGTAAAAGGCAAAACTGTAAGAGTTCTAGAAGATAACACAGGAGAAAGTCTAGATGACCGTGGATTTGGTAATAGCTTTTTAGATAGCAAACCAAAGGCATGACCCATGAGAGAAAAAATTGGTAAGTATTAAACATTTTTGCTCTGCAGAAGACACTGCCAAGAGATGAAAAGACAAGCTACAGACTGGGAGAACACATTTGCAAAAGACATATCTGATAAAGGACTCCAAAATATACAAAGAACTCTTAAATCTCAACAATAAGAAAATGAACAACCCAATTAAAAATGGGCCAAAGACCATAGCAGACATCTCATCAAAGATATATGAATGGCAAATAAGCATATGAAAAAATGTTCCACATCACCTGTCATCAGGGGAATGCAAAATAAAGCAACAGTGACAGAACTCTCATCCATTGCTCATGGGAATACAAAATGGTACAGCCACTTTGGAAGACAGTTTGGCAGTTTCTTAAAAAACTAAACAATACTCTTATGAAACTACCCAGCAACTACACTCTTTGGTATTTACTCCAAGGAGTTGAAAATTTATATGCAAACACAAACTTGCACACAGATGTTTATAGCAGCTGGGTTCAAAATTGCCAAAACTTGGAAGAAACCAAGATGCCCTTCAGTGGGTGAGTAAACTGTGGTACATCCAGACAACAGAATATTGTTTAGCTCTAAAAAGAGATGAACTATCCATGTGAAAACACATGAAAGGAACCTTAAATGCATATTGCTAAGTGAAAGAAGCAAATCTGAAAAGGCTACATACAGTATGATTCCAACTATATGACATTCTGGAAAAGGCAAAGCTACGCAGACAGTAAAAGATCCATCCATGGTTGCCAGGGATGAGGGAGGGAGAGATAAACAGGCAGAGTACAGGAGATTCTTAGGGCAGTGAAACTACCCCATATGACACTGTAATGGTGGATACATGTCACTATACATTTGTCCACACCCACAGATGTACAACCACAACAATGAACCCTAATGTAAAATACAGACCATGGCTGATAATGATGGATCCGTGTAGGTTCATCAGTTATAATAAATGTGCCACTCTTGCGGGTGATGTTGATAAGGAGGTAATGTACGCATGCATGGAATAGGGGGGATATGGAAAATCTCTGGACCCTCTGCTCAATTTTGTTTTGAGTCTAAAACTGCTCTAAAATATAAAGTCCATTAAAAAAAAAAATCCAGACCCCCTACCTTATGCAATACCCCCAAATTAATCTCAGATGATTCACAGACCAAATTGAAAAATAATAATAACAACACTTCTGAAAGAGGAAAACATAAGAAACTATCTTCATGACCTTGGGGTGGGCAAAGATTTCACAAATAGGACAGAAAAAGCACTAAACATATACTTTTTTAAAGTGATAAACTAGACTTTGTTAAAATGAAGAGCTCTGTTTATCAAGCAATATTAAGAGTTTAAACTGGCAAAGACAGGCCAGGCGCAGTGGCTCACGCCTGTAATCCCAGAACTTTGGGAGGGCAAGGTGGGTGGATCACTTGAAGTCAGGAGTTCGAGACCAGCCTGACCAAACTGGTGAAACCCCATCTCTACTAAAAATATAAAATTAGCTGGGCATGGTGGTGCATGCCTATAATTCCAGCTACTTGGGAGCTGAGGCAGGAGAATCGCTTGAACCCAGGAGGCAGAGGGTGCAGTGAGCAAAGATCACGCCATTGCACTCCAGCCTGGGCAACAAGAGCAAAACTCCACCTCAAAAAAATAAAATAAAATAAATAAACTGGTAAAGACAGACTGGGAGAAGATATATTCAGTACCTGTATCTGGACTTGTATTCAGAACCACTATTACTTGCAAAATCATGGAGGAATCTCTGAACACCATGTTGAATGTTATTATAATATTATAATGTTGAGAAATCAGACACAAAGGCATAAACAATCGTTTCATTTATATAAAGTTAAAAAACAAGCAAAACAAAAATAAATTTAAAAGTTCAATAACAGGCAAAATTAATCTACGATGATCAAAGTTGGCATAGTTGTTCACAACATATAAACTATATAAATAGTTGAAGGCCAGGCACAGTGGCTCATGCCTGTAATTCCAGCATTTTGGGAGGCCAAGGTAGGAGGATCACTTGAAACCAGGAATTCAAGACCAGCCTGGGCAACAAACAAGACCCCATCTCTCAAAAAAAAATATTTTTAGCCAGGTGTGGTGGAGCACATCTGTATCCCAATTACTAGGGAGGCTGAGGCAGGAGGATTGCTTGAGTCCAGGAGTTCAAGACCAGCTTGGGCAACAAAAGGAAACCACCATCTCCACAAAAATAATAATAATTAATAACATATATATAGTTGCAAAAATATGTACAACATGATTTCAATTTTATAAGTGAAATATAGACACATATGTATGAACATGCATAAAAACCGTAGAAGATGTAATGCAGTATAGTAACTGTTTACCTTTGAATTCTGGTAAAGTATGAGTCATTTTCTTCAATATCTATGTTCTAAATGTAAAGTTTTTAGCAGATATGCTATGCAATTCTTTAAGCTGATGAAAGGAAATGCCTTTGACTTCTTTATTATTGGTACTCTTGGTTCAAAAGGTCAGTATTCATTACATTCAGATCTATTATTTACTCTCCCCATTTCCATCTTTCCCATTCATCCCTCTATACAATGGCTTCCACACAAAACACTGCACCATACTTCCTTTTTGACATAGTAATTAAAGACCAACTGGTAAAGCTATTTTCTTTTTTGTCATACCTTTACTTCGTAATCTTTCTGGAAACTCACTGTTTCCTTGAGTTGCATGGAATTCAACCAGTATCTTTATCAAATTCTTCCCAGACTCATTCTCTATGTGCTTCACGTTGAAAGCTTCAACACCCGCAGACTCCCTCTTTGCCTTCTTTAGGCACTTCTTGGGTCATCCCATCTGCTTACTTGCCTTTAACTACAATCCGTTGCTAAAGAGATGACTTTCAGATCTACACCTGGTATTCCTTCCCCAATGTTCTCCTGAGTCTCCAAACCCATAGAAGCTATTATCCACTAGACATTACCTGATGCCTCAACACGAACCTAAGATGCAATACACTTACATTTCTCTAAAACGATATTAGGTAAAAGGTCTGGAGGGAACCAGTTTACTAAGGAGTTAGCCAGCTTGCAGACACTGGCTTTAGACAACATATTTGCACAAATCAAGCACAGCAGTCTTGTCTGATTTCAGAAGTGGCTGAAAGCAGGATAGTATTTTAGCTAAGCAGAGCAGGGTAAAATGGCATTAAATCCAAGCTGAATGGAATCAGCCCTGGGGGATCTATGCCTGTGGATAGGGGTCCCACGGTTTACATGAAAGTTAAAGCCTTCAAAAAAGTGGTAGGAAACAGATGTCCAGATTAGCCAGATGGGTTAAGGCTCAAGAATAGACTTTGGCACTGATGATGAGAGGTGGAAATAAACAAAATAGGTCAATAAGAAGGGAAACTTGTCAGAACCATGAAAGGGAGACGAGCTCATCCTAAAGCAAAGGAAAGAAGAAGATATATTTCATTGACTACAAGAAACTCTAGGATAAAGGCCATGCCATGATTTAATGTACCATTATCTTATGCTTCTCCTTTGTGAAAGTCTCAATGCCACCAATTAAATGTAACATGTCATCTCTGGCTGCATTCAATTTTCAAAATGTTCAAAAGTGACAAAATGTGCATGCTGCAACTCAGGAGTAGCTGAGACTTTGTCCTCAGTGTGCTAAGGACAGAAAATGTGACTCTCAGGCCTCTAGGATGGGAAGAAGGATGCAGGGACATCACACACTCCTGCTGCTCCCTACTACTGGCCAACAAGCAGGAAACTGAGCAGGATGAAATGACTACACTGTCTTTAACATGACAATCACAGAGAAGTGTAATGATAAGGAAAAATACTTATGACACGATGTTAAACAAAAACAAAAGTAACATATAAGATGGAATTAAATTTGCAAAAAAGCATGCCCTCCCCCAGTGGATTAAGTAGAAGTACTTCAAATGTTAATTACTGTGTTAAGGTCCTGGAATTATAGGTAATTTCTTTCCTTGCTTCTTTGTATTTCTCTTTACTTCCCCCAAATTGCCATAAGCAGCACATAATATTTTTATAACCTGATATAAGGCCAAATGTGAAATGTTTGTTTTTTAATTTGCAAATTGGCCACATACATAAATTGGTTTATTTAAATATTAGATAGAGGGCTATCTCATTAATGTACAATAAGCCCCTCGTAGCAATGGAACAACCATTATTTAGATAATGATGTCAGGTCAGAGTATCCTAACATCTGTAGAGAGAGGGCCAATGGTCATTGTTAACGTGCAATGCAAGAAATTATGTTGGTCATTTTTCTTTTTTTAAATATGGGTTTCAAGAATGTTAATGCTATTACTTAAACAGAGAGAAGAATTAAATAGTTCAGTTTACTACTGGATCTTGACCTTGGCATAATCATAGTTCAGCAGAAACACATCTGGTCACATTGCTGATAAAAGTTTACTGCTAAAAGCTGGCAGCGTTTTCTTGTATAAGATATATTTCTCTTTTTTTAAAAAAAGGACTGTTTGACAAGTAGCTATCGCGGACAGAAATTGAAGTTAACACATTTTTTACTCTGGTATCTTGATGGAATTGGTTTTTAGCCCACATACTCAAGTACCAATATATTTCTCTCCTCATATTGAAAAGGAACATTTTGACAAAGGATAAAGATCTGGAAATGTAAACATTGTACTTGCCAAGAGTTAAAAACAAAATATGCTACCTTCTTCTTTGGGTAGTACTAGATCAGAAATAGGCTGAAAATCTTGGGACAAATCAAAATTTTTTGTTTATAAAGTTTAAGAAATTCTCTTCAAATGCCTTTCCTTGCTCAGGCATAGTAAAAGTCTAATCAAATAACAGAAGATAACAGTATGGATGCTCTAATTAAAATATCTGAAATAACACTCTTATTTATAGTAATCTGGTATCACTTGAGTTTTTATTTTTTATTGTAATATATTTATTTTGAGACAGAGTCTTGCTCTTGTTGACCAGGCTGGAGTGCAATGGTGCGATCTCGGCTCACTACAACCTCCGCCTCCTCGGTTGAAGCAATTCTCCTGCCTCAGCCTCCCGAGTAGCTGGGATTACAGGTACCTGCCACCACTCCTGGCTAATTGTTTTTTTGTATTTGTAGTAGAGACGGGGTTTCACCATATTAACCGGGCTGGTCTTGAACTCCTGACCTCAAGTGATCTGCCCACCTCAGCCTCCCAAAGTGCTGGGAATACTGGCGTGAGCCACCGCGCCCAGCCAGCATTTGAGTTTTTATGTTTGACCCTAGCTAACACATATAACTACAAAATATATGTTTTAAGTGCTAAACAACAGTAAAACAAATCTTTCTTAATAGCATCTACTATGTCTTATAAGATCAGACATTCAGAAGGAAATAACAGCTTGAGTCAATTTAAAGGAAAATTTTTAAGAGCAGCATCCTGCCACAGATCTTCTCTCACAAGGCAACAAAAACAATGCCAAGAACAAGAAACAACAACTCTTAATTGCTACAAAATGCTCAGAAAGTCATTGCCCTAATGTGTGGGCAGTTTAAATTGCCCAAAGAAACATTCCAACAAGAATTACATAGAGACAATAATGACTTCTATTTAAGATGCTCCTGGGTTGAAATTATTTTCTAACTTTAAGTTACTGCATTACTGTCATGAGCAAACCCAAAGTAATTACAATTGAATTCATCACCCAAAGGCTAGTGACTTTGAGGTAAGAATTCAGTTTTTGGAACATTTTGACCAAAGACAGGAAGTAAACTATTAAGCTATTGTGTTAATGTTTCCTTGTCATCTTCCATACTCAAAGAACACAGCCTAGATAACAATGTCAGATGGGCCTGACTTTGCCAGCTCCTGCTGTTTAACTCCCATTTAAATCCATTCTAATTTTTATGCTATGTAAATCCAAGACCGCTTAGAAACTAAAGTAAGGCCTTTTTGCATTTCTTAAATAACATCAGTATTAATAACCAAAGAAAGCATGGATTTAACTTCGGGCATAAAACAGCAAAAGAAACCCACAAAGATTTAATCAGCTGGACAACTGGTAAAACACATATGGTACTTTACAAATCTCTGTTGAGTTTCCACCCATTCATTCTTTTAAGAAACAGACTGGGTGCAGTGGCTCACACCTGTAATCCCAGCACTTTCGGAGGTTGAGGCAGGCGGATCACTTGAGGTCAGGAGTTTTGAGACCAGCCTGGCCAACATGGTGAAACCCCATCTCTACTAAAAATACAAAAATTAGCCGGGCATGGTGGTACACACCTGTAATCCTAGCTACTGGGGAGGCTGAGGCATGAGAATCACTTGAACCCAGGAGGCAGACGTTGCAGTGAGCCAAGATCACACCACCGCAAACCAGCCTAGGCAACAGAAAGAGACTCCATCTCAAAAAAAGAAAAAAAAGAAGAAAAAAAGAAACATTTATCAGGCCTGGAGCAGTGGCTCATGCCTATAATCCCAACACTTCCAAGGCAGGAAGATTGCCTGAGGCCAGGAGTTTGAGATTGTCTCTACAAAAAAAAAAATCAAAAAATTAACTAGGCATGGCAGTATGTGCCTGTGGTCCCAGTACTTGGAAGGCTGAGGAAGGAGGACCGTTTGGGCCCAGGAGTTGGAGGCTCCAGTGAGCTATGATGGTGCCACTGTGTTCTAGCTTTGGTGACAGAGCAAGACCCAGTCTCCAAGAAAAAAATGGAAGCATTTATCAAATACCTTAAAGTGTACTATGCTAGACATTGTGCAGAATTCAGACATAAGGAAGGAATCCAGCTCAGGAGAGAGCAGCTAAGACAAAACAGAAGAAAAACAGTGTTTTTTAATAGATATAAAACTTAGGAAGGGAAAAAGGGGCAGCTAATTGTAATCAGAAAAGACTTTGCAGTATAGTAATCACAAAACTGGGTCTAGGAGGTGCACAGAATTTCTACAAGTCAAAGAATGGAAAGAAAGAACATTCCTTCCAAAATCTGGGGAGACAGTAACCGAAGACTCAGAAGGGAGAAGGTGGTGGGTACATGTGCAGAAATGGTAACGTAAGCAGGGAAGCATGGCCCTCCTGGGGAATACGGTGAAAAATGAGCCAGGAAATGTACATCGAGGCCAGACAGTGATGGGTTAGGAATGTCAAAGTAAGCGCTGGGCACAGGAGAGAAAGGCAAGTTTTCTGGGACAGTGACTCCCATATCTGGCTGCATACCAAATGACGCCTGGGATGTCTAACAAGCAGATCTCAGATGCCATGAGGACCAGGAAACTGTCATTTTTTTAAGCTCCTGGGGTGATTGTCATTATCAGTCAAATGTCAAGAAGGCATAAAGAACGCTTAGAAAAGTGACAGAAAGGAAGCAAGGAAGGAAGGAAGGAAGGAGGATTAATGGAAAAGCAGAACCAGATGGTTACTTTAGGTGAAAAAGAAAAGGAAGGTAAGTATGCCATATGAAAACACACAAGAAAGGCCAAATGTTTGCAGAAAATGACATTCAGTGTGAACATTCTGAGGCTATTGATGGCTTAGGAAATGTGGTTCTAGAAATTCAGGAAAATTAACTTCATATTTAAATGTATACTATTTGCAGACCCTTTTTTTTTTTTTTTTTTTTTTTTTTTTTCAGATAGGGGTCTCACTGTCACCCACGCTGGAGTGCAGTGGCGCAATCTCGGCTCACTACAACCTCTGCCTCCCAGGCTCAAGTGATTCTCCCACCTTAGCCTCCTGAGTAGCTGGGACCACAGGTAATTTTTGTATTTTGTTTTTTGGTAGAGACGGGGTTTTGCCATGTTGCCAGGCTGGTCTTGAACTCCTGACCTCAAGTGATCTGCCCACCTTGGCCTCTCAAAGTGCTGGGATTACAGGTGTGAGCTACCACACCTGGCCTGCAGACGCCTCTTTTAAGGTGGTTACGTGTAGTCGGTCCTCCATATCTGTGGGCTCCATTTCCACACATTCAACCAACCATGGATGAAAAATATTTGGAAAAAATAAAACAATTAAAAGTCACACAAATATTTAAAATGCAGTATAACAACCACTTACATGGCATTTACATTGTACTACATATTATAAGTAATGTAGAGATGATTTAAAGTATACAGGAAGATAAGTGTAGATTATGTGCAAATACTATGCCATTTTATTTTTATTATTTATTTATTTATTTTTTGAGACAGAGTCTCACTCTGTCACCCAGGCTGCAGTGCAGTGGCATGATCTTGGCTCACTGCAGCCTCCACCTCCCAGGTTCAAGTGATTCTCCTGCCTCAGCCTCCCAAATAGCTGGGATAACAGGTGCATGTCATCACAACTGGCTAATTTTTTGGTATTTCTAGTAGAGATGAGGTCTGACCATGTTGGCCAGGCTGGTCTTGAACTCCTGACCTCAAGTGATCCACCTGCCTCGCCCTCCCAAAGTACTGGGTTTGCAGGCAGGCATGAACCACCATGCTTGGCCTATGCGATTTTATATAAACTTGAGCATCTGTGGATTTTGGTACCCATGGGGAGTCCTACGACCAATCTTCCATAGATTCCGGGTTGGGTATCTATGGGGAATTGGTTCTAGGACCAACTGTTATTAACTTTGGGAGTATATATACCTCTCTCCTTAAATGAATAAAAGGCAAATGATACATACAAAGCATTGTGCTACAAACTTAAGAGGAACTCAATAATTATTTAACAAATAGTAAATGTTCAAAATTCCTTGAAGAAGGAAGTCTCTAAAAAGTTGAAAGTTATATTTCATCTTTTTTTATTTTAAAGAGAAAAGAGGAAAAAGTACCTCTGTTCTTTTCTTCCATCTTTCTTTCTTCTTAACTTCAGTACACACCTGAGGGTTGTTTATTTATTTTTAAGATGTCATAATTCTTACCTTGACTGCCAAGGCTTTTAAACTGTCAAGGAATCTCTGCCAGAAATCCTTGAAGAGTGGGCGGTCGATTTTCTTCAGGCTGTCTTTGGTACTGGCATCCACACTGACATACAGCTGAGTAACCGGCTCGAGGTTCCTTAGTAATATTTTTTTTAAAAGAAGAAAGAAAAATTATTCCTCTATCAGGCTTTCCATGATATAAAACCTGCAATCTGTAATAGACATGGGGATTAAACACTTCACTGGGTCTAGAGACTTCCACTTCCCCCAAAAGACTGAACTAATGATTTTAATCATGTGACAAAATGGGACGGCCTCTGGTTATTTTTTAAATGACTGGAAACCATCCCTAATACATTGAAAATATTGAATTACTTAAAATTGGTCCTTCTTCAAATACTAAGTTTGAATGGAAAATAAACAAAATGTGATCTAACTTCAAGTCTGACAGCATCAGCCCAGCACAATTAGAGGGGCTCTCTGATCTAACTTCCCCACCCACACACTCTGCCAACCACATGGGGTCTGTGCTGCTGGGCCACCTCCCTCCATCAATCACTGACGGAAGTCTTCTAAGGAACAAGAAACAATCCCAAAAGCTCAGGCCTTACTCAAAGGACGCAGAGTCACACCTATGCTTCCATAAGTGGGACTGGGTTTCATGTCAAGCCTTGGGTGGGCAAACAATGACCCATTTGGGGAACTTTAAGTAGTGCAGACCTAAAACAGTAGAAACCTCATACTTACACAGGACCACAGCCCAGAAGAAAAAAATGCATTCTTATTTTCCTTGCCTTTACAATCAGTTTCCATGAATACCACTCATTCTCCGCTTCTCTCAAATTCACTGCCTCATTTCATAATTTCATTCCTACCTACTAGATTTCTAGTAGGTCCTTCTTCTAGTAGGTCTTTTCCCCCGGCCCAATCCCCAGACAGGATCTCATTCTCATCCAGGCTGGAGTGCAGTGGCACAATCACAGCTCACTGCAGTCTCAACCTCCCAGGCTCAAGTGACCCTCTTATCTCAGTGTCTCAAGTAGCTGGGACCACATGCATGTGCCACCATACCCGGCTAATTTTTAAAATTTTTTTGTAGAGACAGGGGTCCCACTACATTACCTAGGCTGGTCTGGAACTCCTGGGCTCAAGCGATCCACCCACCTCAGCCTCCCAAACTGTTAGAATTAGAGGCGTGAGCCACTGCACCCGACCCTACTAGATTTCTTGCAAGTTCTACATTAAACCTAGACTATACTTTTTTTCTTTTCTTTTCTTTTCTTTTTTTTTTTTTGAGATGGATTCTCCCTCTGCCACCCAGGCTAGAGTACAGTGGTGCAATCTCAGCTCACTGCAACCTCTGCCTCCGGGTTCAAGTGATTCTCCTGCCTCAGTCTCCTAAGTAGCTGGGATTACAAGTGTACCGTGCCACATCCGGCTAATTTTTGTATTTTTAGTAGAGAAGGGGTTTCACTATGTTGGCCAGGCTGGTCTTGAACTCCTGACCTCAGGTGATCCACACACCTTGGCCTCCCAAAGTGCTGGGATTACAGGCGTGAGCCACTGTGCCTGGCTTAGACTGTACTTTTTCTAAAGCCTCTCCCCTTCTCTCTTCAAATAGGTCTCATAATTCAATCTCTTCAGTAAATTTAGAACTAGAAAAAACAAATTCCCCCTTAATCATCTTCTGATCAAATTCTCCCAATATTCTTTTTCTATAAGGATTCCACAATTTATTCCACATTTCCACCTAGAAGTTTTGTGCATTTTTTGTTTCAAAGTCCATGCATTTTTAAAAAATGAAAATATCACTCACATGCCATACAATTCACCACTTTATAATGGTTTATGTGCTTTATATATGTATCAGTAGCAGCCTTATCAATCTTTGAGTGTAAGATCTTGAAGAGCAAGAATCCTGTTTTTCTTTTTATCCAGCCACACAGGCAGATATTAAAGCTACTTTTTAGGAGATATTGTTGATTTCAGCAGACAGAATTTTTAAGGGAATATAGGCCAAACAGATGCTTGCAATGATGTGGCTTAGTGATATATAGAAAAATCACAAGTGTCTAGACTTCTGTTCACTTCTGTTGAAAGTGGAGAGGCTCTGACCAAATGTAGGACAGAGGTGATTAAGATCCTGGCAGGCTCTCATTGCTTTAATGCCTCTGCAATACCGATATACTAAGGGGATCCTTCAAAGTTCAGGTAATGTGCCACTACTGAGCAAAGCACGTTAATTACTGAAAATGTAAAACAAAAGCATCAGTAATAACAGCATTCTGTCTCATCACCCCTTTGCTGAGTGCCTCTTTAATAAAAGACAAGCTATGCTTCCTTAACTGGACTTCTATTTAAAAAAAAAAAAAAAAAAAGGACTGTCTTAATGGTTACTGCTGGCTATCATCATCTGATAACTAACAGGACTTTGTCAAAAGCTTCCTGATGCAAAATGAGAACTGCCCTGACCTTTTCAGTATGCTTCCATAACTACTTAAGATTATGAACAGCACATTCCAAAGGCCATACTCCTTTTACAAACCTCTATCATTTACAAAATAGGAAGCCCTGGACACTGACACTACCAATAAGGAATTCTAGCCAATACTAGATGTCTGAGATGCTACACTCAAGGAAGTCCAATAAGGAATTCTAGTCAATACCAGATGTCTGAGATGCTGCACTCAAGGAAGTCTACAGATCTCTTGTCAAGGAGCAGAGGAAGAATGGAGAAGAGGAAAAGGTCCCCAGGAATTACAGAGCTCATTTCTAAGGGGCTCAAAATTAGCAAAGAGACTTTTGGAGATATTTTCTGAGCTTTAGGGATCTTATTTCTGCCTCACACTGGTCTCTATTCACCCAGAAGAGATAATGAGGCTCCCAGTAGAGTCAGTTATCTGTCTCTATTCTATACAGAGATAACAAATGTTCCCAAAAAGCAAAAGAGTCTTACATCATCAAAATCATCATAATAATTCCTGTATCTGAGAATCTCAACAGCACTGCTGGGAGTAATTAAAAAGGATATCCTCTGCTCTCCCAAAAACAGACAATATTTAAGATAGACAACCTTAAGCCCAATCCTCTGTACAAATGCCCCAGGATTCTTGATCTGAGTACTGTAAGGACCCTTCATCTTAATTTTAAATCTCTGAGTGAAGAATTATCATATATAAAAATGTGCTGATGAACATAAAAATCCCTCTCCCATGTTGCCTTTCTGTAGAGATTATCAGGCCTCTTTCTACCTTCCAAGGCTCAGAAGGTAGAATGAGGCCTGACATATCTGCAGGAAAAAAAAGGAGAGAGATTTATGTTTGTAAGAAATTCAAGTAAACAGTGACTTTGAAGCTCCTCCTTGGGATAAAAAAAATAAGCAGAGTGACCCAAACAAGCAATGATATTAAAACCTAAATCTCTAAGACAATCTGAGGCTGTCAGATCAAGCCAAATAGCTCAGGAGGAAGAGGGGAGGAGGGTGAAAGAGAAGGAGAGAATTATTTACCACTCAGCGAGCTGGCACACTCTGCTGTGTGCTTTACCCTTCTTGATCAGTTCACTGAATCCTCACAATAAAACGACCACGCAGTTGCTACTTATGCCCATTTTAGAGACGATGAAGCTGAGGTTCAAAAGGTTAAGTAACGTGTGCAAGGATCTATAAAGAATAAGCATCATGCCGGGCACAGTGGCTCATGCCTGTAATCCCAACACTTTGGGAGGCTGAGACAGGAGGATCACCTGAGGACAGGAGTTTGAGACCAGCCTGGCCAACATGGTGAAACCCCATCTCTACTAAAAAATACAAAAATTAGCCAGGCATGGTGGCGCACGCCTGTAATCCCAGCTACTCAGGAGGCTGAGGCACAAAAATCACTTAAACCCAGGAGGCGGAGGCTGCATGAGCCAAGATTGCGCCACTGTACTCCAGCCTGGGCAACAGAGCAAGACTCCACATCAAAAAAAAAAAGAAAGAAAAAGAAAAAGAAAGAAAGAAAGAAAAGAAAAACAGTAAGCGTCAAGGAGATTCAAGTCCAGAGATGACTCCAGAGCCTTTCTCCTAACTCTGCACCATGATGGCAAAATCCACAGTGTGGCTCAGTGTTCAAGTCACAGCGGTTACATGTAACAAACGGTATTCCATAAATGAAAAATCCAAGAGAATACGGATGATCTGTGAAATGCAGATTCTGACTGCAAAGTCCTAAGAGAAGCCAAAACAACAAGTCCTCAGGAAGAAATTCTGAACTTAATTCTTTTCAGGGGCTTATGCACTTCATTCAACATTTATTCAGGGATTACTATGAACTGCACACTGAGGCCAAGAGGCTCAGCCCTTAATATTTACATTCTGGAGGGAACAGAAGATGGATGAGAGTCCCACCACGCAGCGCCATGACTAAGGTGGGGAAAATGTAATGGGTATAAATGGAGGAGTGAGTTGATTTTGCTTGGCAAAATCATACAAAAGACGTAACAAGGTCAAAGTCAAAGCTGATCTCTGAAGGACACAGAGTTCATCAGGAAGAGAATGAGATCATTTCCACGGATGTCCAAAGAAGAAATGCAAAGGCCTGCAGCTGTGAGATGCAGCAGGATAAAGGAATCACAAACTATCCCCCATGGTTCTAACATGGCAAATGGAATTCGGGGATGCCTGCAGCCAGGTCTCATGTCCTGCCAGGGTTAGGTTTGGCTTACTGAAGTTTTATGTAGCCAGTGACACAGTCAGATCAGTGCTGATGAAAGTCACGTGGCTCCAGTGTGATGGATGGATTAAAAAGCCAGCACAGCGCACCGTTCTGCATCTGGCTCCCCTGTGCCTCCCACTTATCACCAATCCAACAACCTCTTAACCACAATTTAAAAATCCAAAAAGCTCTAATAACAAAAAGGTTGCTTTTCTAAGTTGGGAGACATACTTACCTCGAAGTAGAATCTGACTTACAAAGCTGTTTGTATTCTTAATTTTTCTTTTGTTTTCTTTTTTTTTTTTTTAAAGACAAGAGTCTTGCTCTGTCACCCAGGCTGGAGTGCAGGGGCATGATCTTGGCTCACCACAACCTCCACCTCCCGGGTTCAAGCAACTCTCCTACCTCAGCCTCCCAAGTAGCTGGTTCTACAGGCACGCACCACCACACCTGCCTAATTTTTGTATTTTTAGTGGAGATGGGGTTTTGCCATGTTGGCCAGGCTGGTCTTAAATTCCTGGCCTCAGGTGATCTGCCTGCCTCGGCCTCCGAAAGTACTGGGATTACAGGCATGAGCCACTGTGCCTGGCCTAATTTTTCCATTTCTGTGACTAAGCATACTTTATTGTAGAACTAATTACATGTGTGTGGCTCTAGGGTGCTGGAGATATACCATAAAATACAGTGGATAAACTGTATTGTCTTTCTAAAATTCTGAAACACTTTTGGGCACAAGGGGTAAAAGATTGTGAACTTGTAGAAATCATTCCATATCAATACATAAAGAGCTTTTGCACTTTCTTTTTTTTTTTTTTTTTTTTTTTGTCAGACAGAGTCTCGCTCTGTCACCCAGGCTGGAGTGCAATGGCACAATCTTGGCCCACTGCAACCTCTGCCTCCCAGGTTCAAGCGATTCTCCTGCCTCAGCCTCCGGAGTAGCTGGGATTATAGGCACCCACCACCATGCCCAGCCAATTTTTTTGAATTTTTAGTAAAGACAGCGTTTCGCCACGTTGGCCAGGCTGTTCTTGAACTGACTGCAGGTGACCCACCTGGCTCAGCCTCCCAAAGTGCTGGGATTATGGGTGTGAGCCACCACGCCGGGATCTTTCTTTGATTTTCTAACAACTACAGAGAAAGAATGTACTTTGTGATTTCTCTTTGATATTCTGGTTATTTAACAAGTGTGTTGTTTAATTTCCACATATTTGTGAATTTCCCAAATTCTAGTTTGTGAAGTTCTTGATCATTATTTGTTCAAATATTCTTTCTTCTCATTTCTCTCTCTCCTGTCCTTCTGGAATTCCCTTTATAAATATGTTGGCATGCCTGAAGGTGCCCCATGGGTCTCTGAGAGACTTTAGTGATAGTCTATTTGATGAGTCATCATTTTCATACTTTTGTTTCTTTGAAAATGCTTTTCTGGCCAGGTGTGTTGGCTCACGCCTGTAATCCCACCACTTTGGGAGGGCGAGAGGGGCAGATCACTTGAGGTCAGGAGTTCAAGACCATCCTGGCCAACAAGGTGAAACCCTGTCTCTTCTAAAAATACAAAAATTAGCCAGGAGTGCCACATGCCTTAATCCCTTGCTGCTCAGGAGGCTGAGGCAGGAGAATTGCTTGAACCCGGGAGGCGGAGGTTGCAGTGAGCTGAGATTGTGCCACTGCACTCTAGCCTGGGTGACAGAGCAAGATTCCGTCTCGGAAAAAAAAAAAGGATAAGAAAATGCTTTCCTGTAGTTCTTTGAACACATTTAAAATAGCCAATGTCAAATCTTTGTCTAGTAAGTCCAACATCTAGGCTTCCTTGTAGATGGATTCTATTCTGTTTCCTTTCATGTGTATAGGCCACATTCTTGTTTCTTTGTATATCTTGTCGGTTTCTTTAAACACTAGACATTTTCTTTTTATTTATTTTTTGCGACAAGGTCTCACTCTGTCCCCCAGGCTGGAGTGCAGTGGCATGATCATGGCTCACTGCAATCTTGAACTCCTGAGCTCAAGCAACCCTCCCAACTCAGCATCCTCAGTAGCTGGGACTACAGGCATGCACCAAAACACTTGGCTAATGTTTTAATTTTTTGTAGAGACAGGGTCTCACTATGTTGCCCAGGCCAGTCTCAAACTCCTGGCCTCAAACAATCCTCCCGTCCCAGCCTCCCGAAGTTCAAGCAATGACAGACATGAGCCACCACGCCTGGCTATTATTTTAAATATCATTAGTGGCAACTCTGGAAATCAGATACCTCTCAACCCAGGTTTGTTTGGTTTGGTTGGTTACTTTGGTTTTGGGAATATTGTTTTGTTCGTTTCTTGGTTTTCTTTTTTGCTGTTTGTTGTGCTTATTTTTGCTGAAATAATTTGGTAAATTCGATATTCATTGTTGTGTTTGGCCACTGAAGTCTCTGTTTGGTTAGCTTAGTGGTCAGCTCATTAATGGACAGAGATATCCTTAAATGCTTCCAACTGGTAAGCCTCCCAGCCTTTGTCGAGGGGCTCTGTGTTTTTGTTAGGGGATGCCTTCATCACCCAGGCAGGCAGTTTGCAACTCTGCCTTGGTTTTCGCTGCCTGCTTACTCAGTAAGAACCAAAAGCACAGGGCCTTCTCAAGTCTTCTCTGGCATGCCCACAGCCCTGATCGTGTGAGTGGGGTTGGAGATTCCCAGGAATACGATGGAGCTTTTCAAAGTCCCCTATGACATCTCATGGCCCAGCTTTTCCTTTTCCATTTATTGGTGAGCTTCTTGTCTGCCCTAGCTGTTAATGCCACATGAGGCGGCTTTGTGAAGCTAAACAATCGTCTATAATTGTTTAGGAGAAACATCCAAAGGCTTTTTGCACCAGACAAACTTGAGTCACTTCAAATAAAGACAACCCCTGTGAGAGAAAGTTTCCAGGTTTGCCATACAAGTCATATATAATGACAATTTCCCAGGAATGAGACTTTGAAGGAGTTCCCACTCTGTTTTGCCCCCTCCCACAGCGGCTGGGCTGCTGGTTTTCACTGTGGTTGTGAGCTACTGGTTTTCTTTTTTATTTTCTTTTGAAAGGGAGTCTTGCTCTATCCCCCAGGCAGGGGTGCAATGGTGCGATTTCAGTTCACTGCAACCTCCGCCTCCTGGGTTCAAGCGATTCTCTTGCCTCAGCCTCTCGAGTAGCTGGGATTACAGGTGCCCGCCACCACACCCGGCTAATTTTTGTATTTCAGTTGAGACAGGGTTTCACTATGTAGGTCAAGCTGGTCTTGAACTCCTGACCTCAAATGATCCGCCCGCCTCAGCCTCCCAAAGTGCTGGGATTACAGGCGTGAGCCACTGCTCCCAGCCGAGCTACTGGTTTTCAAGGCTAGGGAAAGTGAGAATGGAATAGAACAAGTTAACATCACAAAGCTCTTTTTTCTTACTGAGATGCAACCATTTTTTCGTGAATATATGCTCCTCACATTGTTGCATGCCTTTGGTTAATTTCCACAGGTAAAAAACAGTCGCTTGTGATCATTTTTGCCAGTATTCTCATTGTTTTCACAGAGAAACAAGATTTTTAAGGTCTGTGCTCTGCTATTTCTGCTGACATCCAACCCACATATTTTGTTTTCTTATCTATCATCATTCATCAATATATTTTCTTTCTTTTTTTTTTTTTTTTTTTTTTGAGACGGAGTCTCGCTCTTTTGCTGAGGCCGGAGTACAGTGGCACTATCTCGGCTCACTGCAAGCTCTGCCTCCCGGGTTCACACCATTCTCCTGCCTCAGCCTCCCGAGTAGCTGGGACTACAGGTGCCCGCCACTGCGCCCGGCTAATTTTTTTGTATTTTTAGTAGAGACAGGGTTTCACCGTGTTAGCCAGGATGGTCTCGATCTCCTGACCTCGTGATCCGCCCGCCTCGGCCTCCCAAAGTGCTGGGATTACAGGCGTGAGCCACCGCACCCGGCCTCATCAGTATATTTTCTATTTTCACTGTAACTTCTTTTTGACCCACAAGTAAATAAGAAGTGTGTTGCTTAAATTCCAGAATATTCTAATTATCTCTTGGTATTGGTTTCTAGTTTAATTCTATTGTGTTCAGATATCATGCTCTATACAATTTCGACCCTGTTTTGAAATGTCTATAATGTTCAGCAAATGGCCATTTGGTAATTTTTCTGTGAACAAGTTCTGTGCTCTTGAAAAGAACCTGTATTCAGACCAGACACGGTGGCTCATGTCTGTAATCCCAGCACTTTGGGAGGCCAAGGCGGGCAAAGCAGCTGAGGTCAGGAGTTCGAGACCAGCCTGGCCAACATGGTGAAACCCCGTTTCTCTCAGAAAATAAAAAAATTAGCCGGTGTGGTGGCGCGCACCGGTATTCCCAGCTACTGGGGATGGTGAGGTGGGAGAATCACTTGAACTCAAAAGGCAGCGGCTGCAGTGAGCCAAGATTGCACCACTGCACTCCAGGCTGGGTGACAGGGTGAGACCCTGTCTCAAAAAAAAAAAAAAAAGAAAAAATCTGTATTCCAAAGTTACTGGTTGGAATGCTCTATTTCTGTGATATAGGTTAAATTTGTTAATTCCATTGTTCAAATCTTTAATACTCCTACTAATTTTATCAGTTTGAGAGAAATCAGTTAAAAATCTACTACTGTTCCTCGCCCTTTGTAGTCTGTCAATCTTGAGACTATATTATTCAGTGTTAAAAATTTTGAGTTGTTATATGATTTTATGTTTCTGGTGGGCTTAACGTTTTATTATTAAGAAATGTCCATCTTGTCTGGGCGCAGTAGCTCATTCTTGTAATCCCAGCACTCTGGGAGGCCAAGGCAGGCAAATCACTTGAAGTCAGGCATTTGAGACCAGCCTGGCCAACATGGTGAAACCCTGTCTCTACTATAAATACAAAAATTAGCTGGGCATGGCGGTGCATGCCTGTAATCCCAGATACTCGGGAGGCTGAGGCATGAGAACTGCTTGAACCTGGGAGGTGCAGGTTGTAGTGAGCCCAGATCGCACCACTGCACTCCAGCATAGGAGACAGAATGAGACTCTATCTTAAAAAAAAAAAAAAAAAAAAGTCCATCTTGGCCAGGCATGGTGGCTCCCACCTGTAATCCCAGCACTTTTGGAGGCCAGGGTGGGAGGATCACTTGAGCACAGGAGTTCAAGACCAGCCTGGCCAATATAATGGGACCCTGTCTCTGAAGAAAAAAAAAAAAAAAGTCAATCTTATCTCAAGTAACAGGTTTTGCCTTAAAGTATATTTTGACCAACATTACTTAGCCTGCCTTGCCAAAGGTGAAACTTCCATGTTTCATGTCTTATCTCACATACTCGCAATGCCACCATAAGGCAGTCATTATTATTATTATCATTTTACAAATGAGGAAAGCGGGCACTGAAAAGTTATCCTCCAACATCAGAAAGACACCAGGAGATCCAGTCAAGATTCAAACCTAGCCCACAGCCCAAGCTTTTTGCCACCTCTCTGCACTTTCTCTCTCTCTCTTTAGCCCATCCAGACATGCATGTTTCAGAAAAATATTCCATGAACTCAAAGACAGGAGAGAAAATTAGATTTTAAACTTCATATGTTTAGTGCAAACAAGATAGGCTGGGGGTCGGGGAACTTCTATTGAAAGTATCAGGCCGTATTTACTTCTACTGAAACTTCTATTGAAAGACTCAGGCGGCAGTATTTACTTCTATTGCAAGAAACTTCTATTAAAAGAATCAGGCAATATTCAATCTTCATTTCATTGTAGCTGTTTTCTGGAACCATTCTGAGCTAACACATACAAGAAAACTGCATGTTTATTAAACTTCACTCATCTCTTCAAACATATACTATGCACCTAATACGTAAAGAGACATCCAGTTTATAGAGGTTCTCTAAAAGATGGGGTGAATGTCTCAGCAAAAACTAAAGAAAACAAAACACAAAGCAAACAAAACAGAAATACAGAAGTAGCAGAGGAAAGAGAATAAAGTTCCTACATAGTTTCAATGAAAAGGTGTTCGAAAGTAAACGTACACAGGGATGAAATTTGGGAGCAGGAGGTGAGTCTGAGAAGTTAATCATGTCATAGTGAAATGCTGAACACAGCTCTGTCTTCTTATGATAAACCTGCTAGCAGCCAAAAAGCTTTAGATTTACAGTACTCACCAAAAAAGAGCTATGAGATTCTAAATGTAAATTTTAAAATAATGTAAAATAGATGATTATGATACATAACAGTTAACGTGGACTAAATATGAAAATAAGAGTTTGTGAGTCTACAAATGACTACAAATTTGACTCTGAACTCTGGCACACTCATGAAGTGGGAGATGCTGTTACAGGATTCAAATGTCCACAAGATAAGAACAAACCAGTTCTCTGAGGTTCCTCAGAGGGAAGAAGCTATTCAGTGTTGGGAAACATCCTCCTCAACAACTTCCTTGCCTTACAACACGATGCCATACAGAGATCTGCTTTTACAAGGTGTCGTCAGCATTACAGCGTGGAGCTATATATAAGAAATGACTCTATGGAGTCTTCCATCGCAGCAATAACATCAGCTATGATGCACCTCTCTAGGACTGCAAAGCTGAATGCACAGATGGTACAGTGTTCTGGAACAAAGTTCTAAACTCACATGTCTACAGGGACCAAGGAAATAATGTGAGTCAAGTAAGCCACTTTTAAGAGGGAAAAGAATTCTTTGTGTATCAAAATGCGGATTGCATATGAAACATACATGAATATTCTCTCCAGCCAGGCACAGTGGCTCACACCTGTAATCCCAGCACTTTGGGAGGCCAAGGTGGGCGGATCACCTGAGGTCAGGAGTTTGAGACCAGCCTGACCAACATGGAGAAACCCTGTCTCTACTAAAAATACAAAATTAGCCGGGTGTGGTGGCAAATGCCTGTAATCCCAGCTACCTGGGAGGCTGAGGCAGGAGAATCACTTGAACCCGGGAAGTGGAGGTTGTGGTGAGCCGAGATCGCACCAGTGTACTCCAGCCTGGGCAACAAGAGCGAAACTCCTCCATCTCCAAAAAAAAAAAAAAAAAAAAAAAAGAATATTCTCTCCTCTCTCAAAAGTTCTTTGTGTACCAAAATGCAGACTGCATATGAAACACACAAGAATATTCTCTCCTTACTCAAAGTGATATGATTTCTTCCATTTTTCTGGGACTATGTGGCCTCTCAGTTTACCTTTCATTATTTCACTTTTTTAGGAATGGTGACAGGAATTTCTCTGCTATAAGAAAATCAACCGTGCAATACCTCTGACAAGTGGCAGATGACACTCAGCCTCAGGGCTGAAGAAACAGCAAGACGGGAGGAGTGTGGGAAACTGAAAACCACAGGGCTTCCTGGAAAAGATAAGTACTCCTTGGCTCTTGACAACTTTTGCCAGATCATCTTTTCAAAGTCAAAAGTCCAGATTTTATGTAAAACCTCTTGGTTTTTCAGCGTTGGCTCCAAAAAAAAGTGATAAACAGGCTGTAGGAAAAGCAAAACCTACTTCTTATCAACGCAGGGCTTGAGACCTCTGGGCTTAAGGAGAAAATGGATTGCATATCATCTGGGCTATTCACATAATTATAATCATCAACTGAGTTTCTGAAGAATACTGAGCCCCAGTAGGTTCAAGGTTATACTCCTTGACAAGTGTGGTCTGTTGTGCTGTATGTAGACTGTAAATGTGGCCATCGACTCCTCCTGTCCCAGTACCCAAGTGCCCCTGCCCTGTAGATCTGAGTGCCTTCTCATTGACTTGAAGCTCCACCGTGTGACTAGCTTTGGTCCATGGGAAGTGAGCAAATGTGATACAAGCAAAGGCTTGAAAGATGCTCGTGCAATGGGGCTTGCCCCCCTCGCTGCTCTTTGAAACCCTGCCACCCTGTGATAAAGTGCAGCATAGCTGCTGGGGGATGAGAGGCCATGTGAGTAGAGGCCCCTGGGCCCCAGCCCAGCCCATCATCAACCAGCAAAGTCACCCAAGACCAAAAGACTTCCAGGCTGATTTGAAGAATTATGAGCTAAATAAATTATTGTTAGTTAGTTTGAGGTGGGTGGTTGCAGCAAAAGAGAACTGACACATATTAAAATATATCAGTACCTTCCTATCAAGAAATGGCTTTTTTCTTGTCTCATCACCACCAGGCCTATTAACATGAAGTGTGTTACACATTCTTGTCACTTTTATTAACCTCTGTTTTGACAAAAGCATACAGCTACTCAGAGAGCAAAAGCTTTCTCATTTGCCTAAGGTGTTTGCTTCTACACAGCATCCACAACAAATACCTGGCTCTCCCAAAAGTCCTGGTGGACCACTCACTGTGAAAACTCCTCTAAGGGGCAGAACTGTCAGAAAGAGTCTGATATAATCTGGCTCTGTCCCCACCCAAATCTCATGTTGAATTCATAATCCTCAATGTTGGAGGAGGGGCCTGGTGGGAGATGGCTGGGTGATGGGGACGTCCCCCTTGCTGTTCTCGTGATAATGAGTAAGTTCTCACGAAATCTGGTTGTTTAAAAGTGTGTAACATTTCCCTTCCCCCTTCATTCTCTTCCTCCTGCTGTGTGAAGATGTGCCTGCTTTCCCCTTTGCCTTCTGCCATGATTTTAAGTTTCCTGAGGCCTCCCCTGCCGTGCTTCCTGTACAGCCCGCAGAACTGTGAGCCAATTAAACCTCTTTTCTTCACAAATTACCCAGTCTCAGTTAATTCCTTATGGCAATGCGAGAACAGACTAATACACAGTTACATGCTTTGGAGCTGGAGGGAAGACTGAAACCCTTTTAGGGAAAGGTTTAGTACCCTGAAAAAGCCACTAGCCTGAATATAATACAGACAATTGACAAAGTCTAGATTCCCCTGAAAAGATACCAGAGTACAGGTGGTATTGCAGTTACTTAGAAAAAGAAATTCTAATTAAAAAAATAAAAAATAAATAGGCCACCCAACCACCCAGAGAACATTATTACTTCCTAGTGTGTGTGTAAGGTCAAAAGCCCCTCCCAGGTTTAAAATAAACCTATTGACTGTCAAGCTGCCCTTCTTGTTTCTCTCTTCTTTCTTTAATTCTTACAGTGTGCTCAAAGATGACATGGCTGCAAGAGGCTCAGCAAATAGCTGAACTTGTTGACTTGCTGTATGAGCTGACTTGCTGTATAAAATTAGCATTATCAACATTAAAGGAAACTTCCAAAATACATGGCCTCTGTGTTCTATTAGTTAACCTACAGCCTTATTTTTCTGAAAGAAACTAAGACACCAGAGACAACTGGTATTTTGATTCCTCCTATTCACAGAAATAAGTAAGATTATCTCCTCTTAGAAAACTTTTTCTTTCTGTTTTCTCTTGGGATATGGGGGTTGGCAGGGAGCGTCCTTAGTTTAATTCGGAGAGGCCTCAAGTCCTGAAAGTATTAGTTTAAAAGTAAAGGCTGTCTGAAGACTATCTTGTTTCACTATTCTATAGCCCAGAGTGTTTGAAACTTGTGGTTTTATGACACGTCATAATATCTAGCATGGCAATCCTAATCATTTTGTTTTTGAAGTTTTTTCTAGATAATTCAAATCTTTCATTGGGAAAATGTGGGGCTAGGAGGGTTGTCTTATACTTAGGACTTCCTAACATTTGGACACACATTATTCCCAAGCCAGGAGGACTGCTCTGTTTCAGAAAAAGGTAAACTGAAAGATTATGTCCTCAACCCATGTCTACCAGACTTCCATTATCAGAAATTCTTCCCATATCCTAGCAGTAATCTGCAGATCTCAGACTTGCTTTTGTTCTTCTCTTTCTAGATAGGTATTTCAACGGATAACAAAGACGTGCCCACTTTTTGAGATCTGAATCTAGAATGGCTACTTTCTACATATTCTGTCTTGTTCCAGGGAAGGACATACCCTAAAAAATGCAACACAATTTGCCTGCTTATTCCCTGAAGCACAGCACCCTTCATATTAGGAGCTTCAAGGATGCTTTAAAAATCCAAAAGCGTGACCGGGCGTGATGGCTCACGCCTATAATCCCAGCACTTTGGGAGGCCAAGGCGGGCGGATTACGAGGTCAGGAGATCGAGACCATCCTGCTAACACGGTGAAACCCGTCTCTACTAAAAATACAAAAAATTAGCTGGGTGTGGTGGTGGGTGCCTGTAGTCCCAGCTACTCGGGAGGCTGAGGCAGGAGAATCACTTGAACCCTGGAGGCGGAGCTTGTAGTGAGCCGAGATGGCGCCACTGCACTCTAGCCTGGGTGACGGAGCGAGACTCCATCTCAAAAAAAAAAAAATTCCAAAAGTGTAACCTCTATTTCCTAAGCATTCCTTCTTTCTTGATGATTCCTGATAGAGTAAACCCATCCACTTTTTAAACTCTCATTTTCAGGATCGGAGAAATTTGCTAATCTTCCTATTAGCCCAACCCTGCCACCTTACTTCCTCCTTTTTGTCTCCCTCCTCATTTCCCAGTCAGGTTTAGTAAATGAAGAATTATTTCTTTGGAATCATATGCCATTCTATCTCATTTGTTTGTTGAAGATGGCAATCAAGGCTAGTACGAACATCTTGTCGTATTCCACAATCCCTCTGCAGGCCTGAGAAGACTCACCAGCAAGAGAGGGAAAGAGAGACTCGATAACATCTACCAAATGTGGCCGGCATTTTGTTGGACGTTTTCGGGTAAATATCTTATATCATACTCTATAATTTTCCTCAATCCATGATGGCATTCACAGACAATTCCATTCATGATCAAACAATGAAACATCTTCTCTGGTTATCATTTTGCAAAAAATTACTTTATCCTACTACTAACAGATTCCATTCTTTTGGGGGATATATGCCTTTAATTTAAGACAGACTCCCTTTTTTTATGCATATACCCCAAACACCATTCTATCCCAATGTCCCCCACATGAGCCATGTGAAAATTCAGGAATTTAAAACCCAACTAAAGTTTAAAAACAGAAATGGCAACCCTATGTAAAACAGACACATTGACTTCTTAAAAACATTTTAACTTCACCTTTTTATACAACTTCAAAAAGTAATAGCTTAGATATCTTTATGACAATACACTGATTTTCATATTATTGCCTGGTAGCTAATAATTTTAATCAACTCTTCGATTTCCTATGACATTAAATTTCAGGCTGGGCTCGGTGGTTCACGCCTGTAATCCCAGCACTTTGGGAGGCCGAGGCAGGTGTATCACTTGAGGTCAGGAGTTTGAAACCAGCCTGACCAACATGGTGAAACCCCATCTTTTAGCTGGTGTGGTGGTGTGCGCCTGTAGTCCCAGCTACTGGGGAGACTGAGGCAGGAGAATCGCTTGAATCTGGGAGGCGGAGGTTGCAGTGAGCCAAGATTGTGCCACTGCACTCCAGCCTGGGCGACAAAGCTAGACTTTGTCTCAAAAATAAATAAATAAATATTTCAAGCTGACTGCGTGTGCGAATGTATGTGATCAATCTTTCTAGAAATAACCGTGATCTTAATTTTTTGCAAATATTTTCACCTTTTTTCACATCTTTGACAGAGCAGGAGCACCGTCATCTCGGACAAACCCCGCCACTTCAAGTTCCACCTCCCTTTATAGCTTCACGCATTCAAGGAAATCACTTCCAACTACAAGCAGCCAGAAACAGCAGACAGTAAAACACAGATAAGACTCCTGGGGCACAGAGGGAGGTAAGGGAAAAGTCTCTTGGGTAACTGCCAAACTTCACTCTCATACACTGGGCCCCAGTAAAACAGTGGGCCTTAATAAGCACATTCCTTTCCGTTCAGGTGCACTAAGATAGGGCAGCTAAAAGCAGACTCAGGGGTATGCCTGCGGCTGCAGAAAGAGGTATGAGAACAGACACACACCACCTCTCCCTCCCACATAAGCACAACAAAGAGACACAGAAGCAGTACAGGCTTCTGATAAACTCACCCGCCCTGAATCCTTGAAAACTCTTAGTCTGTAACAGAGTGTGGCTTCTGACCTAACTCAGTCAGAAGTCCCTCCCAGGTTCAGAATAAACCTGTTAACTGTTAAGCAGCCCTTCGTGTTTCTCTCCTCTTTCTTTAACTCTTTTTTTTTTTTTTTTTTTGCTCTGTAGCCCAGGCTGGAGTGCAGTGGCGTGATCTTGGCTCACTGCAAGCTCCGCCTCCCAGGTTCTCGCCATTCTCCTGCCTCAGCCTCCCGACTAGCTGGGACTACAGACAACTGCCACCATGCCTGGCTTATTATTATCATTATTATTTGTATTTGTATTTTTAGTAGAGACGGGGTTTCACCATGTTAGCCAGGATGGTCTCAATCTCATGACCTCGTGATCCACCCGTCTCGGCCTCCCAAAGTGCTGGGATTACAGGCGTGAGTCACCACGCCCTGCCCCTTTAATTCTTACAATCTTATACTTTATTGGCCAGTGTTTACGAAACAAACTTGAATTCAAAAAGATCTTTTTTTTTTTCCTATTTCCCCAATATTTCACTACCCATGTACTGAGCACCTTTAGTGCGCCAGGCAAAAAATGCACCGAGATAAATAAGCAGAGGTCTTGACCTCAAGGAACTTGCAGTCTAATCGGGGAAAACACCAATACATAACGGATGAGTAAATTTTGTAATACTTTTGGTGTTACAGCGTGTGCCTAGTCCCAGTATGACACAAAAACAGATCATTTCCCCAGAGGCCCCAGGAGATGCCTTTGATCATCCCTATAAGGAGAGCCCTCCCTTAAGTCATCCAACCCAACCTCATCATCCTACCACCTAAACCTGACCCTTCCTTACAAGAGCCCTCTGCTGTTATGGGGCCCCATAATCCTAGCAATCAACATGGCTGGAACCCTCAGTGTAATTACCTAGTCCTCTTCTCCGCTAGCCTCTCAAAGCCATACAAGCAGTTTGCCAATCATACCTAGCAATCCTTCAATAGCATCTTTTTTTTTTTGAGTCAGAGTTTCACTCTTGTTGCCCAGGCTGGAGTGCAATGGTGCGATCTCGGCTCACTGAAACCTCCGCCTCCCGGGTTCAAGCGATTCTCCTGCCTCAGCCTCCCGAGTAGCTGGGATTACAGGCATGCACCATCATGCCCAGCTAATTTTGTATTTTTAGTAGAGATGGGGTTTCCCCATGTTGGTCAGACTGGTCTTGAACTCTCAACCTCAGGTGATCCACCGGCCTCAGTCTCCCAAAGTGCTGGGATGACAGGCATGAGCCACCGCGCCTGGCTTAACAGCATCTTTTTTAAGACTCCCTCATTCACACTGACTTGCTTCCACCCTTATAACTCTGACCTAAGCAAACATCATAATCTCCTATCTAGGTTCCTGCTGCTTCTTGTCTCCCCAGTTGCATACCATGCCAGCAGACTGCTCTGCAGGAAACAAGATCTTTCCAAAGGACCGCATTTGAAGTCCTAGACCATCTAATCCCAACCTTTCTAACTTGACTTCCACCTGCCACTCTCTTTCACACATTCTGTGGTCTAAATAAACTACACTTATATAATGGTTATCACAAATACCCCAACTCCACGTCTTTCTCAGGAAGTTCCTTATTAACAACAATATAGTTTCCAACCTTCTCAAGTACCAATCCCAGACATAAAGATAAAAATTAGGCCAGGCGCAGTGGCTCACACCTGTAATGCCAGCACTTTCAGAAGCTGAGGCAGGAGGATCACTTGAGGTAAGGAGTTCAAGACCAGTTTGGCCAACATGGTGAAAGCCCATCTCTATTAAAAAATAAAATAAAAAAATTAGCTGGGCATGGTGCCAGGCGCCTGTAGACCCAGCTACTCAGGAGGCTGAGACAGGAGAATCACTTGAACCTGGGAGGCGGAGGTAGCAGTGAGCCATGATCACGCCACTGCACTCAAGCCGGGGAGACAGAGTGAGACTCCGACTCAAAAAAAAAAAATAATAATAATAAAATAAAATAAATGACAGCTTCTCTGGTAAGTTTTACCCTGCCTCTCCCATTTGGAAAAAAAAAATTCATTCTCTTTTGAATTCCCCTAGCGATGTATCTGTGCCTCTAGTCTTTTTACTAATGTTGTTGTGCCTAATAGAACAGATTTTGAAGAGCAGGACCATCTTCACCTCCCAAAGCCCAACATTTGTATGTAGTAAGTAATCAATAAATCCTATTTGATTGCATTAATGCCTATTAGTTTTACTTTGCAGTGAAACATAGATTCAAGCAGCATCTCTCCATAGGCTGGAGAACTCACCTGATTTCCGCAGGAAATTGTGCGTTTGTGACCAGGAAGCTGGAAATTTTACACTGGTGGAGTAGCTTCAAAAACCTGTTGATCTCTGGGTACATTATTGGTTCTCCCACGAGGGACAATGCACAGTGCTTTACCGTCATTCCTTCTTCAAAGCGTTCTGCTTTGACGCCCGGTACTCCTGGAGAATACAGTGAGAAGGACCCAGCTACATAAGGCACAGATAGAGGATGTCACTTACGTTTTTCTTAATGATGCTTTGATTTTATAGAGCAAATTCATTTTTGATACCAAAGAATACAAAACAAAGGCTAAAGGGCAGGGCAGGACTAGAATTATTAAATCAGAAAAATCAGTCAGTAACCTCATTCTTAGTTTTGGTACCAGTTAAACTACATCAATACAAACAGGCAAAACTAGCTTTGTTAGCTAATTATTTGGAATGCAGAATAAGTCCCTTTGCATAATTTGCTTAGCTTTGCATTCTTTCATGTTGATCCAAGAAAATGAACTCAGTATATCTGCATAAGAACAAGCTTCTTCTAGACCAATCATTCCTCAAGTATCCTGAACTGGGAAAGTAAATGTAGTTGGTCCAAAGCTGTATAGGAGAGAAAAAGAAGAGACCTAATCGTTCTTATCTTTGGCTTCATACTGGAATACTTCATAATTCATACTTCATACTGGAATCACCTGAGGAGCTTCAAAAAATACTTCTACAGGCCAGGCGCAGTAGCTCACACCTGTAATCCCAGCACTTTGGGAGGCCAAGGCAGGAGGATTGCTTGAGCCAAGGAGTTCAAAACTAGCCTGGGCAATATAGTGAGACCTTGCCACTACTAAAAATTAAAAAAAAAAAAAAATAGCTGGGCATGGTGGCACATGTCTGTGGTCCCAACTACTTGGGAGGCTGAGGTGGGAAGATCACTTGAGTCTGGGAGATTGAGGCTGCAGTGAACCACTATCATGCCACTGCACTCCAGCCTGGATGACAGAGCAAGGCCTGTCTCAAAAAACAAAAATAGGCTGGGCGCAGTGGCTCACACCTGTAATCCCAGCACTTTGGGAGGCCAAGGTGGGCAGATCACTTGAGGTCAGGAGTTCAACACCAGCCTGGCAACATGGTGAAACCCTGTCTCTACTAAAAATGCAAAAATTAGCTGGGCGTGGTGGCGGATGCCTGTAATCCCAGCTACTCGGGAGGCTGAGGCAGGAGAATCGCTTGAACCCAGGAGGCACAGATTGCAGTGAGAGGAGACAGTGCCACCGCACTCCAGCCTGGGCAACAGAGTGAGACTCCGTCTCCAAAAAAACCAAAAATACTGCCACCTAGGTCCACCTCTAAAGAGTCTGTTTCATCAGAGTGGGTGCAAGGCTGGGCAATAAGTTTTGTTAAAGCTTCTCAGATGGTTGTTACGTATAGCCAAGGCTAAAAGCCACTGCATGAAACCAGAGGGGCCCAACCTGTCTGCACATTGGAATCACCTTGGAATCTTAAAATTCCCACAATCCAGGCCACAGCTCAGATCAACTAAACGCCAATCTCTGGCGGAGGGGTGCAGGCAATTCGCAGTTTCTGAAGCCCCCCAGGTGATTCCAATGTGTAGACAAGTTTAGTAGCCACTAGCACACACCACTCGTTCTGAATCCTAGCTGGACACTGGGATTACCCAAAAAACATTTAAGAATCCCAATGTCCAGGCCATATCCCAAACATATTAAATCACAGTCTCTGGGGAGGGGCCTCATGCATCAGGATTTCTAAAGGGCTCTCCGTGTGATTCCAGCATGCAGCTTGGTTTGTCAGGTACTGCTCTTGACTCAATGTAGAAGGCATTACAAGATATGCTGTCCTAAAAGTCCTTCAGTCTAACAGAGAATGCGAAAGACTCGGAAAGAGTGTAAATAGGCAAAAATATGTATCCTAAGAACACATGAACACATAGAGGGGAATGACACACACTGGGGCCTATCAGAGGGTGGAGGGTGGGAGAAGGGAGAGGATCAGGAAAAACAACTAATGGGTACTGGGCTTAATACCTGGGTGATGAAATAATCTGTACAACAAACCCCCATGACACAAGTTTACCTATGTAACAAACCTGCACTTGTACCCCTGAACTTAAGAGTTAAAAAAAAAACAAAGAAAAAATATATATCACCTTGACTCCTGATAGTTCTAAATCAATGATTTCTAGGTTCCTTTTGAAGAATATATTCTCTCTGCAGGATAGGGATTCCTCATGGAGCTTGGGCCTAGGGGAGAAGCGTGTTCATGTGTCTTCTCCTACTCCTATTGGACATCTTTGTTTTGTTTGTTTGTTTGTTTGTTTTTGAGATGGAGTTGCGCTCCATCACCCAGGCTGGATTGCAGTGGCAAAATAGCTCACTGCAAGCTCCACCTCCTCGGTTCAAGCCATTCTCCTGCCTCAGCCTCCCGAGTAGCTGGGACTACAGGTGCCCACCACCATGCCCGGCTAATTTTTTTGTAGTTTCAGTAGAGATGTGGTTTCACCATGTTGGCCAGGATGGTCTCGATCTCCTGACCTCGTGATCTGCCCGCCTCGGCCTCCCAAAGTGCTGGGATTACAGGCGTGAGCCACCATGCCCAGCCATTATTGGCCATCTTTGAAACATAACTTTCTTACCTGTGAATGGTAAGTACCTTGAAGAATTTTTGTTGGGATTAAATGAGATAATGCATGTAAAGGCCTTAGCGGAGTGTCTGGCACACAAGAAACGTTCATTAACGATTTGCTATTACCACCTTTATCCTCATTTATGAAACTGATTCGATCCCAGTCACTGTCACCTTAACAACAGTAACAAAGAACGTGGGCGAAATAAAGTTAAATTTCACTGCTCAGTTGTGCCTCAGTTTTCAGAAAGTGATTTTATTTTAGACACACTGTTCCGCCAGACCCTGATTGACTTCAGTAGGGATAGCACCACGTGTGAGGGGCTGGCAAAGAGATGCAGAGCCAGTGAACGAGACATAGGGGCTGCTGCTGCTGCTGCTGCTGTTGTTGTTGTTGTTGTTGTTGTTGTTGTTGTTGTTGTTTTTGAGACAGAGTCTCGCCCTGTTGCCCAGGCAGGAGTGCAATGGCGTGATCTCAGCTCACTGCAACCTCCGCCTCCCGGGTTCAAGCAATTCTCCTGCCTCAGCCTCCTCAGTATCTGGGATTACAGGCGCACACCACCACGTCTGTCTAATTTTTTTTTTTTTGTATTTTTAGTAGAGATGGGGTTTCACTATGTTGGCCTGCCTCAGCCTCCCAAAGTGCTGGGATTACAGGCGTGAGCCACCATGCCCAGCCAAGACATAGGGTTTATTGAAGGGACTCACAAACTCACAAACAGGGCAGTCCAGTGGCAGTGGGCTGGGCAGGAGAACCACAGTTGCTTGTAAAAAGCATGCAGTTCGGTTGGGCACGGCAGCTCATGCCTGTAATCCCAGCACTTAGTGAGGCCGAGATGGGTGCATCAGTTGAGGTCAGGAGTTCAAGACCAGCTCGGCCAACATGGCAAAACCTCATCTCTACTAAAACTACAAAAATTAGCCAGGCGTGGTGGTGCATGCTTGTAGGCCCAGCTACTCGGGAGGCTGAGGCAGAAGAATCACTTGAACCCGGGAGGCGGAGGTTGCAGTGAGCTGAGACTGCGCCACTGCACTCTAGCCTAGGCAACAGGACAAGACCCTGTCTGGAAAAAAAAAAAATCATGCAGTTTATACAGCATTTTCACTTAGTACCCCCCCACCAGCAATCTCCACCAGGCACCACTTTATTTAACCCAAAACAACGGGCCTTGATCCCCTGTACAACCTGCATTCCACAGGAAGCGCTAGGGATTCAGATGTTCCTCATAGATAGAGAATGATCTGTCCAAAATAAAAAAACAAAGAGAATGAATCCCCAGGTTGGCCACTCCTGGATCTCCTAGTTCAGAGCTCAGAACACACATTCTTCTTAGAACATACAGTCATTCTCTGGGTATGTTTAAGTTAAGGTATTGGTGTCAGCTGTGCTTGACACACACACACACACACACACACACACACACACACACACTCTAATTCTCTCTCTCTCTTCCTCCCACACCTTAGAAATACGAAAGTGTAAGTTACGTGAAAAAAACACTCAGCATTACTAATAATCATTTGCAGAGAAATGCAAATTAAAATTACAATGGGATATCATCTTATACTAGTCAGAATGGCTATTATTAAAGCAAAACAACAGAATTGGCATGGATTACACACTGTTGGTGGGGATGTAAATTAGTTCAACCTCTATAGAGAGATTTCTCAAAGAACTAAAAATAGAACTACCATCCAACCTAGCAACCCATTACCGGGTATCTAACCAAAGGAAAAGAAATCATTATATTAAAAAAAAACCTGTACCCACTCGTATGTTCATCGCAGCACTATTCACAATAGCTAAAAGTCATGAAACCATGACCTAAGTGTCCATCAACGGTTGACTGGATAAAGAAAATATGGTACATATACACCATGGAATACTATGCAGCCATAAAAACGAACAAAATCATGTCCTTTACAGGAACATGGATGAAGCTGGAGGCCATCATCCTAGGTGAACTAAAAAACAGAACATCAAATATCACACGTTCTCACTTTTAAGTGGGAACTAACCAATGGGTACACACGGACCTAAAGATGGAAATAATAGAGACTAGAGACTCCAAAAGAGGATGGGACGGGGTGAGAGTTGAAAAATTACCTATCAGGTACAATGTTCACTATTTGAGTAATGGGTATGCAAGAAGCCTAATTCCCGCAGTACACAATACACCGATGTAAATAACATGCACATGTACCCCTAATACAAAATAATAAATAAAATAAAACACAAAGTGCAAGTAAATCCCCAAGAGATCAAAGCAACAGAGTACAGACCAAAATGAGAACAATCTAAGCATGACAGGTGATGTCTTCTTTTATGACTATGTAACTGCAATTGTAAGAATGTATTTCGTGTCAGTATTTTTGGATGGATGAATAATTTTTTAGGTTATTGAAATCTAAGATCTTAACTCAAGTAAAACAAGGTTTTCAAATAAAATTTGATCCTTAAGCTCATTCTACGTTGCCAAGACAACTCAGCATTAAGCATAACATTTGCTTTTCAAAAAGCATATCATTAACTATAATCCGCACCATGAGCAGCTGAGTAGAAAGGCAGGTTGAACCTGAACTCCAAAACCAACCTAAAACTCAGAAAGTGGAAGGAGCATCGGCTAGGCCCTGGCCACTGGGATTCAGATGCACCGGGTTCACACTCTAGCTCCACCGCGAAGGTAGTTTTATATCCTTGGTCAAGCCTCTCTCACCCTCTCCAAGCCCATTCCCTGATCTTTAAAATGGAGATTTTACACACACACATACAGCTATTATAACAATTAAATGAAATAAGCTACATGAAATACTTAATGGGGTGCCAGGCCCAACATACACATTCAAAACGTGCTAGCTGCAAATGTTTTTATTTTGTGAACTGAAAAATAAATTCAATTATTATTATTTCTTTTTTTTAGACAAGGTCTGCCTCTGTCACCCAGGCTGGAGTGCAGTGATGTGATCAAGCTGACTGCAGTCTCAATCTCCTGGGCTCAGGTGACCCTCCCACCTCTGCCTCCTCAGGTGCTAGGACCACAGGCATATGCCACCACACTTGGCTAATTTTTTTTTAAATTTTTGGTAAAGACGAAGTTTTGGGCCGGGCGTGGTGGCTCACGCCTGTAATCTCAGCACTTTGGGAGGCTGAGGCAGGTGGATCATGAGGTTAGGGGTTCGAGACCAGCCTGAACAACATGGTGAAACCCCATCTCTACCAAAAATTTAAAAACATTAGCCGGGCATGGTGGCAGGTGCCTGTAATCCCAGCTATTCGGGAGGCTGAGCCAGGAGAATTGCTTGAACCCAGGAGGCGGAGGTTGCAGTGAGCCGAGATCTCACCACTGCACTCCAGCCTTGGCAGCAGGGTGAGATTCCGTCTCAAAAAAAAAAAAAAAAAAAAAAAAAAGAAGGTGATAGGCACGTGGAAAAGAAAAGAAAGAGCAGGGCAATGAAGATGTGGGGTGCCAAGAGGAAAAAGAGGCAGGCTGACCTGTCAATCAGGCTGGTCAGGATAAGTCTTGCTGAAAAGGAGAGTGTAGCTGGAGGAGGTGAGGGAGTAGGCCAAGAGGGCAAAGACGGAAGAGCATTCCAGTCGGAGAAAAGACCCCAAGGTGGGAGCCTGCCTGATTATGTCTAGGGAACCTGAGTCACATGGGTAGCCAATGCAGGATTTTGAGAAGAGGGTGGCATAAACTAATTTTTGTTTTAAGTAGATCACATCGGGTTCTCCGTTGAGAACAGAGGGGCAAGGAGAGAGGATAATCTGCCGACAGACTATAATATAATACAAAAAGGAAATGGTGGCTTGGACCAAGGTGGTGACACTGGAGGTGGCACGATAGTGGAGGTGGCAAAGTCAATCAGCTGGCTCTACTTTCAAGGTATCATCAAGAGGGATTTTCAAATGGATTGGATGTAGGGTATGAGAAAGTGAGAGGGTTCAATGATTTCTACAAAGTGTTTGGCTCCAGCAACATGGCTGCCATCAACTCAGACAAAGCAAGCATTGGGGCTAACAGGACAGGGAGGAGGACCACGGACTGAGTCGTACAACACTCACAGTTCTGGGGAGAGGAAGAGGGATCAACAAAGGGCACTACCACAGAGCAGCCACGAGGACAGGAGGAAACCTAGAAGCAAAGACACCAAAGCCATCCTTTCCAGAAAGCTACAAATAAAAATATCATAATCATATTCCCCCATTTAGACAATCACAAAAACAAACAAAATACAAGACAAAAAAAATTCTTGATGATCAACTTTTTAAAGTAATGGATTCTTAGATTTTAAAGTTATCCTGATTCTCTCACAAGTAAGATATTGAAAAGCTTATGTAAAACCTTGGTTCTCTCCTTCATAAGAGCATGTTTCTATTTATTTCTTGCTCTCTGCCAGAGGCTGTTACACTGGTCCTCCCAAAAACAAAGCCTCAAGGACTCCACTTCATGTCTTCTTGCACTGTCCTCAAGGAAATATGACAGAAATTGAAACAGCCTCTAAATTTCTTTTTTATTATTATTATACTTTAAGTTCTAGGGTACATGTGAGCAATGTGCAGGTTTGTTACATATGTAAACATGTGCCACGTTGGCGTGCTGTACCCGTTAACTCGTCATTTACATTAGGTGTATCTCCTAATGCTATCCCTCCCCCCTCCCCCCAACCCATGACAGGCCCCGATGTGTGATGTTCCCCTTCCTATGTCTAAGTGTTCTCATTGTTCAGTTCCCACCTATGAGTGAGAACATGCAGTGTTTGGTTTTCTGTCCTTGTGATAGTTTACTCAGAATGATGGTTTCCAGCTTCATCCATGTCCCTAAAAAAAACATGAATTCATCCTTTTTTATGGCTGCATAGTATTCCATGGTGTATATGTGCCACATTTTCTTAATCCAGTCTATCATTGATGGACACTTGGGTTGGTTCCAAGTCTTTGCTATTGTGAATAGTGCTGCAATAAACATACGTGTACATGTGTCTTTATAACAGCATGATTTATAATCCTTTGGGTATACACCCAGTAATGGGATGGCTGGGTCAAATGGTATTTCTAGTTCTAGATCCTTGAGGAATCGCCACACTGTCTTCCACAATGGTTGAACTAGTTTACAGTCCCATCAACAGTGTAAAAGTGTTCCTATTTCTCCACATCCTCTCCAGCACCTGTTGTTTCCTGACTTTTTAATGATCACCATTCCAACTGGTATGAGATGGTATCTTACTGTGGTTTTGATTTGCATTTCTCTGGTAATAGCCTCTAAATTTCTAATGGAAAGGATTCCTGGAGAAGAAAGAAAGAGTCCACATGAGACACAGGACATTTCAACAGCAAATCGATAGTGCTGTTTCCCATTATCTGACACTCACACACACACACAGGCACACATACACGCACATGCACACACACGATCTGTTCTCTTCATGGTGCCCAAATCTTAACCCTTTCACAACTAAACTCTGCTTTGTTATTCTAATTCTTTGGGTTTTTTGGTTAAGCAAGTTTTCTGACATTTTTCTTATTCTGAACACCTTCCTGATCTTGGATAATCACAATTACAGTCAGCAGAGTAACTAACAAGCGGACTTCATCTCATTGAAAGATGACAAAGCCAGAACTTAAGATCCGAAAATTTTCATCCTAATGTCATAGCGATAAACCAAATAACACACAAATAAACATGATGTAATGCTCAGTATATTCCTATTTCTAAAGTTTGGGCCGATCAGAAATAAAACATTCTCTTCTTTCTTCTCATAACAATGCAGTTCCTGGCCAAAAATCTTCCCAACGACCTGCCCTGACTAAAAGTCATAAATAATACCTGTTTGATATAGATACTCCACTTGAGGTTTTTCATAAATTAGTTTCTGAAAACAATTAACAGGTGGTGTTCTCTTCCCCACCTTCACATTTTCTTTATGATGTGTATGTTAGCATACCTAGCTTGTGAAAACCATCTGTTGGAGATCTTTTATGTCTTGCAGTACTTTGCTTCTAGCCTAAAGTATAGATAAAAACACCTAGCAATAAATGATGTCTTTTTCATCTTTGCAGCTTTAGTACCGAGGACGTTCCTGACAAAGACGGTGCAATCACTTGATGTTTGCTGAACGGGTGGAAAATTGAGCTAAAGAAACCTCAGCCCCATTTTCTGGGAACTATTTCTCCCTGCCATGGTAGTACTTAGAAGGGGGCAGGCAGCATTTTGAATAGACGCTGAGTGGCACTGAAATTCTGACCCACTTTTAATCAATGCAAAGTTAATTTTGTATGTATATAAAAGGAACGCTAATAAAGGTCAGGAAAAGAAAGATATTTTTATAACTCAGTGAAATAACTGAAAAGACAATGATTGCCCTCAGAATTAAGAACACAAAAGACAAGCATTGAAAACATCAGGAATTATCTTCCAAAGCTGCTCAGGACTGGCCACGTAGCTCCAGTTGGGGAACTCAGACAATAAGCAACAATCCCCACAGCCAGTTCCACCTTTCACACAACTGAACCAGACCCAGGACAGACGGCAGGCGTTCTTTGTCATGGGGTGGGAACTCACCCTAGAAAGCAAAGGACTCTCCAAGCCAGAGTGAGGTAAATAATTAATGAGCATTCCTGTCTCAAGGCCACGCCTTCCACCTGCAGTGGAGTCTTCCGCACCCAGCGCTTCGACCTTTACCAGCAGGCCTCCCCACCAGATGCCCTGCACTGGATACCTAAGCCTTGGGAATGGACAGGGCCGCCACCTCGAGAAGGGCCCTCCCAAAAGGCAGAGGAGCCTGGGTCCCGAGGGGACAAGGAGCCTGGTTTGCCCCCACCCCACTGAGGGAGTTCCTCTTGCCCGCTACCCCCAGGGCTTGTATATAGATTATAAATATATAAGGGGGAAAGGGGTGGCGAGGGAGGGGTTGTGGGGCTGGGGCCTCACTTCCCCTCCTCCCCCTTCCCCTGGTCCCCTGTCCCTGGGGCTATTTGTTAAAAAAGAGTAATAAAAGGATTTTTAAAATAATAATAATTAATGAGCTAAGAGTGGACCTCCAAAAAGAGGCCAAAGTGGAGATACCAGGAATATCACAAACTACGAAGGAAATGCCTTCAAGCCTTTGAAATTGACTATAATTGCCATTTATACAAGAAATCTGTTCGTAAGCATTTCTGTTTAAGCCTGAAATTTGTATTCCCATAGATACAATATTATTAAAATGAAAATTAAGGCCAGGTGCAGTGGTTCACACCTATAATCCCAGCACTTTGGGAGACTGAGACTGAAGGATTGCTTGAGCCCAGGAGTTCGAGATCAGACTGGGCAACATAGTGAGACCCCCATATCTACAAAAATGTTTTTTAAAATATTAGCTGAGTTTGGTAGCATGTGCCTGTAATCCCAGATATTTGAGAGGCTGAGACAGGAGGACTGCTTGAGCCCAGGAGGTTGAGGCTGCAGTGAGCTATGATCATGCCACTGCATTCCAGCCTGGGCAACAGAACAAGACCCTATCCCTTTACGGTCTTTTTCAGTTGAAATTACTTGCTGCCAAGAGAACAGAAAATACAATCAATATTCTGAAGTACTAAAATTCTATAATGCTGTCAAAGTTATCATTTTAAAAGAAATCACATAACATTTTTTTCTTTGAAGTGTTACAGACTACCACCAGTTTTCCAGAAGGGCTCTGGATTCTTACAAATTATGCACTTTACCCTTTACTAATTAGGGTTTTTTTTTTCTTTTCTATTATCATAATTTTACAGCAATATTTACTATGACTATTATAGCAATAAGATGGATTTTCAAAAATAATGGCTTGTTTAACCTAACTTAGAACACAGAAAAAAGCATTAAACAAATAGTCATCAAGGCCCCAAAATTACAAATTAAGGGATCTCTCATTCATTGTGAAAATGTATAACAAATGAGAGCCAGACACGGTGGCTCATGCCTGTAATCCCAGCACTTTGGGAGGCCCAGGCAGAAGGATCATTTGAGCCCAGGAGTTCAAGACCAGCCTGCGCAATATAGGGAAAACCCATCTCTATTAAAAATTTTTAAATTAGCTGAAGCGCGGTAGCATGCACCTGTAGTTCCGGCTACTTGGGAGGCTGAGGTGGGAGGATCACTTGAGCCCAGGAGGCAGAGGTTGCAGTGAGCCAAGATCATGCCACTGCACTCCAGCCTGGGCAACAGAGTGAGACCCTGTCTCCAAGTAAATAAATAAAGTAAAATAAAATAAAATAAAAAGAAAACAAATGAGGCTCCCTTATGCCTACGTGCTGACCCATCTACACCCTCCGCACCTTCAAACATGCACCTGTTTTCTGCTAGCTTCAAGAAAAACTGCTTTGCTAACCTGAAGAACATCAATGCACAAATATTAACCAGTTCCACTCTGAAAACCCTTCCAGCAAATTTGTTGCTGATTAAATACACTGAGGTTTTCCTGACATGGTAACGTGTTATCAAGTCAATCCATTCAGATATGAAAAAAAAAATCCGTTGTAGGAATTACCAGGGTAAAATAGATACTGTATAAATACCATTTTTAAGAATGAAATTGGTGGCAGTTGTTGAATTTCTGGGGATCATTCCTTCCATCTTATGCATTCTAATGCCTACTCAGGATTCACGCATCCATAGACGTGCTCTATTCTTTCTCTCTGCTATCCTGCATCCTATCATCCCTCAAGAGAATATAAATTTTAAAACTCTTTTGTTTTCCTCACATCATAAGAACCCATAGACAAACCATTTGAGATGCCTGCTGATTAACGTTAAGCCTAAGGTCACTATTGGACACCCCTTTCTGCACAGGACAGGACCCTCAACAGGCCCAGCAGACAATGAAAAACACGTGCTCACGGAACTCACCTAACACATTTTATTAAAATCAACAAAGTCTACCTCATGGTTTATTCATTACATATTTCCATTTAAAGTGCATTTGCAAAAACGCTCCTGTCAGAAAAATTACTATCCAAACTCAGATCGTCATTCTGTAGGAAGGACATTTCAGCATAAAGAAATGAAGGTGTCTATTCTTCAAGGCAGTGCTGATTCCTCCTCACACAAACTGCCCGAGACACAGTTCATTCAGGGAGACTCCAGGATGTCCAGGAAACACACATCCTCAGTCATCGTCCCATTAGCTCCTTAAGCACTAACTCAAAAATCAACTTCATATAAAAATAAAAGTACTGGCATTTCCTGCTTCTGATATTACTATCTGTGATGGTTAATTTTATGTGTCAACCTGTCTGGGTCACGGCGTCCAGATATTTGTTCAGCCATTATTCTGGATGTTTCTGTGGAGGTGTTTTGGATGAGATTAACATTTAAATTGCTGGGCTTTCAGTAAAGTAGATTGCCCGTCATAATGTGGATGGACCTCATCCAATCATTTGAAGGCTTTAATATAAAAAGATTGACCTGTTCCAAGCAAGAAGGAATTCTGCCAGGATAATGCCTTTGAACTTGAACTCCCACTCTTCCCTGAGTCTCCAACCTCCCAGTCAACCCATGAGATGTTGAACTCACCAAGCCTCCACAAATACATGAGCCAACTCCTAAAAATGAACAAATGAATCTCAATCTCAGTCTCTCTTTCTGTCTCTCTCTCTCTCCCCTCACACACATTCACATACACATACACATACACATACACCCACTGGTTCTGTTTTTCTGGAGAACCCTAACACACTCTCCAAAGGAAAATAAGACTTTGCCTTGAAATTTATTAAAAAGACACATAGCTTACTTGAAGATCAACAATCAATTATTAACTAAACCAACAATGAGTCTAGGAAAAGCCAGTCAAATTCCAGATGTGGGGCTTACTAGTTCTTTACCAACAGTTTCATTTAATTTTCCAAAACACTGGTAAGAGACACTGCTTTATCCAAGTATAAGAATGTAACTTGTACCCCACCTCCCGCCATCGAAAAATGCTTGAAACTAAAAATCAAGATGAGAAATTAAAATAATCATTAGCTTCTTTGTAAATGTACAAAAAAAAGTCAGCCTATCTACAGATACACACAAATATGTACAGGTCAACTTTCCCTAGAAAATTCATAAAGAAAAAAAGTATAATTATTGACTAATTTTTTTTTTTTTGAGATGGAGTCTCACTTTGTCACCCAGGCTGGAGTCCAGTGGAGTGTGAACTCAGCTCACTGCAACCTTTGCCTCCTGGGTTCAAGAGATTCTCCTGCCTCAGCCTCCCAAGTAGCTGAGATTAAAAGGCACACACCACCATGCCTGGCTAATTTTTGTATTTTTAGTAGAGATGGGGTTTCACCATGTTGGCCAGGCTGGTCTCGAACTCCTGACGTCAGGTGATCCGCCTACCTCAGCCTCTCAAAGTCCTGGGATTACAAGCGTGAGGCACCGTGCTAAGCCTACTGAATAATTATCTTTTATAAATTACTACTGATCTTGAACCATTATTTGCATGACTTTTCTCCATTTCTCATAAAAATGAGAAATAAGTATGAGCCCATTTTCATACTGCTATAAAGAACTGCCGGAGACAGGGTAATTTATAAAGGAAAAGAGGTTTAATTGATTCGCAGTTCAGCATGGCTGGGGAGGCCACAGGAAATTTACAATCACAGCGGAAGGCAAAGGGGAAGCAAGGCACCTCCTTCACAAGGCAGCAGGAAGGAGAAGTGCAGAGCAAAGGGGGAAGAGCCCCTCATAAAACCATCAGATCTCGTGAGAACTCACTCACTATCATGAGAACACCATGGGGGAAACAGCCCCCACATTTCAATTACCTCCACCTGGTCTCTCTCAACGCATAGGGATTATGGGGATTATGGAGATTACAATTCAAGATGAGATTTGGGTGAGGGGAACAAAGCCTAACCATATCAAGTGGTAAGGAGTATTATAATATTACGAATGAGTGGCCAGAACAGAACAAATTTCCTTACGTGAAAGAATCATCTGATCTTCAGAATGCTAATTACTGAGGTTTCTAAAGACTCCCATATGCGCTATTAATACCTTAAGAGTGTCTATATTAAAACAGTCTTGGCTGGGACTATTTTTTAATGGTTGCATATGACGGAAAAGAAGAATACAGGAGAGAAGGAATCACCAGTGGTAGGTAGAGACCAGAGCATAGAGATTCAACAGGGAACCTAACAAATTCCAATTCATCACCTACAGCTGTTGCTTTATGAAGACATCACATGTACAGTAGTGGTTCTCAAAGCATGGTCCCCAGTTGAACAACATCAACACCAACCAGAAACCTGTTAGAAATGCACATTCTCAGGTGGCTCACACCTGTAATCCCAGCAATTTGGGAGGCCAAAGTGGGTGGATGGCTTGAGTCCAAGAGTTTGAGACCAGCCTGGACAACATGGCTAGACCCCATCTTCACAAAAAATTAGCCAGGTGTGGTGGCCCGTGCCTGTAGCCCCAACTACTCAGGAGGCAAGGCTGAGGTGGGAGGATCATCTGATCCTGGGAAGTGAAGGTTGCAGTGAGCCAAGATGGCACCACATACTCCAGCCTGGGTGACAGAGCGAGATCTGGTCCAAAAAAAAAAAAGAAGAAAGAAAAAAAAGCATACTCTTGGGCTTACTGACCCAATCTCTGGGAAAGGAAACCAACAATCTGTGTTTTAACAAGCTCTCCAGATGATTCCGATGCATGATAAAGTTTGAGAACCAGTAACCTCCAGTGAAGTCAATATTTGTTAATATGAGACAGAATTAAATCAGGAAATTCAAAAAAATGGAGTGGCTGAATTTTTACCACATTACTGTGCATTAGATGGAAGAAACTGTTATTTATATTATCCCTCCTTTTTTTTAAATAAGGAATTCATTCAAAACGGTTTTCCCATCACTAACTAACATTATTTAAGACTTTCCACTAACCTAAAATTTCCAATCCATTCAAAAGGCTGCTCAGCTCAGCCAGACAGAACAACAGCAAAGGTTTCTAGGAAGATTGATGGTACATTCCCAGGTAAAGCTTTCAGGCTGAATGCAGCATATTATAAGTTGCTAAACTTTTTATTTATTTATTTATTTCTGAGATGGAGTTTCGCTCTTTTTGCCCAGGTTGGAGTGGAGTGGAGAGATCTTGGCTCACTGCAACCTCTGCCTCCCAGGTTCAAGCAATTCTCCTGCCTCAGCCTCCCAAGTAGCTGGGATTACAGGCAACCACCATCATGTCCAGTTAATTTTTGCATTTTTAGTAGAGACGGGGTTTCACCATGTTAGCCAGGCTCATCTCGAACTCCTGACCTCAGGTGATCCACCCGCCTCGGCCTCCCAAAGTGCTGGGATTACAGGCGTGAGCCAGCACACCTGGCCAAGTTGCTACATTTTAAATTTTTAGTTCTTCCATCATATGGGACGTAAAAGCTAAAAAGGCAAAATATATATAATATTCCTACAAAGTTTTCACTTCCTTAGAGGAAAATTTGCCAGTGGGGACAAAATCCTACCAAAGAGGCAATTCTTCTGCCAATCTGATTCAGACTATTAACAGGTATTAGCATTCCTTTGTAGAGGGAAGATAAATACCTTTAAACTGCTTAATCATGTTCTGATGGTTTTCAATGGCTTCCTTCAAGATCATTTCAGGCTGGTCCATCTTCCACCGCCACTCAGTGCCCACGGGGTTGGTGTGGTGCCTAGGAACAAGATGCAAAGTTCTAAAAGACCCTTCTGTAATAAGATCTGGGCTAGTCATTTATGATGAAGTCATCCATTTTTAAAAATCACAAAATCAGGACTGGTTTCCTCCTAAGAGTTCAACCATGTATAGTGGTATTTTCCAACTTATTTTAAATCATGACACCCAACAGAGAGGGGTGAATAGAGAAATCATTCAACTCTTCCCAGAGATGTTGGGCACCTAACTCACTCAATTCCAGTTACAGGTTGACAGAACGCTCTCTGCTGCTTTAACCATGTTAACTGTGAATGTACACAAACAAGGCAAACTGTCAACACCATGTTACTGTCATCTACGTCGACACTTCATAAAGTGAGTGACGACAGCTGGAACACTTGCTTGGAAATCACACTGACAGGGCCTGAGAATGAGTTTCTCCTGATGCAGGCCTGGGGAAAGGACAAGAACCTCCACCTGGGACCCAAGCAGCTACAACACAATGTCATTTTGAGACCAAAACCACTGCTAGAGTGTATCCTGCCCTGGGAGCCAAAGCCCCTGTATCTCCATATTCCTGAGGTCCCACCACCATCACTCCATGGCCATACAAAAGATTACAATGCCATAACCCAAGCTATACCTAGCAGTACAACCATATCCAAGCACCTGAGCCCATGCAGAACCTTGTAGTCCAAAAAAACAGGCAGCGCAGTACAGCAAGGAGACCACCCCCAAGACAGACACAACGCCAGGGCCCAAGGACCAGCTCCCCAGTGTCCACCACTGCCAACCATCTCAACCTCCCGACAGGCAGAACTACCATGTGCCCTTCAGGCCCCTCAAGGCCCAAGGACCATTCTGCCCAGAAACCAGCACCACTGAAGACACTACCCCCATAAGCAACAGAGCTGCCAGAAATAGCACAAGCTCCCCTAGGGTCTAAGGACCAGCAAGCCCAGCAATACTGCCCCTAGCAAAGTCATGCCACTGCCTCCACAAACACCCACAGTCCAGGCCAGTGAGGCACTCATAGGAACCACAGGCACCGATTATGGCCAAAGAAATCACATGTACACTACTATACTACTACACTACTGTACCCGTCTAGAGGACAAGTCAAAGCACCCCACTCAACCAACACTATAAAATACTTCTCCAGGAAAGTCTTTCCCTACGAAAACTACTCCATAAAAATGGAAGGGGTGACTGTTATACCAGATGTGCAGATATCAATGTAGTAAAAAACAAAAACATGAAATAGCAAGAAAACATGACACTCCCAAAGAAACACAATAATTCTCCAGTAACAGACCTGAAAGAAAAAGGAAAATCGAGGCCTGTAACAGAATTTAAAATAATGGTCTTAAGGAAACTCAGAGAGATACAAGAGAATACACATAGACAATTCAATGAAATCAGGAAAAGAATTCATGACCTAAATGAGAAATTCAAGAGAGATAGATATCACAAAAAAACAGCCAAACAGAAAACTTGAAGGTGAGGAATTCGATGAATGAAATAAATACAACTCAGAGTTTCAACAACATACTAGATCAAGGAGAACAAACAATGTCTGAATTTGAAGACAGGACTTTTGAAATGACCCAGTCAGACCAAAAAAAAGGAAGGAAGAAGAAGAAAGAATAAAAGGAGAAAAGAAAAAGAAAAGGAAAAGAAGAAGGAAGAGGAAGAGGAGAAGATGAGAAAAAGAAAGAAGAAAAGAAGAAGAAGAGAGAAGGGAGAAGGAAGAAAGGATAGAGGAGAGAGGAGGAGGAACAGCAGGAGGAGGAGCAGCAGCAGGAGGCGTAGGAAAAAAAGCCTACAGGAATGATGGGACACCATTACATGAACAAATGTTTGCATTTAGGAATTCCAGAAGGAGAACAGGTGGGAAAAGGCATGGAAAAGTAAACAGGTTTTAATGAAATAAAAGCTGAAAACTTCCCACATTTGGGGAGAGATATGGACATTCAGATCAAGCAAGCTAAAAATTCCTCAAATGGATTAAATGCCAAAAAAAAAAAAAAGCCACCTTGAGACACATTATAGTCGAACTGTCAAAAGACAATGACAAAGAGAATTCTAAAAACAGCAATTGAAAAGCATCACGTCACATGTAAGGAAACCTCCATAAGAATAACAGCAGATTTCTCAGCAGAAACCTCACAGGCCAGGAGAGAATGGGATGATATATTCTAAGGGCTGGAAAAAAAAAAAAAAAAAAAGACCACCAAGCAAAACTGTCCTCTGGAAATGAAGGAGAAATAAAGCCTGTCCCAGACAAGTAAAAACTGAGGGAATTCATCACCACTAGACTGGCCTTACAAGAAAAGCTTAGGGACTCCTATATCAGGAAGTGAAAGAATAATTACCATCATGAAAATACACAAAAGTATAAACTCACTGGTAGGGCAGATATACAAATGAGAAAAAAAAAAAGGATTCAAATGTTACCGCTATGGAAGACCACCAAACTGCAAAAAAAAAAAAAAAAAAAAAAAAAAACAGTAAGAAAGCAAAAACAATATACAAAACAACATGAGTAAGTCATCATCTACCATGAATAACCTTGAATGTAAATGGATTAAAGTCCCTTGTTAAAAGATATAAACTGGCTGAATGAATTTTAAAAAAAAACACCCAACTATGTGTTGCCTACAAGAAACTCACTTCACCTGTAAAGATATACACAGACTGAAAGTGAATGCGATGGAAAAATACATACCACACAAACCAAAACCAAAAGCAGCTGGGTGTGGTGGCTCACGCCTGTAATCCCATCACTTTGGGAGGCTGAGGCAGGGAGAATCACGAGGTCAGGAGTTCGAGACCAGCCTGGCCAACATGGTGATACCCCATCTCTACTAAAAATACAAAAATTAGCCAGGTGTGGTGGTGGGCAATCCCAGCTACTCAAGAGGCTGAGGCAGAAGAATTGCTTGAACCTGAGAGGCGGAAGTTGCAGTGAGCCGAGATTGTGCCACTGCACCCCAGCCTGGGCAACAGAGCAGGATTCCATCTCAAATTAAAAAAAAAAAAAAAAGTAAGCAAGAGTAGCTATCCTTGTATAAGATAAAATAGACTTTAAGTCAGAAACTGTAAAATGAGACCAAGGAAAAGGTCACTGTATAATGATAAAGGAATCACTGCAGCAAGAGGATCTAACAACTGTAAATATTTATGTACCTAACACTGGAGCACTGAGATATAAAGCAAACATTATGAGATCTAATGGGAAAGATAGACTCTACTACCATAATAGTTGGGGGCATCAACATCACACTCTCTCAGAATTGGACAGATCACCTAGACAGAAAATCAGTAAAGAAACACCAGATTCAAACCACAGGCCAAACTGACCTAACAGACACTGACAAAATATTTCATACTACACCTGCAGAATACACGATCTTCTCATCCATACATAAAATATTCTCCAGGGCAGACCATATTTTAGTCTCAAAAAATGTTAAAAAATCAAAATCCTATCAAGTATGTTTTTGGACAATGGAATACAACAAGAAATCAGTCATAAAAGGAACTTTGGAACCTATATAAAGTAATGGAAACCAAATAGCACACTCTTGAACAGCCAATGAGTCAATGAAGAAAGCAAGAAAAAAATTTAAATATGTACTGAAACAAATGAAAATAGAAGCAAATGTCAAAACTTAAGGGACAGAGCAAAAGCAGTACTAAGAGGGAAGTTTATAATAATAAACAACTATATCAAAAATGTAGAATCATTTCAAATATCAATCTAACAATGCACTTCAGGGAACTAGAAAAGCAAAAACACACCAAACCCAAAATTACTAGAACAGAAAAAAATAATAATCAGAGCAAAAATAAATGAAGTTGAGACTAAAAGAACACAAAAATCAACAAAACAGAAAGTTCATTTGTTAAAAAGATAAACATCGACAAACCATTAGACTAACCAAGAAAAAAAAAAAGATCCAAATAAATATAATCAGAAACAAAAAAAGAGACATTACTACTGATACCACAGAAATACAAAGAATCATTAAAGACTGTTATAACCAACTGTACACCAACAAATTGGAAAACCTAGAGGAAACGTAGAAATTCCTGTACACACACAACCTACCAAGAATAAACCAGGAAGAAAGAGAAAACCTGAACAGATCATTAACAAGATTAAATCAATTATAAAAAGTCTTCCAACAAAGAAAAAAGTACATGGCCAGATGGCTTCCCTAATAAATTCCACCAAACCTAAAACACACACACACACACACACACACACACACCTCTCACACGAATACTTTTCAAACTATTTCAAAAAATTAAGGGGGAAGAAATTCTTAGAAACTCAGTATTATACGAGGCCAGTATTACCCTGAAAACAAAACAAGACAAAAACACAACAAAAAAGAAAAGGAAAATAGCATGCCAATATCCCTGATAAACAAAGGTATAAAAATCCTCAGCCAGGCGCGGTGGCTCACGTCTGTAATCCCAGCACTTTGGGAGGCCAAGGTGGGCGGATCATGAATTCAGGAGATCGAGACCATCCTGGCTAATACAGTGAAACCCTGTCTCTACTAAAAAAATACAAAAAGTTAGCCAGGCGTGGTGGCAGGCATCTATAATCCCAGCTACTCAGGAGGCTGAGGCAGGGGAATCGCTTGAACCCAGGAGGTGGAGGTTGCAGTGAACCGAGATTGTGCCATTGCACTCCAGCCTGGGTGACAGAGCGAGACTCTGTCTCAAAGAAAAAAGAAAGAAAAAAAAGAAAATTTCATATCACTGAGGAAAGAAATTGAAGAGAGCACACACAAAAAAATGGAAAGATACCCCATCTCCATGGGTTGGAAGAATAAATATAGTTAAAGTTATCATACCACCCAAAGCAATTTACAGATTTGATGCAATCCCTATCAAACCACCAAAGACATTTTTCACAGAAATAGAAAACAATTCTAAAAATCACATGGAACCATTAAAATCCCCAAATAGCCAAAGAAATCCTATGCAGAATGAACACAGCTCAAGGTATTACAGTACATGACTTCAAAATATACTATAGCCAGGTGCAGTGGCTCACACCTCTAATCCCAGCACTTTGGGAGGCTGAGGCAGGAGGATCACAAAGTCAGGAGTTCAAGACCAGCCTGGCCAACATAGTGAAACCCCATCTCTACTAAAAATACAAAAAATTAGCCAGGAGTGGTGGCAGGCACCTGTAATCTCTGTTACTCGGGAGGCTGAGGCAGGAGAATCACTTGAACCGGGCAGGTGGATGTTGCAGTGAGCTGAGATCACATCATTGCACTCCAGCCCAGGCAACAGTGTAAAACTCCATCTCAAAAAAAAAACAAAAACAAAAAACAAAAAATAAACTATAAACCTACTGTAACCAAAGCAGCATGGTATTGACATAAGAACAGACACATAGACTCAACAGAACAAAATAGAGAACCCAGAAATAAATCCAAATATTTACAGGAAACCAATTTTTGACTAAGGTGCCAAGGTCATGCAGTGGGGAAAGACAATATACAAAAATCAACTCAAGACAGATTAACGACATAAACGTAAGACCTGAAACTGTGAAATTACATACTGTGAAAACACAGAGGAAACACTTTAGGACACTGGTCTGGGCAATGATTTTATGAATAGAACTTCGAAATTACAGGCAACAAAAGTAAAAACAAATAAATAGGATGATATCAAACTAAAAAGCTGCTGCACTGCAAAGGAAACAATCAACAGGGTAAAGAGACAACCTGCAGAATGACAGAAAATATTTCCAAACCATTCATCAAACAAGGGATTAATATCCAGAATATACAAAAAATTCAAACAACCCAACAGCAAAAAAACCCACAAATAATCTGATTTTTAAAAGGTCGAATGATGTAAATAGACATTTCTCAAAAGAACATATACAAGTAGCCAACAGACACATTTTTAAATGCTCAACATCACTAATCATCAAAGAAATGCAAATCAAAACCGCAATGAGATTCCATCTCACCCAAGTTAAAATGACTATTATCAAATAATAACAAATGCTGACAAGGATGTGGAGAAAGGGAACTCTTATACACTGTTGTTGGCAATGTAAACTACCACAGTCATTATGGAAAACAATATGGAGATTCCTCAAAAAACTAAAGCTAGAACTACCATATGATCCAGCAACCCCACTACTGAATATACATCCAAAGGAAAGGAAATCAGTATGTTGAAGACATAGCTGCATTCTCATGCTTATGGCAGCACTATTCACAATCACCAAGATACAGAACCAACCTAAGTGTCCATCAGCAGATAAATGGATAAAGGAAATGTGATATATATTCACAATGGAATATTATTTAGCCCTATAAAAAAGAATGAGGCTGGGCATAGTGGGTCACGCCTGTAATCCCAGCACTTTGGGAGGCTGAGGCCAGTGGATCACTTGAGGTCAGGAGTTTGAAGCCAGCCTGGCCAACTTGGTGAAATCCCGTCTCTACTAAAAATATAAAAAATTAGCCAGGTGGTGGCACGAGCCTGTAATCCCAGTTAGTCAGGAGGCTGAGGCAAGAGAATCACTTGAACCTGGGAGGTGGAGGTTGCAGTGGGCCAAGATTGTGTCATTGCACTCCAGCCTGGGCAACAGCAAGACTCTGCCTTAAAAAAAAAAAAAAAAAAAGGCTGAGTGCAGTGGCTCAAGCCTGTAATCCCAGCACTTTGGAAGGCCAAGGGAGGCGGATCACCTGAGGTCAGGAGTTCAAGATCAGTCTGGCCAACTTGGCAAAACTCCACCTCTACTAAAAATACAAAAATTATCCAGGCTTGGTGGCGTGTGCCTGTAATCCCAGCTACTTGGGAGGCTGAGGGACAAGAATCGCTTGAACCTGGGAGGCAGAGATTGCAGTGAGCTGAGATCAGGCCACTGCACTCCAGCCTGGGCAAAAGAGCGAGACTCTGTCTAAAAAAAAAAAAAATTCACATACCATAAAATTCTCCTATTTAAGGTTTATAAATCATTGGCTTTTGCTATAATCACAGAGTTGTGCATTGTTAGAAATGCTTGTTCCCCAGTGTCACAAAGAAATAGCAACTGAACATAAATTTAATTTTCTCAGCAAGGCCATTTTTTTACTTTCTGCAGAAAGGGTACACTCGCCAGCACTTCTGCCATGAGAGTACACTGAACAAAGGAGACAGGGACATTTATAACCTGAAACATTCACCCTACTGCTGTTACCAGTTTCCATTGGCTGGAATGGGACCTCACATTCTGTATTTGTCCCAATTGGCTAGCAACTTAGAACTTTTCAAAAGAGGCAAAGGCAGAGGAGAACAAAGGAAGGAGGAAGTAAATTGTGGAATGCTCAGAAAGGTAAAAACACCTCCGAATAAAGAAGAGGAATAGGCTACGACTTAATGCTTGCTTTGACCAGTATAAGTATGCCAGGGAAAATATTTAGGCTAAATTGTGGGAGCTAAGAACACAAAGTACATTGATTTCTTTATTACAGCTAGCAGATATCTAAGAATGTTAGCACAGGTCTTTGAATAAATTTTGCTTCTAAGAGAAGTTACTATTTATTCTTAATTAGATGGGGAGGAAAGTCTCTTTGAAGAGGAGCCTCTACTTCACTTTTTACATGCATCCATGACCAAAATCCATTTTAAATGTTTTGTCATTCCCAAAAAGAAACCCTATCCCCTTGGGTATTGCTCCTCAACCCCCATATTCCCTCCGGCCCTAGGCAACCACTATTCTACTTTCTGTCTCTACAGATTTGTCTATTCTAGGCAATGCACAGAAATGCAATCTTACTATAGATGCAGCCTGTTGTGATCGGCTTCTTTCACTTAGTATAATATTTTCAACATTAATCCATGCTGTAGCATGTATCAGTACTTAACCTCTTTTTATTGACAGATGACATTCCTTGGAATGGATACACCACATGTTCATCAGTTAATGGACACCTAGAGTATATCTACTTTTTGGATATTATGAATATCTTTTCATGTGCTTACTGGTCATTTGTATATCTTCTTTGGAGAACTGTCTAACAAGATTTTTTGGGTTATTTCTTCAAGACAGATATAACTCTTTCCTCCACCCTGCCCCCACTTCACAGGCTAACCCAGGAGCAAGGAAAACAGACAAAACCCTTGATTCAAAATTTCAAAGAATAAAACCTTAAAATAAAATTTTAAAAACAGGAATAAGAGACACACAATGGTAAATATGTGGTATCTATACATACATAAAAATACCCAATATATCCTTCTGAAAATTGGTGGAACAGCATTTTATCTATCCATAACAGTCTACTTCACATATAATCAAAATAAAGTAAAAATTTCACTTTGAAAAAATCACATCTATGTACATCATGTTGTAGTTTAAAAACACAGTCATTGGTCAGGCCCGGTGGCTCACGCCTGTAATCCCAGTTATTAAAAATACAAAAATCAGCTGGCATGGTGGCACATGTCTTTAGTCCCAGGAAGGCTGAGGCAGGAGAATCGCTTGAACCCAGGAGACAGAGGTTACAGTGAGCCAAGATCACACCACTGCACTCCAGCCTGGGTGACAGAGCGAGACTCCATCTCAAAAGAATAAAAAAAAAAACCCACTGTCATATACAGAATCTCACTCAAGCAATTAAGCCTTACAGCAACCCTGTAAGGAAGGTATGTTGTTTTATTCTACAGTTGAGAAACTGAGGCTCAGAGGCTATTTTAAGAATCCACTGCAAGAAAAGGACAATAATAAAAGCATTTATGTAACATTTAAATCAATTTTTAATGAACCTTTTCTGACATTCTTGTTATATATTTCATTGAAACAGATGGCAAATTCTAATTTTAAAACCTCGTATATTAGTCCTTCTTTACCAGAAGCCATGGTAAATGAAATATCTCCATTTACTTAGATCTTTCTAAAAATCTCATTAAGGAATGTGTTAATGATACTGTTTGCTTTCCAAAACTCTGGGTAAATGTACTGCTCAAGAAACTGAAAGACTGCATTGTTGGCTATGAACAGGAAATTAAGATTAAGGAGCACTACCCATTAGATCCTGTTATTTCTTTTGAATTTTGACCTGTAAAAAAACCAACTACTTATGCCAACAATCTTAAGAAGAGATTAGGATTTATACTTAGTGTAAACTGTGAAACAAGAAAAACTAGGACACAAAATACTTGATTATTTGTCCTACAACCTAAGTATGATGTGATCCCAATACTTCAGTCTACATAATCATATGGCTAACATACTTTTGTCTTGCAAGCGCTCACCCTATAATATTTCAAACTCTGTAAGCACATACTCTATTCCTAAAAAGTGGTTTTTTGGTCACATTTTATTTCTTTTTTTTTTTTTTTTTGAGATGGAGTAGCCCAGGTTAGAGTGCAGTGGCGTGATCTCGGCTCACTGCAAGCTCCACCTCCTGGGTTCACACCATTCTCCTGCCTCAGCCTCCCGAGTAGCTGGGACTACAGGCGTCCGCCACCACGCCCGGCTAATGTTTTCTATTTTTAGTGGAGACGGAGTTTCACCGTGTTAGCCAGGATGGTTTCGATCTCCTGACCTCGTGATCTGCCCGCCTCAGCCTCCCGAAGTGCTGGGATTATGGGCGTGAGCAACCGCGCCTGGCCATATTTCTTTTTTTTTTTTTTTTTTTTTTTTTTGAAGAGTCTCGCACTGTCACCCAGGCTGGAGTGCAGTGGCATGATAGCTCACTGCAACCTCCACCTCCTGGGTTCAAGCAGTTCTCCTGCCTCAGCCTCCCAAGTAGCTGGGATTACAGGCGCCTGCCACCACGCCCAGCTAATTTTTTGTATTTTTTTAAGTAGAGACGGGGTTTCCCTCTGTTGGCCAGGCTGGTCTTGAACTCCTGACCTCGTGATCCGCCTGCCTCAGCCTCCCAAAGTGCTGGGATTACAGGCATGAGCCACTGCACCCGGCCTGGTCACATTCTATTTCAGTGCTGCCATGTTCCAGCAATACCCTTCACTGAAATAGTAACTGTAGACCATGGCACACAGGTTATTTCAACCTCAGCACAACTGCCATTTTGGACTAGATAATCCTTTGTTGCGGAGCACTGTCCTATGCATTAGGGAATGCTTAGCAACGTCCCCAGCCTCTACCCACCAGATACCAGCAGCACTCTCCTTGGTTCTAACAATAAAAAATATCTCGAGACATTGTCAAATGTTCCAAATCTCCGTATGGGACAAGAAATAGCAATTTTGCCCCCAGTTGAGAACCACTGATTTAACAGGATGACCTAAGAGATACTTGTAGTGTTTTGTTTTTTGTTTGTTCTTACCACATCTCGAGATAACTAAAAGAGGAAATACAAGTAAAAGAATATGGTATGGTAGCCCACGCCTATAATCTCAGCACTTTGGGAGGCTAAGAGGAGAGGACTGCTTGAGGCCAAGAGTTTGAGACCAGCTTGAGAAACATAGCAAGACCCTGTCTCTATAAAAAAAAAAAAAAAAAAAAAAAAAAAAAACTGGATAGGCATTGTGGCACAAGCCTGTAGCTGGAGTTACTCAAGTGGCTGAGACAGGAGGATCACATGAGCCCATGGGTTCAAGGTACCAGTGAGCTATGATTGCACCACTGTACTCCAGCCTAGGTGACAGGGCTTAATATGGGATGATAGTATTGTGGCCATATCATTTTTTAACAGACCTTATTATTTACATTTTACATGATCTGTCAGTTGAAGTATGTACAGATAAAACAATATGATGGCTAGGATTTGTATTAAAATAGGTAAATGGAATATGATTATCCATATGACGATAAATGTTCACCGAGGTTTAATATATTGTTCTCTCTCTGCTTATGTTAAAAAAAAATCTATAATAAGAATTTTTTAAAAGTGGGTAGAGAGGGGTCAGGCGCGGTGGCTCACTCCTGTAATCTCAGCACTTTGGGAGGCCAAGGAGGGCAGATCACAAGGTGAGGAGTTCAAGACCAGCCTGGCCAACATGGTGAAACCCTGTCTCTGGTAAAAGATACAAAAAATTAGCAGGGCATGGTGGCACGCACCTGTAATCCCAGCTACTCAGGAGGCTGAGGCAGGAGAATGGTGTGAACCCAGGAGGTGGAGGTTGCGGTGAGCCAAGATCATCCCATTGCACTCCAGGCTGGGTGACAGAGTGAGACTCCGTCTCAAAAAAAAAAAAAAAAGTGGGTAGAGGGGTTAACAAAGGTCTCAGTAGGTACATGAACAACTTGCTGTTAAGAAAAAAATTATAGTTGAGGTAAACAATACACAGCTGAATGCCTGGGAAGAAGAGCTAGGCACCAAGGCTAATGTGGTGAACTGGAGCACTGAAAAGCACCTGCATGCGCCTGGGATTTAGAAAGGCACACTGGACAGGAGACATGCTAAGAAGCGGCCTAGGAAGAGTCTAAACTTTCACCTCTGCCCGATCTTTAGGCTCAGCACAAGCAGGAAGCAAAGGCTAAGGCAGAGTTGTAAATGGCCTGGCTAAACATTAAAAGAGTGTTCCAGGCCGGGTATGGTGGCTCAAGTCTGTAATCCCGGCACTTTGGAAGGCCAAGGCGGGTGGATCACTTGAGGCCAGGAGTTTGAGACCAGTCTGGCTAACACCGTGAAACCCCGTCTCTACTAAAAACACAAAAAATTAGCCGGGTGTGGTGGCGGGCGCCTGCAATCCCAGCTACTCAGGAGGCTGAGGCAGGAGAATGGCATGAACCTGGGAGGTGGAGCTTGCAGTGAGCTGAGATTGTGCCACTGCACTCCAGCCTGGGTGACAGAGCGAGACTCTGTCTCAAAAAAAAGAAAAAAAAAATTAGCCAGGTATAGTAGCACACACCTGTAATCCTAGCTACTCAGGAGGCTGAGGAATGAGAATTGCTTGAACCCAGGAAGTGGAGGTTGCAGTGGGCCAAGATTCCACCACTGTACTACAGCCTGGGTGACAGAGCAAGACCCTGTCTCAAAAGGAAAAAAAAAAAAAGCGAAAGAAATGTTCCAAGACAGAGTCAATCTGCAAAGACTGGGAGAAGCTTTTTTTTTTTTTTCCAATTTTTTTTCTTTGGCTCCATGAGCTCAAGGAAATCTCTGTCAAATCATTAGCTGACCCCTGAGCTTAAGACACAGACTTCAGAGATAATATAAAACAAAGAATAAAATCTTTACAAATATAGTTTAGAAAACTCACTAAACAAACAAAACCCAGAGCAAGCAATAAAAAACAAACCCTGAAGAGTGAGAAAAATCTGACTTCCAGAGTTAACACATTCTAATAATCAAAATATGCAGTTTCCTTTTTTTTTTTGAGACGGAGTCTTGCTCTGTTGCCCAGGCTGGAGTGCAGTGGCGCGATCTAGGCTCACTGCAAGCTCCACCTCCCGGGTTCACGCCATTCTCCTGCCTCAGCCTCCCGAGTAGCTGGGACTACAGGCGCCCACCACCACGCCCGGCTAATTTTTTCTATTTTTAGAAGAGACAGGGTTTCACTGTGTTAGCCAGGATGGTCTCAATCTCCTGATCTCGTGAGCTGCCCACCTCAGCCTCCCAAAGTGCTGGAATTACAGGCATGAGCCACCGTGCCAGGCCAAAATATACAGTTTTCAACAAAACATTTCTTTGCATACAAACCATGCAAAGAAACAAGTGTGTATTCCCAGCATGTATTGGAAAAACTCTCCCTGAGGAGGCATAGGCATTAGACCAACTAAAAAAATACTTTAAGCCAACTATCTTAAACATGCTCAAAGAGCTAATGGAAACCATGGACAAAGAGATGAAGGAAACCAAGAAAACAATGTCTAAACAAATCCAGAATATCAATGAAGAGATACAAATGATAAGAAGGAACCAAACAGAAGATGTGAAAGAATAATAACTGAAATGAAGACTTCACTAGAGGGTTTCAACAGAAGATTTGAACAGGCCAAAGAAAAACCTCAGTGAAGTGGAAGACAAATCAATTTGGAATTATCTTGTCTAAGTAGAAAAAAAAAAGTGTGAAGAAAATTGAACAGAGCCTTAGGACACCATCAAATTGAAAAGAGCTGGGGGACACCATCAAGCATACCAACATATGCATAATAAAAGTTCCAGAAGGAGATAAGAAGGAACAGAAAGAACATGTGAAGAAATAATTATTGAAAAATTCCCAAATTTGGTAGAAGACTTGAATTCACAGAACTAAGAAGCTCAACATACTCTAAGTAGTACAAACACAAAGAGATCCATACCAAGATATGTTATAATCAAACTGTTGGAAGAATAAGACAAAGAAAGAAACTTGAAAGAAGCGAGAGAGAAGGCACTCATCACATATAAGGGATCCTTAGTAAAATTAACAGCCAATTTCTCAGCAGAAACCATGGAGGCCAGAAGGCAGTGGGAGAGCATATTTAAAATGTTACAAGAAAAAAACTGTCAGTCTAGATTTCTATATCTAACAAAACAATTCTTCAAAACTGAAGGAGACATTAAGACACTGATAAATAAAGGCTGAGGGAGTTCACTGCTAACAGACCTGCCCTACGATAAATACTAAAGGGAGTCCTTCAGACAAAAATGAAAGGACACTAAACAGACCCATATCATACAAATATACAAAGAACAACATAAAGGTAAAATACATAGGTAAATACAAAAGTCACCACTGTTGTATTTTTGGATTTTTGTTTGTGTTTGTTTTTCATTTGTTTGTTTTGAGACAGGGTCTTGCTCTGCCACCCAGGCTGGAGTGCAGTGGCACAATCAAGGCTCATTGCACCCTCCACCTCCCAGGCTTATGATCACCCCCACCTCAGCCTTCTGGAGTAGCTGGGACTTCAGACATGCACCACCATGCCCGGCGAATTTTTGCAAGTTTCGTAGAGACAAGGTTTCGTCATGTTACCCAGACAGGTCTTGAACCCCTGGGCTCAAATGCTCCACCCACCTTGGCATCCCAAGATGCTAGTATTACAGGCATAAGCCACTGCACCTGGCCAGTATTTTTGGATTGTAACTCCTCTATTTTTTCTCTTGATGATGTAAAAGACAAATGTATAAAACAGCAATTATAAATCTATGTTAATGGGCATACAGTATATAAAGTTGTCATTTGTGACAATGACATAAAGGAGGAGGGACAGAGCTGTTTATGGGCAAAGTTTTTGACTGCTATTGAGTCAAATAATATCAATTCAAAATAGTTTACCAATTCAAAATAGTCAATCCCATTAATATCTGATTTCATATTTGTAACATTGTCTACTTGCTAAAATTTATTTGTAACCCCCAAATAATCATAACAAAATCACCCCCAAATCAAGTTATTATAAGCATTTATAATAATCAAAACAAAATTTTTAGGAATAACTGGAAAAAAAAAGAATTATAACTCTTGTGCAAATATGGAGATAAATTAAGAGATGACATTGACTAGAAAGTATTAAATCATTTTGGTTGCTAAAGGAAGAAATAATGAGAATCTGAAACATAATCAATAGAATTAGATAAGCAAATGGATACAGTGGGTTTGAGAAAAAGAGAAGAAATGTCCAGTCTGGGCCATTAGATGGCTAATAGTGCCATTACCCAAAACAGAACAAGTTAACACAAGCCTAATAAATTCCATGATAAATACATTAAGCTTGAAATGACTGCGGATGATCCAAGAGAAGATATGCAACAGGAAATTGGAAATGGAGAAGGAAAACTCAGAAAAGAGACTGAGACTGGAGATGAAGTATTTAAAGGTGTCAAACTACAGATAAATGAAGCCACGGAAATGGTTTACTTCTCCTACCATCATAACACAGAGTCATAAAAGACAGCTGAAGGACAGAAGCAGAAAGAAGAGCTAACAGGGGAAACTGAAAAGAAACTGACAAGGGTGGGTGGGGTACTAGAAGAGACTGGTATCTCTGAATCCAACAGAAGGAGTGGCCTCCCCCTTCTTTCCTAGCATGCTTCACTGGAGTTCAACTAAGATAAGAATTAAGTAGCTTCTATTAGATCTGATAGTAAGGAAGTCATTAGTGACCACAACAACATGAGCTGCTATGGAGATGTGAGTTGGCATAGAGAACTAGGAGTTGAAGAGTAAGCAGTTCTAAGTGAAGGAAAGAAATGGGTTAGTAGGCTGGGTGCGGTGGCTCACGCCTGTAATCCCAGCACTTTGGGAGGCCAAGGCGGGCGGATCACCTGAGGTCAGGAGTTCAAAATCAGCCTGGCCAACATGGTGAAACCCCATCTCTACTAAAAATACAAAAATTAGCTGGGCATGGTGGTGCGCACCTGTAGTCCCAGCTACTTGGGAGGCTGAGACAGGAGAATCACTTGAACCTGGGAGGCAGAGGTTGCAGTGAGCCAAGATGACGCCATTGCCCTCCACCCTGGGCAACAAGAGCGAAACTCCATCTCAAAAAAAAAAAAAAGAAAAGAAAAAGAAATGGGTTAGTAGCAAGCACCACTGCCCCCAAAAAGAGAGAGACAGAATTGTGCAATTTAGCCATTTTCTTTCACTTAAACTATTCCCAATTGTTGTAAAAGACTCAATTCTGCATACAATGGGCTGTAACCAGCTGAAAAACAACATTCACTGCTTGTATTTCCAGCAAGATAAACTGAAAAGCCTCCAATAAAAAGACACCCAAGCTGACACCTTAGCATAAAATTAGTCATAGATAGAAAAAAAAGAAAACAATGTAGGAGAGCAAGATAAACAGAAAGCACAAAAGGATAGAATAAAAATAAACTTTTATCACTAATGTATCACTATTTATCGATAATCACTATAAATAAGACAAACTAAACTCACCAGTTAAAAAAGACAAACTGTCCAAATGGATGTTTACAAATCCAGCAATTCCTCACAGTGTTTGTCCAAGAGAAACAAAAATATTTGTCTACAAAATTTTTATACACTAACATTCACAGTTGAAAAGATTAATCACCAAGACAGCAGAGCTCTTAGGTAAGTCTGAGTGTGAGCTGGGCAGATTGATTACCACAGCTCATTACATATTCGATCACCATGACCTTTCATTTTTACTTACCGCCAACAGAAGACACATTTATTAGCACACGCCAAGCTCGGGGTGGTTTCCATGCAGCGATGGCTCTCAATTCCATAGAATGTGTGTTTGTAACAACCTCCTCTCCCTCGGAGCATGGACTATGACAAGTAAACAAATCACAATTTGAATAAAATTGTCAAAGCACAGAAACAAACCACCAAGGCATCATTTTTAAGAGAAACCATGTGTTTCGTAACCATGAATACTCCTACTGGTAACTGCATGACGCAGGAAATTCGCATCAGAGCATTTCAGTGTTTTGGCAGTGCTTTGGGTTTTTACTAAAGCCCAGTGAAATAAACCTATGATTCATTAACTCTGAAAACTCTACAGGGAGAACCACTAATGCTTTCATTTTCAAATCCATCAGACTCCTTCAAATAACATTAATACAATAATATATAATGCTAGGAAACAGATAAAACAGACTCCTAAAAAATGGGGGCTGTCTGCCTATGCAAGCATATCCCTGCTCTGAATAAAGAAGGATGGGTAAGGGAATGCATCCTGGAGTGTTGTTCCTTTGTTTTGTTTTGAGACAGGGTCTTGCTCTGTTCCTTAGGCTGGAGTGCAGTGGTACAATCATAGCTCACTGCAACCTCCAACTCCTGGGTTCAAGCAATCTTCCTGCCTCAGACTCTCAAGTAGCTGGGACTATGGGTGTGAGCCACCATGCCTGGTTATTTTTTAATTTTTTGTAGAGATGAGGTCTCACTATGTTGCCCAGGCTGGTCTTGAACTCCTGGTCTCAAGCGATCCTCCCACCTCAGCCTCTTCAAATGCTAAGATTACAGTTGTGAGCAAACCACTGTGCCCAGCCCTGGAGCATACATATTTGAGACATTGTGGAAGCAAGCAGCAGGTATACAAGAAATACATTATTCCCATTTCCAAAAAGATCACTATTTGATGATGCAAGGGATAAAAACAAATATCACGAGTCATATAAGTTGGTACATGTAGTAAGAAGGTAATCTAAAAAAATGTCTAGATCAACCAGGGTTGGAATCAAGATAATATCAAGCTTTAAAAGGTAAAATCAGATCTGTCCAGAGCTCTGGGTAAGACAAGCTTGATTTCAGTACAAGTGAAAGCAGTGAAGCCTGGGAGGAGGTTATGTGAGACAGGTAATGATGACTTTCTCCTAAGATCAGTGGGACAGGTAGGGTACTAAAGAAGTGAAATCAATGTCATTCCCCACTGAGGAGCAAAACAGAGGAAGTCATCCAAAATAACTGATTTTGAGGCCAAGTGACTGAAATAATATGGAATTAATAATACCAACAACGAACAAGGAGAAGGAAAGCAGAGACACGAATGAGTAGCCTTTACACGTGTATAGGGGTGTGGGTGTGTGTGTGTGTGTGTGTGTGTGTGTGTAGTCTCACTCTGTCACCTAGGCTGGAGTGCAGTAGTGTGATCTCAACTCACTGCACCCTCCGCCTCCCAGTTCAAGCGGTTCTCCTGCCTCAGCCTCCCAAGTAGCTGGGATTATAGGCATGCGGCACCACGCCCAGCTAGTATTTGTATTTTTTGTAGATACAGGGTTTTACCATATTGGTCAGGCTGGTCTTGAACTCCTGACCTCAAGTGATCCGCCCACCTCGACCTCCCAAAGTACTGTTATTAATATAAGCCTGTCCACAATGAAAGAATATTACATAAATGTCTACTAGCTTATTTACTGTCAGTTGACCATGAAGCCTTTTAACTATTTTTTGTTTTAATTAAAAAAAAAAAAAGTTTCCCTGTCCATATTAGTACTGCATTTGAAAAAAAGGTGTGAAGGGAAAACCTGTGCCTACAAACCTCTTCCAAGTTCCTAATAAAATGTACAAGGCAGCAAACAAAACATTCAAATCTTGTAAATAGCACTGAAAACCGAAACGTCCAACAAATGCCAGAGTCACAGAGTAATTTCCACAAAATCTCATGCCACTAGAGAAACAAAGCTGAAGAACTGTACACTTCAATCACTATTGATTAAGAAGTTAATACACTTTGTTCTGAACTGCCCTGTGCTCCCCTGTCCCATTCAGGTTGAAGTCCTAAACTTCAATGCAATGCAACGGCATGTGGATATAGGCTCTTTAATGAGGTATTTAAGGTTAAGTGAGGTCACGTGAATGGGACCAAAATCTGACAGAACTACCGTCCTTATAAGAACAGGAAGAGAGACCAGAGATCTCTCTGCATGTGCACAGAGGACAGATCATGTAAGGACTAGAGCCCATAAGATGGAAAAGCAACCAAGGTAGCTTCACCAAAGGACCAGTGAGAGCTTCCCAGAGGTGTGCGGTCCAAATCCAATACTGAAGGACTAAAAGGATTTTTCAAAAGGACTCTGTAAGACACAGGCATAGAAGCATGTGAGAAGAGGATGGAATGTTTTTCGTTTTAAAAAATGATGTCTCCAAATGTTTAAGTCTGTGATCCATTTTGAATTAATTTTTATATAAGGTGTGAAGTTTAAGACACTCTTTTTCGGAATTTGTTGCGGGGAGCAGTATTTGGGTCTTTTATTTTTTTCTGTTGGTTTTGGCCTATGGTTATCTAATTGCTCCAGCAGCATTTGTTGAAAATTTCACCATGGAACTTGAAATGGTTTGGCTGTGTCCCCACTCAAATGTCAACTTGAATTTATCTCCCAGAATTCCCACGTGTTGTGGGAGAGACCCGGGGAGGAACTGAATCACAGGGGTCAGTCTTTCCTGTACTATTCTTGTGATAGTGAATAAGTCTCACAAGATCCGATGGGTTTATCAGGGGTTTCCACTTTTGCTTCTTCATTTTCTCTTGCCACCACCATGTAAAAAGTGCCTTTTGCCTCCTGCCATGATTCTGAGGCCTCCCCAGCCATGTGAAACTGTAAGTCCAATTGAACCTCTTTTTCTTCCCAGTCTTGGGTATGTCTTTATCAGCAGCATGAAAACGGACTAATACAGAACAGCTTTTGCATTTTTGTAAAAACCCAGTTAAACATATTTTGTGAGTCTATTTCTGAGATCTCTAGTCTTTCCCTTGATTTATATGTCTATCTCTCTACCAGTAGTACCACACCATCTTGATAACTGCAACAATATAGTAAGCTACAAGATCAGAGTGAACTATTCTTCCCATTTCTGTCTTCTTTGTCAACATTGTTTAAGCTATTCTAGGGCCTGTGTCTTTCAAGTCTTGAATAAGTTTGCCTATTTCTACAAAAATCTTATTGGTATTTTTGTAAGAACTTCATTCAACCTACAGAATCAATTTGGGGAGAATTGACAGTTTATTATACTGAGTTTTCTAATCCATGAACATGGTATGTCTATTTGTTTAGATTTTCATTTATTTTTTATCAGCATTTTAAAAATTTTCAGCATCCAGTCCTGTGTATGTTTTGTTAAATGTAAATCGAAGCATATTACTTTCGTTGGAGTGACTGTAAATGAACTTTTTAGTTTTGGTTTTCATATGTTCATTGTTAATATACAGAATACGGCCAGGCACAGTGGCTCACGCCTGTAATCCAGCACTTTGGGAGGCTGAGGTGGGCGGATCACAAGGTCAGGAGATCAAGACCATCCTGGCTAACATGGTGAAACCCCGTCTCTACTAAAAATACAAAAATTAGCTGGGCTTGGTGGCGGGCACCTGTAGTCCCAGCTACTAGGGAGGCTGAGGCAGGAGAATGACGGGAACCTGGAAGGCGGAACTTGCAGTGAGCCGAGATCGCGCCACTACACTCCAGCCTGGGTGACAGAGCGAGACTCCGCCTCAAAAAAAAAAATACAGAATACAACTGATTTTTGTGCTTTGATATTGTATCCTGTAACCTTGCTGAACTCAGGTTCTAGGAAATTTATTTGTCATTTCCTTGAGATTTTCTACATAACAATCACGTCACCTGCAAAACAAGACAGCTTTATTTCTGCCTTTGCAACCTGTATGCATTTTCTTTTTCTTGACTAATTCCAGTGGCTAGAATTTACAATACTATGTAAAACAGGAGTGGTGAACACAGACATACTTGTCTTGTTCCCAATCTAATGGGAAAAGCATTTACTCTCTCATATTAGGTATGATGTTAGCTGTAAGAATTTTGTAGAGGTTAATATTCCTCTATTTCTAACTTGCTAAGAGTTTTTAATGATGAAGGGTTAGACTCTGCCAAATGCTTTTTCAGAATCAATTGATATGACTGACTGATATTTTTCTTCTTAGCATGTTTGATATGGTGGATTGCTTTGGTTTTTAAATGTTGAACCTGCCTTGCATACCTGGGAAAAATTCCACTTGGTTATGGCATATAATTCTTTCTATACTTGGCTGAATTCAATTTGCTCATATCTTGTTGAGGATTTCTACATCTAAATTCCTGAGAGATTAGTCTTTAGTTCTCTTTTAGTGCATTGTCTTTGTCAGGTTTTATCGGGTTACTATTGGCCTCATAAAATGAGTTCAGAAATGTTCCCCACCTCTTGTATTTTGGGGAAGATATTAAGTAAAACTGGCATTAATTCTTCATTAAATATTTGGTAGAATTCTTCAGGAAAACCATTGAAAACTAGGATATCACTTTGGGGAGGCTTTTAATTACAAAATCAGTTTCTTCAATGATTACAGGATTATTCCGATTATATATTTTGGTTGAGTTTTAATAAGTTACGGTTTTTGAGGAATAGATGTATTTCACCTAAGTTGCCAAATTTACTAACATAAAATTGTTTGCAGCACTCCCTTATCATCCTTTCAATCGCTGCAGGACCTGTAATAATATTGTTTCATTCCTGATACTGATGATTTGTGTTTTCTTTTCTTTTTTTTTTTTTTTGAGACGGAGTCTCGCTCTGTCACCCAGGCTATATCTGGGTGACATCTGGGTGACTGCAGATGGGCTACATCTGGGTGATTGCAGAAAACATCTGCAATCAGCTACATTCCAAAACTGCTTTTTATGGAAATGACTTCAACAAGTACTTTTTTTTTTTCTTTTAAGACAGAGTCTCTGTTGCCCAGACTGGAGTGCAGTGGTGCAATCTTGGCTCACTGCAACCTCCGCCTCCCGGGTTTGAGTGATTCTTCTGCCTCAGCCTCCTGAGTAGCTGCGACTACAGGCGCCCACCACTACGCCCAGCTAATTTTTGTATTTTTAGTAGAGACAGGGTTTCACCATATTGGCCAGGCTGGTCTCAAATTCCTAACCTCATGATCCGCCCACCTCAGCCTCCCGAAGTGCTGGAATTACAGGGGTGAGCCACCGCACCCAGCCCAACAAGTACTCTTGAACACATTTCTGATAATTTTAAGATCAATGGACTAAATGACAACTTCCAGAACTCTAATATATTTTAAAAACTGATTGGTGCATAAAACTGTTAATGGCCAACCTCACAGTACAACGGCACTGCTCCATAAAACTGCTAATCAAGATCAAGCAAAACTAAAATTTAATGACTTCAAATTAAGTAATTAATGACGATGATGTGTTTGTGACTTTTCATTTTTGGTTCTTTACTTAAAATATTTTGTCTTACAGATTTAAGACATTTTTCTCGCATAAGCTATCTATAGTATACAACAATTTGGTAAAGCATACTTTTGTGAACAAAGATGGAACCATTTGCTTTTCCTCCCTATTGGATTCCTCCCAAAATTCACCAACCATTAGTATTCTTATTTTTATTTATATAAATTCAATAAAAATCTGCTCTCAAGTAGGATACAATTAGAAATATAAACATCGGTTATATACCACCAAGGCTTTGGCTGAAATGTCTTATTTGAAAATGTGCATTGAATGCCTGGCTTCCAGAGTTCCCAGACTTCCAGTGAGTCAGTAAAAATGGTCACTTCCTGGAAGGCCAAAGATCCTTAAGATTGTACGTAAGATCTAAAATCTGCCCTGGTTTGGCTTCCTAGCTCAGGAGGTTTTTAAATCTGAGATTCCTGTGTGATCAATGTGGGAAGAAAAAGTTATGTCTCTATAGAAAAACTGTAATATACCTATTCTTATTACAGTTTGTAGCCCCGTGCATTGTTTTAAAGTTCTTGTTATCTACGTGTAGACTGGACTAGATTCTGAATTCTTCTAATTTCCTCCAATACTTGGTCACAATTCTCCAGCTGGCTTAAAAAGCTTTATTAGCTGAAACTAGATAATTTTTCTTTTTGAGATGGAGTCTCACTCTCTCGACCAGGCTGGAGTGCAGTGGTGCAATCATGATTCACTGCAACCTCCACCTCCCGGGTTCAAATGATTTTCGTGCCTCAGCCTCCCGAGTAGCTGAGACTACAGGCACACACCACCACACCCATCTAACTTTTGTATTTTTAGTAGAGACGGGGTTTCACATTGTTGGCCAGGCTAGTCTTGAACTCCTGACCTCAAGTGATCTGCCAGCCTTGGCCTCTGAAAGTGCTGGGATTTCAGGTGTGAACAACTGGTGCCCGGCTGAAACTGGATAAATTTTAAGAAACAAGCCTCATGTCTGATTTATGAACCACAAAAAAGGTTCACCCAACTGCCCAATGTCATGACCAAAGATATTCAAACTACAAACCAGAAGAAAAAGTTGCTATTTTCACACTGTAAACAGCTTTCTCCAAGAGGTTGGAATAAGAACTTCATATCATAATGAGACTTTTACTCCTCTTAATGCTACTTTTCTCACTTGGCAGACTAACAGTGTAATTGAAATTTTATAATCAATAGCCTCTGCTGGTGAGTTAACAAAACCTAACTTAAGAAATACTTTTGTATCGATTCATTAAATAAGAAAATGTCTGTGCTGTTTCTAATATTACAAGCTGTACCTGGATAAATTCCTCTGGGAAAGCTGAAACCCATATACACAAAACAAAACAGCTCATAGGGTTACAGCAGGTCTCTTCTAATTCCCTATGGTGATTTAACTTATTCAATTTGTTTTCTTTAAGCCTAGATTCACAACTCAAAGCCATTATGCAAACTGACATTGTCATATTAAGTTTACCTTTTATTTTCCCTTTCTAAACTTTGAATCTGGGCCAGGCACAGTGGCTCATGCCTATAATCCCACCTTTGGGAGGCCAAGGCGGACGGATCACTTGAGGTCAGGAGTTCAAGACCAGCCTGGCCAACGTGGCAAAACCCCGTCTCTACTGAAAATATAAAAATTAGTTGGGAGTGGTGGCAATTGCCTGTAATTCCAGCTACTCCAGAGGCTGAGGCAGGAGAATCACTTGAACCTGGAAGGCAGAGGTTGCCGTAAGCCAAGATCACGCCACTGTACTCCAGCCTGGGCGACAGAGTGAGATTCAGTCTCAAAAAAAAAACATAACTACAGGGCCGGGCACGGTGGCTCACACCTGTAATCCCAGAACTTTGGGAGGCCAAGGCAGGTAGATCACTTGAGATCAAGAGTTCGAGACCAGCCTGGCCAACATGGTGAAACCCTGTCTCTACTAAAAATACAAAAATTACCCAGGCGTGGTGATGCATACCTGTAATCCCAGCTACTCAGGAGGCTGAGGCAGGAGAATTGCTTGAACCCAGGGGGCAGAGGTTGCAGGGAGCCGAGATCACACCACTGCACTCCAGCCTGGGTGACAGAGAAACACTTTGTCTCAAAAAAATAAATAAATAAAAATAACTACAAGATGAATGATCAGTCATGCTTTCTGAGAAAGATCTTGATCAAAAGGAAGAAATGTAAAAGTTGTCAAAATCAGAATGGAATCACTAATGTTAAGAAAAACAGAAGCAGGGAAGACCATGAGGAGAGTTATCTTGTATGCCTGGTAATGAAAAAGACTCTACAAAAACCACAACCTTGCACAAAGGCTACCACGACCTTATACAAAAAAATGCTTCTCTGCCAACGTCATCTGCCCAGCAACTGCCAGCCTACCCTCAGACTGCCGTCACCCTTGTTACTGATCTTTGCAGCCAATGATAATTATTTCAAAACAATTACATAATCCTCCTCAATTTTTCCTTTAAAAATCTTTGTCTTTGGCCAGGCACGGTGGCTCACGCCTGTAATCCCAGCACTTTGGGAGACCAAGGTAGGTGGATCACGAGGTCAGGAGATCGAGACCATCCTGGCTAACAAGGTGAAACCCCGTCTCTACTAAAAATACAAAAAAAAAATTAGCCGGGAGTGGTGGCGGGCGCCTGCAGTCCCAGCTACTCAGGAGGCTGAGGCAGGAGAATGGTGTGAACCTGGGAGGCAGAGCCTGCAGTAAGCTGAGATCACACCACTGCACTCCAGCCTGGGTGACAGAGCGAGACCCTGTCTCAAAAAAAAAAAAAAAAAAAAACTTTGTCTTCATTGACTTATACTAACTCACAAAACATTAAAAAGTATACTGTCTTCCTGTACCTCCCCAAAAACACAGTTTACTGTGGCTTGCATATTCCCATTGCAATGCTCTATTCCAAAATAACCATCATTTTCTTCTAGAGAGCCCCTCTCTGTTTGTTATTCAGGTTGACAAAAGTCTTCAACAAATGGTGCCAAAACAACTGGATATCCATATTGGCAGAGGTGGGATAAATCTTAACCTTTACCTCACATCATTCATAAAAATTGATTCAAGACGAATCACAGGCCCAAACATAAAAGTTAAAACTACATATGGGGCCAGGCACAGTGGCTCATGACTATAATCCCAGCACTTTCAGAGGCCAAGGCAGGCAGATCACCTGAGTCCAAGAGTTCAAAACCAGCATGGGCAACATGATGAAACCCTGTCTCTACAAAAAATACAAAAAAAAAACTTTTGCCAGGCATGGTGGCACACTACTTGGGAGGCTGAGGAGGGAGGATCACTTCAGCCCAGGAGGTGGGAGGCTGCAGTGAGCCGAAATTGCACCACTACACTATAGACTGGATGACAGGGCAAGACTCTACCTCAAAAAAATAAACAATTTTTAAAAATGGCTTCTTCCACACAGGTTGCTTAGGAGGAATCTGCCCAAGCAACTCTGTCCGCCCCCTCGGCCAATGACCCCCTGAAGAGCTCCTGCCACACCGCTCTAGGAATACAGACATTGAAGTCTGGGGACAATATGTTTATATAACTTCTGTATCAAAACTAAAGACCTGCTATGGCAGTGAAAAAAGAAACTGAATTTGTCATTTTCACCTAAAGAAAAACGACAGACAAAAATCAAACCTGTAGGCCAGGCGCAGTGGCCTACGCCTGTAACCTCAGCACTTTGGGAGGCCAAGGCGGGTAGATCACGAGGTCAGGAGATTGAGACCATCCTGGCTAACACGGTGAAACCCTGTCTCTACTAAAAATACAAAAAATTAGCCGGGCATGGTGGCGGGTGCCTGTAGTCCCAGCTACTCGGGAGGCTGAGGCAGGAGAATGGCGTGAACCCGGGAGGCAGAGCTTGCAGTGAGCCGACGAAGCTTCTAGAAGAAAATCTAGAATATCTTTGTGACCTTGTGGTTGGCAGAAATGTCTTAAAATACAAAAAACACTAACCATAAAAGAAAAATATGATATAGTGAACTGTATCCAAATTAAAATTTTCAAAAGATACCTTTATGGAAATAGAAAAGCCACAGTCTAGAGAAATATTCACAATGCACATTCAACAAAAGATTCACATCCACAACATATAAAGAACTTCTAGAAATCAATAATATAGAGTCAAACAACCAAGTTTGAACAAAGATGTGAACAGACATTTCACAAGTATAAACAGCCAATACGCACAACACAAGATGTTCTTGGCTGGGCATGGTGGCTCACGCCTATAATCCCAGCACTTTGGGAGGCTGAGGTGCATGGATCGCTTGAGGTCAGGAGTTTGAGACCAGCCTGGCCAACATAGTGAAACCCCGTCTCAACTAAAAATACACAAATTCAAAACTTAGCTGGGCGTGTTGGCACACGCTTGTAATCCCACTTACTCAGGAGACTGAGACATGATAATCACTTGAACCCAGGAGGTGCAGTGATACAAGATTGCACCACTGCACTCCAGCCTGGGTGAGACAACGAGACTCTGTCTCGAAAAAAAAAAAACAAAAAAAATGTTCCCAATCATCAACCATCACCAGCAAAATGTAAATTAAAACCACAATGAGGGCCAGGCACGGTGGCTCAAACCTGTAATCCCAGCACTTTGGGAGGCCGAGGTGGGCAGATCACGAGGTCAAGAGATCAAGACCATCCTGGCTAACATGGTGAAACCCCATCTCTACTAAAAATAGAAAAATTAGCTGGGCGTGGTGGTGCGCGCCTGTAGTCCCAGCTACTAGGGAGGCTGAGGCAGGAGAATCATTTGAACCCAGGAGGCGGAGGTTGCAGTGAGCCAAGATCATGACACTGTACTCCAGGATGGCAACAGAGCGAGACTCCATCTCAAAAAAAAAAAAAAGAAAAGAAAAAACTCAATGAGGTACCACTTCACAACCACTTCACAACCATGAAAATGCCTAAAATTAAAAGACAATACCACATGATGGTGAGAATGTGCAACAAATGGAACTTTCATAAATTGCTGAGCAAGTATAAAGTAGTACAACCACACTGACAACAGTTTCGGAGTTTCTTCTAAAGTTAAATATATACCTACTCTATGACTTAACAATTGCACTTCTAGGCATTTACCCAAGGAAAACTGAAATTTACATTCACAAAGTCTTGTGAAGAATGCTCATAGCACTTTTTTTCATAATAGCCAAAAATTAAAAACAGACCAAATGTCTATTTACAGATCTTTAAAAACTGGTATATTCATACAATGGCATACTACTGAGCAATAAAAGTGAATGAACTACTGATGCATGTTACATGATACGACACGGATGCATCTCAAAAATATGTTGAGTTTAAGAAGCCAGTTGCAAAAGACTGCACATTACATGATTCCACTCATATGAAATTCTTTTTTTTTTTTTTTTTGAGATGGAATCTCACTCTTATCACCCAGGCTGGAGTGCAGTGGCAAGATCTGGGCTCACTGAAACCTCTGCCTCCTGGGTTCAAGTGATTCTCCTGCCTCAGCCTCCCGAATAGCTGGGATTACAGACGCCCACCACCACACCTGACTAATTTTGATATTTTTAGTAGAAACGGGGTTTCACCATTTTGGCCAGGCTGGTCTCGAACTCCTGACCTCAAATGATCCGCCCACCTGGCCTCCGAAAGTGCTAGGATTACAGGCGTGAGCCACTGCATCTGGCCACTCATATGAAATTCTAAAAAGGCAAAGCCAAATAACAGTAATAGCAATTAGAACAAGAATTCCCTAGGGAAAGGGAGTTATTGACTAGAAATGGGCACAATAAATTCACTGGGGTGGGGATAATAACTTATATCTTAATTGGAGTTGGTGAATATAGGTTCTACATCAAAATTTGCTGAACTCATTTTAAAGAATCATTTAAAAATCTGTGCAAATTAAATGTAAATTATACCTCTAAATAGTAAATTTATAGACAGTGTATAATAATAGCTATTTAAAAGTTGCATGTAATAGACATATTGAATAAAAACAAAAAAAATACCTTTGTCCACCTGCAAAGCTTCACCCCCGAGTGGCTCCCAATCAACTGATAACCTGAGTGGAAAAGCAGGGAACACAAAGTTGGACTGATCCAAAGCGTCATATCAAAAAGTGACTTTAAAATTTAGCAAAAATTTTTTTTTTTTTTTGCTAAATTATTGCAGTCAACCAACCCATGGCAGGAAACATTAAAGATTTAATTCAGCAAGATGAGAAAACAATTTAAAATCTATATGTATCTAATAATATAGACTCAAAATACATAAAGAAATGATCTTTTTTTTTTTTTTTTAAGACAGTCCCGCTCTGTCACCCAGGCAGGAGTGCAGTGTTGTGATCTCAGCTCACTGCAGCCTCTGCCTCCTGGGTTTAATAGATTCTCATGCCTCAGACTCCCGCGTAATTGGGACTACAGTTGTGCTTCACCCTGCCAGGCTGATTTTTTTGTATTTTCAGTAGGAATGGGGTATCACCATGTTGGCCAGGCTGGTCTCGAACTCCTGTCCTCAAGTGATCCATCTACCTCCGCCTCCCAAAGTGCTGGGATTACAAGCGTGAGCCACCACACCCAATCATGAAACAATAAATTAATCCAAAAATTATACGAGGAGATTTTAACCTCTCTGTCTCTAACAGATCTCATAGGTAAAAACTCGGTAAAGCTCTAAAAGATGTAAGCAACACAACACATAAACTTGACCAAAAACATACAGAGCCCTGCACTCATCAACTATAGAATTTACATTCTTTCATGGACCAGTGAAACATTTATAAAAATGAACGGTATGCTGGGCCATAAAACAAAAGTAATGATATATTTCAAATGAACGGGGAGCTATCATCAGTAATCTTTGAAAGAAGATGAAGAACCAGATGTCAATGGGAGATTAAAACAAAGTAATGCTGACCCAAAGAGAGAAAAATCAAATTCTAGGAACTACATCTTAAACGTGAATTCTCAGTAGCACTATAACCTGTCATTTCAAATTTTTGAGCTACATAGGACATGAAAAGCATGGAAAAAGCCAGGCCAAAGTAATCTCATTTCCTTTTTAAACAAACTAGTAGTACAAACAAGTAGTACATTCTGATTTCAGAAAGCATTCAATACCGTTTCTCATGAGGCTTCAGGTAATAAGCCACAATTATCATGAGTCGCTCTCACAAAAAGACTCTTGCAGGCAAATAAGGCAAATGGAGAAATACAGTCTGGATGACAGCATAAGTGGATCAGTGGCTGGTTAAACAACCATATTCATACTGTGATGATTATTGGAGCAATGTCAATTTTGATTACAAGTTTCCAGTGGTAACATTTACAGGGCTTTGTCTTGTATCCTCTTCTGTATTTATGTAAACATCTTGCATATAAATAAACAAAGGACTGCTTATGTACTCCAAGGTGGAACTGAGTCCAATTGAGTAACTCATCTCTGATACCAAATATGCATTTAAAAGATCCCCAGAGGAAATTCTAGTTCTTCTCTTGGAATTCCATATTATACTGTTCATACTATCATAGAAATCATCCTCTATTATATTAACTCTTTATATTTTTCTCTCCCAAGATACATAGGTTTCTATAAATTTTGCATTTAGGTAAAGAAAAAAAACTGTACATTACAGAATGAAGAGATCTGTAGTTGACCACAGCACAAATATAAGCCAACAGTGTACAGTTGCTGAAAATAATAGTGTGGAATTCTGCTTCTAGCCAAGATGGAATAACAAAGAGGATTTACAATCCTACTTGAAATACCAAAAAATGGACAAAATATATGAAACAACAGATTTCAGAACATGAGACATCAGGCAACAAAGGATGGTGATCCCATAGAGATAGGAAACAATTAAGGTGAGCCCTCCCATTACCTTGGCTTACTGTCTAGAAACCTTCCAGGCCATGTAGCAAAGAGAGACTACCCAAGCGAAGCCCAGTGGACTCTTGAGTTTGGAAAATGCAACAGAGCCTGGGGAGACAAAGGTGGCTACAGTTTGCAGGATTGAAAGCTAGAGAGATGAAACCTACAAAGAGACTCCAAGAGTCTACAGGGGATTTCTCTCAAGTATTTGCCCAAGTACTGTTCAGCACATTCACAAGAGAAACACTACCCAAGGATGGGAAAGAACCATTTTTGGAAGACTAGACATTTAGAGAAGAAACAATTACTGAACTTGAAGACACAGTGATAGAAACTATCCCAAATGGGATGGGCATGGTGGCTCACACCTGTAAATCCCAGCACTTTGGGAGGCCAAGGCGGGTGGATCACCTGAGGTCAGGAGTTTGAGAACAGTCTGATCAACATGGTGAAACCCTGTCTCTACTAAAAATATAAAAATTAGCCAGGCGTGGTGGCGTATGCATGTAATCCCAGCTACTCGGGAGGCTGAGGCAGGAGAATCGCTTGAACTCAGGAGGAGGAGGATGTGGTGAGCCAAGATCACACCACTGCACCCCAGACTGGGCAACAAGAGTGAAACTCCATCTCAAAAAAAAAAAAAAAAGAAACAAACTATCCCAAATGAAAAGAGGGAGAGAGGAAGGGAAGGACTGGGGGCAATGCCTGATGCTTACAGCAGGCTGAGAATTGTACCTGCTTCTGCCAGTCAGACTAGAAATCTAAAGATGCACAAGTCATTAGGTAGACTACAAATAGAAGTGTTTTGCCTCAACAGTGAAGAATAATTAGCCCCATATTGAGCCAGCTCTTGTCTCATCTAAGAAGCCATAAAAGTAAGATATAAAGCTCATATTATTTCCAAGTAACTTAACCTTGTCCCAGGAAAAAAAAAAAAAAAAAAAAGCTTAAAACTGTTTATAAGAGTGTTTATATAAAAATATCCAGGCCAGGCACCGTGGCTCAAGCCTGTAATCCCAACAGTTTGGGAGGCCAAGGTGGGCAGATCAGGAGGTCAGGAGATCGAGACCATCCTGGCTAACACGGTAAAACCCCGTCTCTACTAAAAATACAAAAAATTAGCCAGGCGTGGTAGTGGGCACGCAATTACTCAGGAGGCTGAGGCAGGTGAATCACTTGAGGCAGGAGAATCGCTTGAACCCGGGAGGCAGAGGTTGCAGTGAGCCAAGATCACGCCACTGCACTCCGGCCTGGGCAACAGAGTGAGACTCCGTCTCAAAATAAATAAATAAATAATAAAAATAAAAATACCCAGTACCTAATAAGGTAAAATTAGGTCTGACATCCAATCAAAGATATGAAGTATGCAAACAGACAGGAAAACATGACGAATGAGGGAAAAAATCCATCAACCAAAGCTGATCCAGAAATGACAAAGACATTAGCAGATTAGGACATTAAAACAGTTATAACTGTTTTCTATAGGCTCAAAAAGGTAATAGATGTGGAAAATATAAAAAGACCCAAACTGAACTTCTAGAAATGAAAACTACAATGTCTAAGTTGAAAAACATATTACATAGGATTAACGGAACATGAGACATTACAGAAGAAAGATTATTGAACTTGAAAACATAGCAATAGAAACTAACCAAAATGAAAAGTGAGACAGAAGAAAGAACTTTTTTTAAATGAATAGAACATGAGTGAGTTGTGGGTCAAATTCAAGCAGATTATTACATATATAACTGTAGTCTTCTAGGAAGCAAGTGGGTGGGTGGGGAGGAGAATAT